>NC_000015.10:25095055-25398086 GCF_000001405.40 Homo sapiens
CTCTTCTAACTTTCACAGCTGTACTCGGCTACTGGTCAGAATAAGAGAAAAAGCAGTGGAACCAGGAGGATCCTACAAGAAATATTCCATTTCACTTTTGTTTGTGCATATACCTTTTCTGTTTAAATGTGGACTTCGATTTGATATGCTTCCAGTGCAGACACAGATCCCATATGTAAGAGAGTATGGAGTTGCATAGAAAGAAGACTTGTCATTTTCCTGTACTGTTGGTGTTCTAATCTGTCTTCGTGGTTTTTGCCTCTTCTGGCTTTAGAAGATACACCAACATGGTTTTGCAACATAGCCTCTTCTTATTTTAGTAAGGGACCAAATGTGCATGTCAGTAACAGGTGTTACCTTGAATTGGGATCAGTGCTTGTGTGACTATATTCAGTGATGTCATTTTCTGTCACACTCAAGTCACAAAATATTTAACCACTTATTTTTTTATCTCTGGAGGAATAATCCAAAAGATTGTACTGGTAAAGCCAGAACAATTTCCAATTATGCTAATTATTTGTATAATACTTAGTTGGCTTTATCTGTGGTTTGTTGGCTTATTTTCCTGTAGCTTTTCAAGGTTTTTCTATGAGTTCTGTTAAAGAGTCTGAAAATGGAGCGTAGAAGACATGCTTCGATTTCCAGGATGGTTGTGTTTTCCAGAGAGGCGGAGGTAAACCACTGGCGCAGCCCTGCCTCCCACAGATAATTCCGGGTGCAGTGTTTCATATCTAGACTTGGACTTCTATCCTACCATACTTCTTTGTGTGCAGGTATTTTTGGGGATAAAATCCTTGTTTTCAGCTGTATAGATGTCTTGCACATACTCTTTTGATGGTTTGATTTATCCATTGTGTTCAGCACGTTTCAGTGAGCAAGATATGGGATTTAATTTCCAATATAAAATCCATGACTGCTGGCCGGGCGCAGTGGCTTATGCCTGTAATCCCAGCACTTTGGGAGGCCATGGTGGGCAGATCACGAGGTCAGGAGTTCAAGATCATCCTGGCCAACATGGCAAAACCCCATCTCTACTAAAAATACAAAAATTACCCATGCGTGGTGTTGTGTGCCTATAGTCCCAGTTACTCAGGAGGCTGAGGCAAGAGAATCCCCTGATCCTGGGAGGTGGAGGTTGCAGTGAGCTAAGATCATGTCACTGTATTCCAGCCTGGGCGATAGAGACTCTGGCTCAAAAAAAAAAAAAAAAAGAATGTTATAATTATTTTCAGCCTCATGTCTCCGTGTCACACACAGGTCCATGAAGCTGTGTTCTTTTTTTTTTTTTTTTTTTTTTTTTCAGAGTATTTTCTTTCTTGTCCAGATTAGCTAAATTGGATTGTTCTATGCTAAATTCACTTAATCACTACTCTATTATTTTTGAATTTTTTAGTTCTGTTTTTTTCACTTGGTTCTTTTTTTAAAAAAACTTCTACTACCTTTCTGAGACTTCTACTTTTTTACTTTTTTCAAGAAGCTTTATAATTACTTGCTAAAGCATTTTTACCATGACTGTTTTTAACTTCTTCAGATAACCACAACATTTGGTTAATCTTGAGGTTGGCTTGGTTAACTGTCTTTTCTCATCCTGCTTATGATTTTCCTTCTAATTGTGATTTTTCCGGTTCTTGATAGATGGGTGATGTTTTAGTTTATCCTGCATTTTTTTTTCCTTTTTAAGTTAGAGGAATCTGAATCTATTCAAATGTTTTATTTTAGCAGGCATGTGCCCTGTTTAGGTTTAATTTGAATGTCCTGTCCTACTTTTGTAGGCCATGTTTTCGCAGGCAGTCTTGCTATCAGAGCTGAGGGGATGCTGTTTTGATCACTTAGTTTATCTGATGTTGCTGGGCCTCCAACTGGTGCTGACTGGTACTTCCTGAGATGGCGAAGGTTTTTCTGTACTCTGAGATGCCGTGTATCTCTATGTAAGGGGAGGAGACTCTGGACCACAGGAATGAAGAGAACATCTTAGGTCAGGCAGCTCAATCATATGCGATAACCTGGGTCAACCAGCCAGTAGCCTCATGAAGTATGGGAGGGAATTCTCCAGTGTCAGCATTCAAAGACATCATGAGTTTTTACTTCTCATTTTCTTTTAAGTGAAATAATCGCATGGAAATTAAAGAATAAATATATGAAATATATGAAACTTATATGAAATATAAGAATGTGAGAAGGCCTACAGCGTGGGGATCCCCAGGCTATTTGAACAATGAATGTCTGTGTTACACATCTTTGCTCACTTTTTCTCTATTTTTGTAGTTCATTGTGGAACCAGCACAGATTTTCATACGAAAGTTATTTCTTTTTAACCTCAAAAAGTGACAGAATGGAGTGTATCATGAAAAAGTCTGACATCAAAACCTCAAAATGTGATATTGGTAAGCATTTTGTCCTGAGAATACCAGCATTTCCTCTTAGGGGATCATGACACTGCAGTGACCATGTGACCCTGGCTGTGCTAGTCAGCCTGGGCTGTTCATTGACTGTGATGCTGGTCTCCATGTGATTGACTAGTGTGGGTCAGTGCCTCCAAAGGTGACAGCTGTGTGCTCAGTGTCTGCCACATATCTCAGGCTCAAGGTCCCTTTTATAAATGTGCCTGGATCGATGATGACTTTAAAATGGATCTCATCGGAATCTGAACAAAATGAGTGACCAAATCACTTCTGTGCCACTTCTGTGAGCTGAGGTCCAGCACAGGGGCCATGCCAGACAAACACATGGAGGGTGTTTTGTTTGGTCAGCACTGGTACTATGAAACGGCCTGTGGAATTAGACAACTAACCAGCTCACATACAGTACAGGAAATTACTGGACAGTTAACCTACCAATATATGGTTGGGGGTAAGACGGAGACTTTTCAAATGCTTGGCTGGTAGCATCTGTACACTACAGTGACCAGACACTGGGAGCCAGCACAGGAGTTATAGGATTTACAGGAAATTATTGTGTGAACCCACAAGCCATTCAGACATTTGTGTGAGCGCCCAGAATATTCTGGTTGATGGTTTGTTGCTTGATGGCAAAGAGATGTCAGCATTCAAAGACATCATGAGTTTTTACTTCTCCTTTTCTTTTAAGTGAAATAATTGCATGGAAATTAAAGAATAAATATCTTATATGAAATATATGAAACATATGAAATATAAGATATTTATTTATATCATATAAGATATAAATATCTCATATGAAATCTTGTAGTATATTTTCATTTGATTGCCAACCCAGTCACTAGGACTGAAACAGTTGTTTATTTTTTGTTTTCCCATCAACCAAGCAAGCTATTTAATACATGTTTCAGTGCTGGTTTCAACTACATGTTGCAGCAAACATTTTTAGAAGTGATATTTCAAATTCTTGGATTTTCACATGGATTTCATTGTCTACTTTCATATGTCCTCCATGTGTGACCACTGTATTAATTAAAAGTTGTAATAAATGATTTTGAAAGGTATGTGCTGGAGGAACTTCGGGACAAATGTTTTAGAAAACATTATTTCCATAAAATTTGGATCAAAGATGTGAGCATAATTGTTCTTGTTATACAGATGGTCCAATGAGTGTCTAATGTGAATTCTTATAACTGTTTATAACAAAGTAGTCCATGAAGCAAATTTTGTTTCACAACTTTCCTAATTTCCCCTGTACTCTGTAGATTGGGTGAGATAGAATTCCATGGAATTTCATTGCCAAACCAGTGAAGTGCTAATTTTGACATTTGTACCAGCTAACGTAGCTGTGAAGAAACACACCAATACACTTCTAAGGTAACATTCAATTTTTAGTGAATTTATTTTTGTGAGTTATTTTTATTCTTTTAAGTAATCAAGAATTTATGTTCACAAGGAATTGGTTAATACTAACAGTTTCAGACATTAATGTTCTGATGAGCTGAGGCATCAATCTCCTTTTGATAAAGGTTTTGTTCTTTTCTCTACTTTGAATAACATATGAAATGTCCAACAGCAGTTCTAAGTTAGTGTATATTCCATATATGTTAATAGTGAAACATCCTGTCTTATGCAAGGCTAAAAATTGTCCGTGTATACTTCTCAGATTTGTATACATACTCTCTTCCTACAGGACAGCATAGACCAAGATCTAGGTTTCATATGGATGAATTTATTCTTCCCTTTGAGGCAAGACAAGAAGGAAAGAAAGTATTGGGAATAATGCTGCCCTCCCATCCTCAAGGGCCAGTGGGAACTCTAATATTGGTAAGCCTTTTGTCCTGAAAATACCAGCATTTCCTCTTAGGGAATCATAACACTCTGCTAACCGTGAGACTCTGGCTATGCTAGTCCGCCATGGGCTGGTCATTGACTGTGATCCTGGTCTCCATGATTGAATAGTGTGGGTCAGTGTGTCCCAGAGTGACAGATGTGCTCAGTGTCTGCCACATATCTCAGACTCAAGGTCCCTTTTATAAATGTGCCTGGATCGATGATGACTATAAAAAAAATGGATCTCATCGGAATCTGAACAAAATGAGTGACCAAATCATTTCTGTGCCACTTCTGTGAGCTGAGGTCCAGCACTGGGACCATGCCAGGCAAACATGAGGAGGGAGTTTACAGGGACTAGGGTATTGGAAAACTAACCTACCCATATATATTAGAGCAAATGAATTGTTCTCAGTTCTGTAAATATCCAGCTGTGGTTTGACATAGCAACTCTCTTTGTATTTGCTTGGCAGCATTTATAGAAACAGCTGGTAGACCCTGGGGAACCAGGGCATAGTGAGATTCATGGGACGTTATTTCACCTACTCTTGAGCCATTCACACATTTGAGCTCGCAGAATTATCTGGTCAATGAGCAGTCTCTTGAGGGTAATGAGATGGTCAACATCCAAATCCAAAGATACTAATGAGATTTTACTTTTTTTTTTGAGATGGAGTCTCATTCTGTTGCCCAGGCTGGAGTGCAGTGGCATAATCTCGGCTCACTGCAACCTCCACCTCCTGGGTTCAAGAGATTCTCCCGCCCCAGCATCCTGAGTAGCTGGGATTACAGGCGCCCGCCACCACCCCTGGCTAATTTTTGTGTTTGTAGTAGAGATGGAGTTTCACCATATTGGCCAAGCTGGTCTCGAACTCCCAACCTCAGGTGATCCAGCCACTGCAGCCTCTCAAAGTGTTGGGATTACAGGCATGAGCCGCCGTGCCCGGCCTTACTTTTTATTTTCAATTAAGTGAAACAATTACATGGAAATTGAAAAAAAAAAAAGGTACTCTAAGTAGACTACTCTAGTGTATTTTAATTTTCTTGCCAATTCAGCCACTAGGATTGTGTCACTTGTTTTTTTGATTTTAGTTTTTCGTATCAAAAAGCAAACCACTGTTTATATTTGAGTGCTGGTTTCAACTGTATGCTGCCTCAAATAAACTTAGATTATATTACAAATTCTTTTTTACATAGATTTCATTGGCTATATTCATATATCCTCAAAGGTTTCCATTGTGTTTGAAGAGGTATCCTAATTGTAATAAATGCTTTTGATTGGGGATGCCAGGGAAGCTTTGAGACTAATGTCTCAGATTTTTTTTAAAAAAGTTTATATTCTATAGTGATCAAAGATGTAAGAATAATTTTTCTTGTCATTCATTGGATAGTCCAGTGAGTGTCTACTGTGAATTCTTATATTCACTTGTAACTAAACATTCCATTTGGCAAATTTCGTTTCATAACTTCCCTAATTTCCTCTACACTTTGTAGATTGGGTGAGATACAATTCCATGGAATTTTACCACTGAACCAGTGGAGGGCTAATTTTGTCATTTGTACCAGTTAACTAACTTGGGAGGAAACAGAACAACACACTCCTGAGGTAGTATCCAATTTTTAGTAAATTTATTTTTATTATTTTTCAAACTGTCAGTGATTTGGTTTGGTGAACAATAGGTTAATACAGACAATGTTAGGAATTATTAATCTGATGCGCTATCTGAAGCATCAGTTTCCTTTATTTTTAAGATTTTTTTCTTCTCTGTAGTTTGGATAATATTTAAAACATTTCCAAGAGTTATAAATTAGTATATTTTCTATGCTGATTAATAATGAAACCTTTTGTCTTATACAGATTTTTAAAAAATGGACGTGTGCGTGCATGTGTATATATATAAATATATATATATATAAAATCTCTTCTCACAAGATGATGCAGACTAAAACTGCATTTTACATTTTATATGGCTAAGTTTATTGTTTCCTTGTGTTGTAATATGATGGAAAGTAATGGGAATAATTCTGCTTCCTGTCCTTAGGGACCAGTAGGAATTTTCCCATGATAAGCATTTTGTCCTTAAAATACTGACATCCTGTTAAGAGATCATGACACTCCAATGACCATGAGACCCTGGCTATGCTAGTCAGCCAGGGGGCTGACCATTGACAGTGATGCTGGTCTCCATGATTAAATAGTGTGGGTCAGCATGTCCCAGGGTGACAGAAAGCTGTGTGATCAGTGTCTGTCACATATCTCAGACTCAGGGTTCCTTTTTAAAATGTGCCTGGATCGATGATGACTTAAAGATTTATCTAATTTAAATCTGAACAAAATGAGTGACCAAAACACTTCTGTACCACTTCTGTGAGCTGAGGTCCAGCACAGAGACCACTCCAGTCAAACATGTGTTGCCTGGAGTTGCAACTAGTTGGTCAGTTAGAAGCAACCACAGGGACTGGGGTATTTGAAAACCACTTGAGTGCATTTATTAGAGGAAACGAATTTTACATTTGTGTATAAAAATTCAATTGTAGGGTAAAATGGAAACTCTGAGAGTTTGGTTGGCGGCATCTATATACCATAGAAACAGAGCCTGGGAAGCAGAACAGTGAGACCCAAGAGAAATGTTCCTGCCTATACTTGGTCTGTTCTCACATTTGCCTGAGCTACTGATTGATCTTTTGAGGGTGATGAGATGGTCAAAATCCAAGGATATGATGAGTTTTTACTTCTCATTTTCTTTTTTTTTTTATTATACTTTAAGTTTTGGGGTACATATGCAGAACGTGCAGGTTTGTTACATTGGTATACACGTGCCATGGTGGTTTGCTGCACCCATCAACCCATCATCTACATTAGGTATTTCTCCTAATGCTATCCCTCCCCTAGCCCCTGACCCCCCAACAGGCCCTGGTGTGTGATGTTCCCTCCCTGTGTCCATGTGTTCTCATTGTTCACCTCCCACTTATGAGTGAGAACATGTGGTGTTTGGTTTTCTGTTCTTGTGTTAGTTTGCTGAAAATGATGGTTTCCAGTTTCGTTCATGTCCCTGCAAAGGACATGAACTCATGCTTTTTTATGGCTGCATAGTATTCCATGGTGTACATGTGCCACATTTTCTTTATCCAGTCTATCATTGATGGACATTTGGGTTGGTTCCAAGTCTTTGCTATTGTGAATAGTGCCGTAATAAACATATGTGTGCATGTGTCTTTATAGTAGCATGATTTATAATCCTTTAGATATATACCCAGTAATGGGATTGCTGAATCAAATGGTATTTCCAGTTCTAGATCCTAGAGGAATTGCCACACTGTCTTCCACAACGGTTGAACTAATTTACACTCCCACCAACAGTGTAAAAGTGTTCCTATTTCTCCACATCCTCTCCAGCATTTGTTGTTTCCTGACTTTTTTTAATGATCGCCATTCTAACTGGCATGAGATGGTATCTCATTGTGGTTTTGATACACATTTCTGTAATGACCAGTGATGATGAGCCTTTTTTCATGTTTGTTGGCTGCATAAATGTCTTCTTTTGTTTTACTTCTCATTTTCTTAAAGTGAAACAATTTCATGTGGTATCTTCCAAGTATATTTTAATCAGTTGCCAACCCAGCTGCTAAGATTGAACTGTTTCTTTTGTTCTTCTCTTGTTTTTTTCTATTAATTTAGCAAACAATTTTATATATAGTTTGCTATCCTTCTCCATGGGGCCTGCATCTTCAGATTCAACTAGCCATGGATTGAAAATACTTGACAAAAAATTGTATGGTTTCATCTGTACTGAACATGTACAGTCTTTTTCTCTCTTTTTCTCTTTCTTTCTTTTTTTTTTTTTTGAGACAGAGTTTCACTCTGTCACCCAGGCTGGAGTGCAGTGGCACGATCTCAGCTCACTACAACCTCTGTCCCCCGGGTTCAAGTGATTCTCCTACCTCAGCCTCCTGAATAGCTAGGATTACAGGCGCCCACCACTGTGCCAGGCTAATTTTTGTGTTTTTAGTAGAGATGGGGTTTCACCATGTTGGCCGGGCTGGTCTCGAACTCCTGACCTTAAGTGATCTGCCTGCATCAGCCTCCCAAAGTGCTGGGATTACAAGCATGAGCCACCATGCCCAGCCAAGTACAGACTTTTTCTTTGGTTATTATTCCCTAAAACAGTACAGTATAACAACTATTTACGCAGCATTTACATTGTATTCAGCATCATGAGTAATCTAGAAATGATTTCCTGCATATAGGAGGATGTACATAGGTTCTATGCCAATAGTGCACAGTGCTCGCTGTGTTTAAAGAAATATCCTAGGTATAGAATAAATAATTTTGAAGTCAGTGTGTTGAGAAAACACTGACATGGATAGAAAATATTCTGTCTAGAATAGAAAAAACAATAGAATAGAAAAAGTTCTATCTGTATCAGTCTGATCAAAGATGTGAGCATAATTATTCTTGTCATACATATAGTCTAATGAATGTCTAAAGTGAATTCTTATAACTGCTTGTAACAAAATATTTCATTTGGCAAATGTTATTTCACAACTTTCCTAATTGCCCATGTACTTTGTAGATTGGTTTTCACAGAATTCCATGGACTTTAACTGCTGAACCAATGATGCACTGATTTTGTCACTTGTACCAGCTAACGCATCTGGGAGGCAACAAAACAATACTCTCCTGAGGTAACATCGAATTTTTAGTAAATTCATTTTTGTGTGTTGTTTTTATTATTTTTTTAAGTAATTGAGAATTTCATTAGGTGTGCAAGGAGTCACTTAATACAAATAGTATTAGGCATTCAATACTCTCATGAGATATCTGAGCCTTCAGTTTCTTTTATTTTAACATTTTACATTTTTCTCAACTTTAACATCAGAAACATCCTATAAGTGTAATAAAATTCTTATACTTTACATATAGTTACATAGTAAATCCTCCTGTCTTATTTAAGTTTGAAAAATGAACATGTATACTTCTCATTCCCATGTATATAATCTCTTCCCACAGAATGAGGTGGACCAAGAAACTGGGCTTCATACGGATGAATTTATTTTTTTCCCTGTGTGGAGACATAAAGGAAAAGTATAGTGAATAATTCCGCCTCCCACCCACAAGTCCCCATGGGAATTCTCACATGTTAAAAAGCATTTTGTCCTGAAAATAACAACAATTTTTCTTAGGGAATCAGGACACTCCAATGACAGTGAGACTCTGGCTATGCCAGGCAGCCATGGGCTGGTCATTGTGCTGCTGGTCTCCATGATTGAATAGTGTGGGTCATTGGTGACAGATAGCTATGTGCTCAGTGTCTGCCACATATCTCAGGTTCAAAGTCCCTTTTATAAATGTGCCTGGATGGATGACGACTTAAAAATGAATCTCGTTGGAATCTGAGCAAAACGAGTGAGCAAACCACTTCTGTGCAGTTCTGTGAACTGAGGTCAAGCACAGGGACCATGCCAGGCAAACACGTGCAGAGAGTTCAGTTTGGTCAGCAACTGGTACCAAAATGGCCTGTGGTATTGGAAAACAAACCCACTCACATAGCTTACAGCACATGAATTGTACAGAGGTCTGTATGTGTTTGTATATATTTATATATGTTTGTGTACATATATCTTTGGGGATTATATGGCATTTCTTTCAGTGTTTGGCTGGCAGTGTCCATACTCTCATAGTAAACAGAATTACACAAGAGTAGAGGGAACAGTAGGAAATGGTTTTGCCTACCCTAGAGTCTTTTATACATGTTTTTAGGTGCTATAATCTTGTGTGTGAGGTCAGTCTCTCAGGTTCATTAGATGGACAGTGTAAAAGGTATTATGAGGTTTTACATATTATTTATCTATTAAGTAAAAGAAATATATGGAAATTGAAGAGTAGCTTTTATCTATTAAAGAAAAGAATGTATGGAAATTGAAGGGTACTTTCTATTTGTGGAAAGTCTTAACATTTTAATTTCCTTATTGATCTTGTCACAGAAGTTGGAATTTAAGTTTTGCCTGTCACTCAAAGAGAAGCTTTTTAGACATTTGATTAAGGGATTCTAGTAGATGCTATAGTAAACATTTCTAATTGTAAAATGATTAAATTTGCAATTCATAGAGTTTTATGTGGATTTCATTGCCTGATATTCATTATTTTTATTAGTGGGTTTCATAGATGTTTAAAGGGAGATCCTAGTTTTATTGTGTGATACTAAGGGAGGCCTTTTGGTCTTAGAAAACTGACTTTCAGTACTACCCATTTCCAGGGAGTGAGCATAATTTTTATTCTCATACCACATGGGCAAGTGAATATCTATGGTTTATTTCTTATAACTCGTCATTAGTAATTATGAAAGTAAGAAAGTTGACAAATGAAACTCTTTTAATTATGAGGGTTTCATTTGTCGACTTCCTACTTCCTCAGTGTGCTTTGTGTATTGGAGGTAATACTGGAATTGCATGGAATTCCTACTGCTGCTCCAGTAACCTGCTGATTTTGTCACGTGTACCAGATTCGTTGTCTGGCAATGAGAACAATACACTTCAGAGGTAATATTGCAATTTTTAGTAAGTGCATTTTTCCTGGGTTCGTTCTATTATTTTATTTTAGCAAGTAAGATTATAATTGGTTTTTCAAGCAGTCTGTTAATCCAAATGGTGTGAGGCCCTAATAATCTGGTTAGTCATCTGAAGTTTCTGTGTTCTTTGTACAGTATTTTTATACTTCCTCTGTTTTCAAATAACATTAGGATACCCTACTAGCAAAATAATTTAGTATATTTTATATACTTGTGCATAGTAAGCCTGTTGTATATGTACACTATTTGCATGGTTGGCAAATTACATTTGCACTTTTTATTTTTCTATAATTTTTTCCTATTTTCAAAGGTTAATGTGGACCAAAAACTAGATTTCATATAAAAGAGTTTATTCCTTCTACTTGAGGTGTGACATGAAGGAAAGTAATGGAAATAATTCTGCCCTCCCATTCTCAAGGGCCAGGGGGAATTCAAATATTGGTAAGCATTTTGTCTTGAAAGCACCAACATTCTTCTTAGGGGGTCATGACACTCCAATGACAATGAGACCCTGGCTGTGCTTGTCAGTCATGAGACTGGTCACTGGCTGTGATGCTGGTCTTTGTAATTGAATACTGTGGGTTGGCAAGTCCCCAGGTGACAGAAAGATCAGTGTTCAGTGTCTGCCACATATCTCAGGCTTAAGGTCCCTTTTATAAGTGTGCCTGGATCGATGATGACTTAAAAAAATGGAAACCTTGGAAATCTGAACAAAATGAGTGACCAAGACACTTCTGTGAGCTGAGGTCCAGCACAGGGACCATACCAGGCAAACCCGTGGAGGGCGTTCAGTTTGGTCAGGAACTGGTACCAAAACGAACCCACTTGCATATGTTAGAGCAGATGAATTGTACAGAGGCCTATATATCTTCGGGAATTACATGACAATGATTTAAGTGCATGGCTGACAGCCTTCAAACACCTAGTAATCAGGCTTTGGGGTACCAGCGTCAGAGGAGTGAACACTGTAGAAATGGCTGTGCCAGCACTCGAGTCATTCACACTATTTTCGTAGACGCCACAACATTCTTAGTGAGTATCAGCATGTATAGGTATATTATGTAGTCAATTAGAAAGAAATTATCAGTCTTTGCTTGCTATTTATTCTTTCACTAAAAGAAATATGTGAAAATTGAAGAGTGGGTTGTATTCATGGGATTATCTTATTACATGCTGGAATTTGCTTCCTAACTCAGTCTCAAGGATTAGAACAGCATTTGTTTTTCTTTTTCCTGTCACTCAGGGAGCAATTTTCTAAGCATTAGATGATAGATTAAATTAGATGCTTCATTAAACATTTTAATGTGAAATAATGAAATTTCTAATTCTAGGGATTTTAGATGGATATTGTTGGCTAATAGGAATATTCCTTCATTGAGTCTTTGTATATTTTAAGAGAGATTCTAATTTTAGTAATACTCGGGGCCTTTGGCCTTCGAGACCAAAATCTTGGAAACATTGATTTTCTGTACTTACCCTGTTCCAAGCAACAAGCAGATTTTTTAGTTATGTGGATAGTCAAGTGACTATGGCTAATTAATTACAAACTGTTGTCAGGAATCATTCAGTTGGGAAGGTTTTGTTTCAAAACTCCTGTAATGTCCCCTGTGCCTTGCAGAACGGAAGTGATTTTGGAATTGCATGGAATTCTCACTGCCATCCCAAAGAAATGCTGATCTTGTCACTCTTACCTGTTTCATTCCCTGGGGGCAGAACAAAAGGACGCACTCCAAAGGTAACATCCAAGTTTGAATAAATTTACTTTTTATGGCTTATTTTGTAATTTTTTCTGTAGTCAAGTAGATAATCAGTTTTGTGAATGATCTGTTAATAACAGTATGAGACATTAATTATCTGGTGAATCATCCAAGGCTTTCATTATCCTTTATTTCCAATTTTTTTTGCGTTCTCCTTTTCAGTAATATCAAAAACATCCTAGTAGAGTTATGTTAGTATATTTGATATTAATATACATAACAAACGCTCCCTTCTTGTGCATGTTTGACAAATGGACATATATACTTACCATCTTCCCATATTTGTACTGTTTTCACAGATCGGCATGAACCAAGAACTGGGTTTCATATAAAATATTTTATTCTGTCCTCTTGAGATGTGACATGAGAAAAGTATTGAGAATACTTCTATCACCTCATCTTCAAGAATCCGTAGGAATTCTCCCATGGTAAGCATTTTGTCCTGAAAATACTGGCATTCCTCTTAGGAGATCGTGACACTCCAATGACCATGAGACCCTGGCCATGCTAGTCAGCCATTGGCCAGTCATTGACTGTGATGCCAGTCTCCATAATTGAATGAATAGTGTGGGTCAGTGTACCCCAAGCTGATGGAAAGCTGTGTGCTCAGTGTCTGTCACATATCCCAGGCTTAAGGTACCTTTTATAAATGTACCTGGATTGACGATGACTTTAAAAAAAAAAAATCTCATTGAAATCTGAAAAAAATGAGTGACCAAACCACTTCTGTGAGCTGAGGTCCAGCACACATGATAGGCAAACGTGGAGGGATGTGGATGGTCAGTGCCCACAGGGACTGGGGTATTTGAAAGCTAATCTGCCTGCGTATGTTAGAGGAAATGAATTGGACAGTCATCTATAAATATCGTATTTTTTAATAAAATGGCTATTCCTTTGGTGCTTGGCTGGTAGCATCCATCCACTGGTAGTAAATAGACCCTGGAAAACCAGCACATATGTAGTGAGACCCCATGAGACATGATTGTGCCTACCTTTGAGCCATCCATAAGTTATCTGGGACATGACAGTCTTTTGAGTGAGAGCAGTTTACTAAGGTCATTTAGATCATCAGTTCCAAAGATGGTGTGGATCTTATCGATTATTTTTTTAGGCAGAGGTAATATCTGGAAAATTAAGAGTGATTTCTAACCATGAGAATATTTTAGTTTGTTTAAATTTGCTTGCTAACCCAGTACCAAGAATTCAGACCTTTTTTCTGTCTGTATAAAGCAATATTCTAGACATTTGAGTGATTCAAGTAGATGTTGTGAGATGATTACATTTCCAGTCCTTGGAATGTTATGTGGATTTTATTGGCTAATCTTCATATTTCATCAGTGGATTTTCCTATGCATGTTAAGGGAGATCCTTGTTAATTGATGTCTAGGTGGACTTTACGGTTAACCTGAACAGGTCTTGGAAAAAGGACTTTAAACATTCTCCTGTTCTGTGGAATAAGTATACTTTTTTCTGGACATACACCTTGTCAGTGAGTATGTATCATAATTCCTCATAACTTCTTATCAGGAAACATTCGATGTAGAAGATTTCTTTCTCAACTTCTCTAATTGCCCCTGTGGTTTGCAGGTTCCATGTGATACTAGAGTTGCATAGATTTTTAACCTTTACGCCAATGAAGATCTGAGGCAAACATTGCCCCTTTTTTAGAAGTTTGCATTTGTCACTGATAACTGTAATAATTGATCTTGTTGAAAAGCCTGGGAAATGAAGATCTGATATGTCACTTTTACCGGCTTCCTCAACTGAAAAAGAATACAATGAAACACGCTGAGGTAACATCTAATTTTTGATATCTTTTTTCCTGGGTTATTACTGTTTTAAGTATTTAGGAATTTAATGGGTGCTATATGGAGTCAGTTAATTCAGATACTATAAGACCTTAATCTGGTGAGTCATCTGAGGCTTCTGTTTGTTCTTTTCCAGAATTTTTGTGCTTTCTCAGTCTTGCTGATGATCTTTCTATGGGCCTGAAGCGTGGAGAGTGCCAGAGAGGCTGATCCTCAGCAGTGTGGCAGAGGAAAGTTGGGTGCGACTAAGGGGTATGCGGTGCCCACATGCCACTGGGTCCTCAGCAGTACCACCTGGTGAGCGTCACTCTTGAGAGCTGAGAGTAGGTGGGAAGCAGCTCATGGTGAGAGGGTTCAGAGGCCGCCTTTCCCTCTCTGCGCACTGCCCAGTTCTTCTAGTCACATGTCCCGGGACAGTACCATACCTGTGTGTGTCCTGCCTGCATTGCTGTGACCACTTTTAGTGGAATCAGGTGCAGTGCAGCTCTGCAGCTTCTGCAAATTGCCACGCTCCCACTCTCAAGCAGGTTGAGTGCTACGAGTGATTTTTAGACCATTTGTTTATTCCCTTATCATGGCTTTTTGTGACTTCTTCCTCCCCAGTCCGTTGGGTCACCTTTAAAGGTAAAGTAATCCTGAGGTGGTTGAATTTACGGAAATGCTATGCATTATTGTGAATGGGATGTTCACCGGGCCAACATCTTCTTGGAACTTTGAGCAAACTGATAGTCTGGTTGCACATTTGATTTGTCTGGCAGTAAATGTTGGACAGTATTTGGACTGATGGAAGCTAGAGACAAACACATTGACTATTGTTGAATAACACTGGAAACATCTTAGGAGAGCAGTACATTAGCTAATTTAATAGGTACATAAACTGAATCCCACTGTCTTGTGCTTGACGGACCAGCAGACACATATGCTTGTATCGTTCTCATGTTTCTACATGTTTACCCTATTCCCACAGGTCAACAAAGACAAGGCACCTAGCCCCACATGAAACTTTATTCCTTTCCCTTTTGAGATGTGACATGAAAGAAAATAACAGAAATGATTTTTCCATCCCATCCTCAGGGACCAGTGGGAATGAATTTTACCATCCCACCCTCAAGGGCCAGGTCAGGTCGCTAAGCATTTTGTCACTAAAATATTGCCCTTTTTTAGGGATTATGTAATACTCTATAAGGCACTGTCTGTGCTGGGCAGCATGGAGCCTGGGTCATTGCTGTGTTGGGGGCTTGGTCTCCATGACTTAATAGGGTGTATCAGTGTGTCCCAGAGAAGTGTACTCCAGAGTGCTCATTTTCTTTCATGTTTCTGAAGCAAACAGTGCCCCCTTTTTTAGAAGTTTGCATGTGTCACTGATAACTTTAATAATTGATCTTGTTGAAAAACCTGGGAAAACAGTGAGTTAAATAATAACTTCTCTGAACATGAGGTCCAGCCCAATTACCTGCCCTAAGCAAACTATATGGAAGGAGAGTTCAGTTTGTTCAGCTATGTGGTCCCAGCAAGGACTGTGGTACTGGAAAACTAACCAGCTTACATGCACTAGAGAAGTAGAATTGGACAGTGATCTGTAGGTACCCAGTTTGGAGATGAAATTGCAACTCTGAGTTCTTGATTGGCAACATAAATACGTTGATAGTAAACAGACCCTGGGGAATCAGCACTTGAGTTGTGAAAAGCGGGAAATAGCTATGCCTACACTAGAGCCATTCACACTTTTGCTGGAGCTGCAATAATCTTCTAAGTCATGCTTGCTCTCGTGAGGGCAATGAGATGGTCACAATCCAAGGAGAGTTGGGGTTTTCACTTTTCATTTCTCTATTAAGTGAAAAAAGTATATGAAAATTGAAAAATAGATATTACTTATGTAATCTTCACAGTATAATTTGCTTGCCAAGCAGTCACTGGGATTTAATCAGTTTCTTTGTCTTTCGTTTTTCTCATAAGCTGAGAGAGTAATTTTGTGTGCACAGAAGTACTGTCTTCAGCTACATGCTGCATTAAACATTCCTAGATGTGAAATGATTAAATTTCCAAGTTTTTAAAATGTGGATTTTTCTGGCCACTTTTATATCTCTTCAATGGGTTTCTAATGGATTTAAGGAGAGAGCCTAGTCATGATGAATGGTGTTGTGTTGGGTATGCTGAGGAAACTTTGAGACCAATGTTTCAGAAAAAATTATTTCTATACTGTCATGTTTCAAGTACCGAGTATTGTTCTTGTCATACAGATGGTCCAGTGAACATCTCTGGTGAATTCCTTACAACCAACCTCTTGTTACTAAATATTCCATTAGGAATGTTTTGTTTCTCAACTCCCTGATTTCCCCTTTATAGATTGGAAGTGATATTGGTGGAAGACAACATTTTGCCGCTTGGAATTCTCACCTCCACACCAAAGAAGTACTGTTTTTGTCATTTGCACCAGCTTCTTTCTCCAGGAAAGATCAAAACGATGCACTGCAAGGTTAACATCCAATTTTTAATACATGTAATTCCCTGGATTATTTTTGTTGTGTTATTAAATAACTTAGAATTTTTTTTACAAAGTCTGTTGAACCAAACACTGTAAGGCATTAATAACCTGGTGAGTTATTTGAGGCCTTTTTTCCTCTCCTAGAATTTTTGCACAATTTATATTTTGAATAATATCAGAGACATCCTAGTAGAGTAATGAATTAGTACATTTTATATGCAGATACATAGTGAAGCCTCCTTTCTTATGCATATTTGACAAATGGACATGTATATTTCTCATCTTCCCATATTTTTACTCCATTTCCACAGGTCATGTAGACCAAAATGTGAATGTCATATGAAAGAGTTTAAACATTGCCCTTGAAATATGACAGAAAGTATCAGAAATAATTATACCATTCCATGCTCACAGGCCAGTGGGAATTCTCACAGTAAGCATTTTGTCCAGAGAATATTCTTCTTAGGGAACTATAACATTCCAATGATAATGGTAGTCAGCCATGTGGCTGGATCATCGTTCCTGTATCCTGGTCTCTATGACTTAGTGTGGTGATGGTGTCATTGTGTCCAAGTGTGACAGAATTGTTAGTGTGTAGTGTCTGTCTCCTATCTCAGGCTCACAGTCCCTTTTATAAACATGCCTGGATTGATGATGGCTTCAGTATCTTTTGGAAATCTGGACTGAGCAATAGAATTGCTTCTCTCAAATTGATTTCAAGTCATATAAAAGGCCATGTTACACATATATTGTTAATCTGAGGGAGGCTGTGATCATTTAAGTTGTATTTTATAAACACTAGGACCACCAGTAAGAAAACAATTCAAAAAATATTAAAAGAACAACCAAAGAATTAAAATAGAATAACCGAAAAGATCTGTTTAACACAAAAGAAGGCAGTTAAAGATGAACAGAGGAACCAATAAGACATATAGAAAACAGATAGGAAAATGACAGACATAAACCCAGCCATATGACAATTATATTAAATTTTTAAGAGATTAGGAAATTCCGTTGTTTTTTAAACATGAGCAACTATACGCTGTCTACAGAAGAGACACTTTAGAACAAAAGATACAAATAGTTGGAAAGTAAAAAGATGGAAAAAGCTATATCCAGCGAATCCAGAAGAGAGCAGAAGTGGCTATTCTGACATCAGAAAAAAGAGACTTTAAGATAAAGTATTGCTAGAGAGGAAGAAGGATAGTATTTAATGATAGAAGGGTTAATATGGAATATGTAACAATTACAATCATATCAGCACTAACAACAGTGCCCAAAACTACATACACTGAAATTTAACATGATTGAGGGGATCAATAGGCAATTCAACAATAAAAGCTTTTGTTCATACCCTCTTCTTAATCAGTGATAAGTCAATTAGATAGAGCATCATTGAGGTTACAACATACTTCAGCAATGTTGTCAACCAATTTGACCTGAGATAGATAGATAGACAGTTAGACAGACAGACAGACAGACAGAGAAAACTTCACCCAACAACAGAAATACAAATTATTTTCAAGCATACCTGGAACATTCTCCAGGATAGAGTATATGTTAGGCTATAAAACTGTACTCAATAAATTTAAGATTGAAACCATGTAGAGTATGTTGTGTGACCATAGAGGAATTAGAAATCAACACAGAAATAAATTTGGAGGTCACAAGATATTTGGAAATTAACACACTTTACAGAGCCCATTGGTCAAAAATATATATATTAAACTAGAAAGGCCGGGGGTGGTTGCTTACACCTGTAATTCCAGCACTTTGGGAGGCGTAGGTGGGCACATCACTTGAGGCCAGGAGTTCAAGACCAACCTGGGCAACATGGCAAAACCCCATCTCTACAAAAAAATACAAAAAATGAGTTGAGCATGGTGGTGCATGCCTGTAGTCCCAGCTACTCAGGAGGCTGAGGTAGGGGAATCACCTGAGCCCAGCAGGTAGAAGCTGCATTGAACCAAGATTGCACCACTGCATACCAGCCTGGGCGACAAAGTGAGACCCTGTCTAAAAAATAAAAGGAATCCAGAAAACATCTTGCATAGAATTTGATACAACTAAAGACATGCTTAGAGGGATATTTATAGTTTTAAATAACTGTATCAGAAAAAAAGGGAAGATAAATAAATGACATAAGCTTCCACCTTAAGAAACAAGAAAAAGACTAAACTAGAAGATGAAATCCAAAGCAAGCAGAAAGAAGTAAACAATAGGGATTGGAGCAAAAATTGATGACATAAAAAACCAGACAAAATACAGAGAAAAATCCATGAAACCAAAAGTTGGGTTTGTGCAGAGATTTGTGAAATTTACAATCCTTTAGCTAGACTGACACAGATCATTAGAATTAGGAATGATGGAGACAACATCACTACTGACCCTATAGATTGGATCAGGAATGTCGCTGTTTGCTGCATTGTGCTTTCTTGAGGGGAGAGCTATGAAGGAAAACAAAGTTCTCATTGCACTTACAACTCAACAACACAGCGTTGACATTTTGATTCTCACTGGCTTCAGTGCTCATCTCTGTGAGGTTTCCAGAAGATCCCGTAGCAATATCACTCATTCTAAATTTATCTTTGGGCTACTCTGGGAACGCTGTCTATGGGTTAGCCCTGCTCTGCAAGGAGCAGTAAGAAAATATATATATATTTTTTGAGGCTGAGTCTCGCTCTATCGCCCAGACGGGAGTGCAGTGGCACGATGTTGGCTCACTGCAACCTCCACCTCCAGGGTTCAAGCGATTCTCCTGCCTCAGCCTCCCAAGTAGCTGGGATTACAGGCACGTGCCACCACACACCGCTAATTTTTGTGTTTTTGTAGAGACAGGGTTTCACCATGTGGGCCAGGCTGGTCTCAAACTCCCAACCTCAGGTGATCTGCCCTCCTTGGCCTCCCAAAGTGCAGGGATTACAGGCATGATCCACTGTGCCTGGCAAGTATGTTTGTAGCCAGTGGGGAATTATTTTAACTAGGCAATAATTTGATCTATTTTGGGAAGCCTCTTGTAATCAAATCATATATCAACATTAATCACATGGTGAGTCCTCCATGGTTTTCATTCCTAGAGATTCTAGGATGTTTGACATTTCTCTGCTTAGCTTATAGCAGAAAGGTATTGGATATCAAGAATGTTTGAACAGTTTCTCCTTTTTGGGAATGAAGATGAAATTGGGCTAGAATGAGATGTGTGATTGAGAGAATGTCCCTGAGGCCTGAGCAGTGTGTCCTTTTGGGTATGGGCATTGGAAGCATGTAGTGAATTCTTATAATTTTATGTTGCCTCGGCATCCATCTTGAGTATAAGTTTAACTTTGTTATACCAGAAGCAAGGCTTACTCACTTTTGCACAGTTTCCAGTTCTACACCTCCTTCTCGTTCCTCAGTGTGATTGGTCCAGATAGCTGCCTTATCCAACTGCCTCCTTTGGACCACTTCATCATGGGACAGCTTGATGCAATCTACTTGACAAGACCCTGGAACCCCACACCCCTCATGGAACCAGTGTCCACCTCCCAGTCACAGTGTGACCCCAGGGAACTCTTGCCTGCTTGCTTTAAACCCACCACTTAAAAGTCTCCACAGAAAACCTGTTTGAATAGTACCCTTGACCCAATAAGGGCATTGGCCCCTGGGTGTCTCTCTCTCTCTCTCTCTCTCTCTCTCCCTCTCTCTCCCTCTCTCTCTCTCGCTCCCTGACCTCTGCGTGTGGACTCCAGGCATGCCATATACCCCTCAGGACCTGTAAGTAATACTATCTTTATTTTTATTTTATATCTCTCCTAATCATTGAAAAGGTGCTCTCTATCTTGAAGATACTATATTAAATAAAATGAGAACTTGTCCCTAACACAGTTAGTGATAGGCTGAAACACGCTGATTGCACTCTTTACCCATTTAGTGATTTTTCTCAAGTTACTCTACACCATGTATTATCAACATAATTGATATTACAGAATAGAATTATAAGACACTTCTTTTGCCACAGAAAGTTCTATTGGACTCAGATTATCTAGAGCTACTACATGTATGCTATTCTATGATAAAAGATGTAGATGTGATAAAAACATTTATAAAATATCTGTCTTAGAAAAGTTAGCTAAAATTATTTTGGGAAAAGTATGTTTGAAAATAGAATCGTAAGCTACCACATTGTGATAAATATTTCTAAATGTGTCTATTAACTTGTCAGGAGACAACAGAGTGAATTAAAACAGTAGCCTTGTATCAGTATGTTTTTATTCAGAAGACAAATGCACGTTTTAACTATTATATGTTCTTGGCTTAACTTTTTTTGTAAAGTTAAGACATTACACTTTTACATGAATCTGTAATTTCAAGATATCTTAATGGTTGACAGGGACAGGACAATTGAAGAAAACCTGTAAATACATTTGGTAAAATTTATGATGGATTGTTTTGCAGATGGCTTCAGAGGTTATTAGCACATCTGTTTGAGATATGCACAGTTTTACATTTGTCCCTTAGGTAATCAACAGGGCTGAGATCAGTAAATCACATGTAAGCCACTGTTATGAGGCTATTCTGAATAGAGTTACATCATTTTATCATATCTAGACTTTCTAGTTATATTGGTGCTGTTGAAAATGATTTTGTATTACATGCTTTCTTCCAAATCATAGATCAAGATATTTTATTTATGTATGTCTTTTAAATGAAGAGTGGTTAGGATAGTCCTGATTATTGCACATAAATATTGCCTTTCACTAGATTATTGTTTTGGGCCAAATTTTAGACTATTATTTTAAAAAAGAGTACCTTAGTTTAATCCAACCTTTCCAGATACTTAGAAATTATTGAAATGTATATTTTGTGAAGATGGTCTTATGAAAGTTGTTGAGCTAGAAACATGTCCTTCACCAGTGGAATTCTTAGAAGCTTTCCTTGGGCTTCACTGGGTGCTAATAGACCATGATCGTATTGCTCTGTATATAATGGTACAAATTTTGTTTTATAACACTCAGTCTTAATAGAATGGGAATATTTTATCTTACTAACGTAGTCATTAGCTGGCCACTCTCTGTGTCCATTGGACCTTATAGGGTAAAGGGAGGGCAGTGCGTATTTGAAGCCTGTGCACGTGACACACAAAGGGCTTAGCAACCTCCGTGTTTTCCCAGCACAGGATACCCATTCTTCCTGAATGTTTCATTGTTAAATTAGATTGTGTGTGTGTGTGTGTGTGTGTGTGTGTATTTTATATTAACATACAGATGTATGTATTTTAGTTGCATTTTTTTTCTTAAAATGTTATTTTTTCTCTTTTTCTTTTATGTCAGGTGATGATAGAGCCCCTAGGGAAGCAAAACTGTCCATGCCCTTGCCTTAACTTTCAGATACGATAAAAACAACATTTATAAAATACCTGTCTTAGAAATATTAGCTAAAATTATGTTGGGGAAAGTATGTTTGAAAATAGAATTGTAAGCTACCACATTGTGATAAATATTACTAAATTTGTTTATTGACTTGTCAGGAAGCAAAAGAATGAATTAAAGAAAACTCCAGAGAATGAGCTGACAACCTACTCCCTGGTCAGTGGCTCTCCATGCCTACCTGTGGTCTCTTGGACACCCTTGCAGGTATGTGGGCAGGGAACTGCATGTTTATAGGAAACAGGCCTAGGATGGAAGGAGTTAATAGATCTTGCTCTTCTTGAGTTTGATGACATTTGTTTCCAGTTAAATAGCATGAAAACCCATCTGAGAGCCAGCTGAGGGTGGATACAGTTCTGGGGAGTTAAAGACGAGTGGTCACAACAGGTCTTCCTCGGCAATCCGAGCCCAAAACTGAATCTGCCTCCATAAGACCATTATGTGTCAGCTCTTTATTTATATGATTGATTCATCCAGTGGACTTTTAATTTCTTATGTCCAGATATTTTTTCAGTTCTTTTTTTCGTGATACAAGCACCTTGTGGATTGCCTGTCATAGAACAGGTTCTCAATAAACTTTTATTGAAAAAAGATGTATAAGTAGATTGTCTTGAGTAATTTTGTGAATAACCTGACCAACTAAGCAGTAGAAGACAAATGATTTTAAAACAGAAAGAGACATAACTTTCAGTGGGATTCAGGTGATCTAGTCGGGTCTGGAAATGCGCAAGAGAGAAGGTCCCTGATGCAGTGTGCTGACATTGAAATGTGTAGTTGTGGACTAGATGGTTATGGTTTCAGAACTGTGTAAGTAAGGGGTAGATTCCAAATTAAATCAATATTAAAGAGTAGCAGAGAAGGAATTTCCAGATTCCAGCTGCATTGCTTGTTTCATTGGAAGTGGTGTTTCTCTTTTTTCTTTTTTTTCTTTCTTTTTTTTTTTTTTTTTTAAACCTCAGAAGATGACTTCCTGGGAACTCTTCTGGGAGTGAATGTTATCAGCAAATTCCCAAAACAACACCCCTTAGACAAAAAGCCTCCTCACCTATGCATTGCCTAGACCACCCACTAAAGGTAAGATGTTAGTTAAAATAGTCCTTGCTTTCTGGGAGAAGCCATGTCTTAGTAGAAATTGAGCTGTTAATTTTCCGAATATTGATGATGTTTGATTACATTCTAATTGATTCTAAGATTTCATAATATGTTAAGAGATGCAGCTTTTCTTATATACCTTCGTGGCTTTTCTACATCTCAGTACATTTACTGTTAATATGAAGGATTTCCATAACTTCTCTCATCTAGTAAACTGAACTCCTTCATGGCTTGATCCATTGTGATGCTAGAAAATTGTTGTACACAGAAGACACAGTAGCCTCTCCATAACTGTTAGACTGGAAGTTTGACAAACTGGTCTGAAATAACTGATCAAATCAATGAATGACCTAGAGCTTTAAGAAACCAGATGGGAAGAGACAGACATGAAACCCAAGGTTGTTGATGGCTATTACTTTTGAGCCCAGCAAAAGGAGAAAAAGCAGCACCAATATCTGGCATCCTGGACATGAGGAAGTTTTAATGTCATTGTTTTGGCCTCATCATGGACCCAGGTGCTAGAAATGAGATTTTCTCTGTGTACTCTGGGTATATTTGTTCTAGCACAAGTAGGGGGAAGATTAAAGAGGAATTTCATACCCCCATGACTCCTTAGGAAATGTGTTTCTCACCTTTGCCACTTTTCCCCACTGTGTCCTTGCAGGTGATGGCCACAAAGAGGTGGATTTGTTGAGTTGGTGCCATTCCTTCTACTGCCAGCTTCACCAAAACAATGACACAGTCTTCCTTCCGCATGGAGACTCTTCTCTTTCCTGTGTTGCAGTGGATGCCTCCTGCAGATAAGAAATGCTTAACTGAGAAATGCTCATGTTGGGATATCATCGATGAGACTTTAATTTGGGCATGGTGACTGTTTCCCTTGCTGCCACTTGACTCAATCCCAGGAGCCTCAGTAGAGGATATAATATTACACAAGATGCTCAAAATGGTGGAATTGCTCAGTGCTCCCATAAATATACATTTATAATTTTCATTTGCCACATGGTAAACTGAAAAATACAGACTATATTAAAAAGAAACTGCATGATTTTTTTTCAAAAATTCAAAGCATATTTAAATAATATATAAATTAAATGCCCTCCTCTCTTCCAATTCTGTCCCTATAGTTTTCCTCTATTAAGTGAACTACATGCATTCTTTTAGTGGATAGATGCACACAAACACACAAGCCATTATGGGGAAGGATCCACGTGTGTGGCCATATTGTAACACATTTTTCTGCAAATCACCTCTTTCATTTAACAGCCCTTATTCAATGGCCTTTTTCTTTTTCAGTAGTACATACACATCTGTGTCATTTGTTGAATGACGACATGAATGTTTTGTAGATAAAATATAATTAAATGTTTTAAGCATTTCTCACTCATAGATATTTATGTTAGCACCAAATTTCTGTGCAATGAACCTCCCTATATATCAGTAATTTTGCATTTGTCTATAATATCATAATAAATTACTTATCAGTTGAATTACTGGGATTAAGTATGTGCACACTTTATATTTATATTTTGAAAATTATTGCAAGATTGCCTTCAAAAATGTGGTTAACAACTTTATCTTCAAATGGCAATGAATGAGATTGCCAGCTTTCCTACAGCCTCACAGACAATGGATTTTATAAATATTTAACATTTTTGCCAATGTGATCACCCAAACTATTGTCTTAAATTGTATCTCTTTTGTTTTTGAGTTTGGTCATTTTTTCATGTTTATTAGCCATCTGTATTTTTTAATTTCTTCTTTATGTCCAATTTTGTGGGTGGGAGGAGGATTTAGTCTCTTCCTGATTTCGAAGAGCTCATTTACTATTTCGGGAAATAAGATTTGGATTGTCAACCATTATAGCTATTTTTTACACACTTTTCAACTTTGTTTTTGTTATAAGAATGTGTATGATTGTTACATGTCCAAGTATAACCATGTTCGCTTTTATGGCTTCTGAGTTTCATGTCATTTTTGGAAAGATATATATATTGAGTCCATAAAACCCTTCACCTATGTTAAATTCTAATTCTTTTGTGTTTTTTTAATTCAAATTCTTAAATCATGAGAAATTTTTTTGTTTTGAAATCTTAAAGTTGCCAAGTTACTTGCCATTACTTGCGATTATTTGCCAATAATTGCCCATTTATCTGTACCGCCATCTTGCGCATATGCTGTACTCTCATCTGTGACTGGCTCCATTTTTGTTCTGTGGATTTGTGTGTCTCTTCTTCTGCCTCCTGTCTCGTGTCTGCTCGTTGGAAGAAATTACAGTTTAGACTGCAATTTCATCAACTTTAATAAATCAATTGAGGGGAGAATTGGTTTTTAAAAATATTAAGTAAGTCTTCGTATCCAAGGACAAGGTATGTCTTTTCTTATTCAATAATTTTAATTACTGTTAATATTTTCACTGTGGTGATGGGAGTTTTTCTTTTAATTTATTTTCTTGTTCATTTTTTGTATCTAAAGTTTTTGTTTTGTTTTGTTTTGGGGGTAAGTTGTCACCTTACTGTTTCTTGTTGCTTTTCAGATTTTTTCAAAGTATAGACTAAATCCTTCACAAATATTTAAAGTTTTTATTTTCCCCCTTCATATTGATCCTGATTTTAGTTATGTTGACAAAGTCCACAGACTGTTACTATCAGAACACTTGAACAGTTATGGAAATATTACCTACCCTTGATTTAATCAGAGTTTAATGGTATGCTTCTTTGGTTTGACTGGCACATTGTCGCTGGTCATTTCCTCCCAAAGACCACCAGAAAGAGCTATGATCAAGCAAAGCTGAGTTTGTTAAACTTACCTGCAGCAAGGGAAAACACCACCTTGATAGGGTTTAATAATGTTTCAAAATCAAGAAATGAGGCTTTGGGGTCTGGGCAGGGAACTAATTAGAAATGGGCAAAATTTGTCATGCAATACCTTGTGGGAAAGTGAGATGAGGTTCTTAATGTGAGTATTGATGGTGAAATCATTTTCTAGGTGAGCTGTTTGCCTATATAAAGATGTTATCAATGACAGAAGAACTATTTGCCTAGATAAACAAACTGAATTTATTTATTGGTTTACAGTTTTATCTTGCTGGGCAGGACTCTGCTGGGGGTGGTATCAGGTCTTATTCCCAATAGGTAAGTTATTTGGATATGGGTGGTCTTAATCATCAATGTGTAAAATGCTGATTTTAAGTGCGAAATACTTTGTCTACCATGTTAGGAAAGTCTGCCACCTTTTATCTTTTTTAAGGAATTTTAATCAAAACCAGGTGGTAGATATAATCAAATTGTTTTGCAGAATCAATTTTCCTGTTCTCTTTAAAGACTTTTATCACTGTGAATTAATTTACTATTATTGCAACTTCCTTTAATTCCTTGAATGAACAGACCCTACTGGTTTTAAAAATGTTTTATTCTTTTAATTTACTACTTAATTGTGGGTATTTTAATTTGATTTGGAATTTTTACAAGTATACAACTAAGTGAAATTGATCTGTGATTTTTCTTTTTTGTGCTATTTTTGTCATGTTTTGATATCAGATATTCTGGTTGTGTTAAAATAATTTTGAGGATTTTCTTCTTATACTGTGTTCTAGAGTGGGTAAAAAAGCCCTAGTCTCACTATCAGTGTTTAAGTGAACACATCAGTGACATCATCTGGACTCTCCTTTGTTTTTGCTGGTTTGGAGTTAGGACATCTAGAAGTTTTTTTCTTTTTTTCCTTTTTTTGTATGGTTATTGCTTGTTCTTTGTTTTGTGTCAAATTTAACCTGTTTTCTCTTAGCAAATCACAGCTCATGCAGATTTTCAAACACATTAGCCTTGTTATACAAAGTGTTCTTTCATCATTCTATTAAATTTCCATTTTCATTCCAGTTATAGTTATTTCTGCTGTGCCTTTGTTAATGAATAAGTTTAAACAGTGGATGTTTAGCATCACTAGCCTTCCCCTTCCATCTCCCTTAATCAGGACCTTGGTATAATTTATCAGGTATTTTTTAAGGTTCTAATTTACTTATATATATTGTTTCTGTATTCTTTTGTTTCTTTTCTTAATAAATTCTTAAACCTGTGTAACACATTCATATTCACTTGTTCTTGGCAATGAAAGATTTACCCTGCTGTGCATTTTATAAAACTTGTCATTATGAACACATTGTAAACATACAGTGTATGAAGAGAAGAAAACAGTGAACTAGCACATACAAGGAACTGGAACTGGTTCCATCATTATCAGTATTTTGCCATATTTACTTTGTGTTTATTTTAAGTATTTTCAAATAAGCTAGAGAAATCTTAACGCTTCTTATTCTCCCATAAACATTTTTACAATTTTATTTTTGAATGTGTATGTATACACATTCGTATGCTTTTATATTGTTCTATAACTTTCTTTTATATCATGTAATATATAAATATTTTAATATTTCTATCTGATTATTACATATCCATAGATGTGAAGCTTCCCTATTTTTAATAACTTATATTTTTACATAAGTAAAATTTACATAGTTAAATGCATTGATATATAGTAATTGTATAATTCAATAAGTTTCTTAAAAGTAATTACTATCCCATTCAGGAGATAGAATATTTTTATTACTTGAGAACCTACCCTATTGCCTCTTTCCAACCAAGCACCTTCTCAAAAAAACAATGTTGTGATTTTTATGATCATAGATAAGTTTTGCCTGTTTGGAAATTAATATAAATGGAATCACACAGTGTGTGTCTGGCTTCTTGCACTCATCATAATCATGTTGAGATTTATCTGTGCTATTCCCTATATCAGCAGTTTAAAAAAGTTTCTATAGTTGTAATATTTCACTAAATGGTTATATTGCAGTTTATCTATTCTCTTGTTGACGGACACCTGAGTAGTTTCTAGTTTTTAGCTGTTTTGAATGTTAGCAGATCTCTTATGTAAATACCTAAAAATTGAATTGTTTGATCATAAGACAGATTTTGCTTAACTTATAGGAAACTGCTAGAGAGTCTTCTAAAGAGATGGACACTTTTCGCACTCCCAACCAGTGATATGAGATTTTTAGTTGCTGTCCATTTTTGCCAACATTGGAAATTGTCAGTCTTATCTATTAAGTGGGTGTGAGGTGATATTTTGTTGTGACTTCAATTTGAAATTTGACCACTTAAGAAGGCAACCAGTTTTTCATGAAGTTATCCAATTGTAAATCTTCTTTAGTAAAATTTGTATATTTTTCCCAACTTTTAAATTACAATTTTGAAGTAATTTTGGACTTACGGGAAATTTGCAAAAATAGTAGAGTTCCTGTGTATTCTGTACCCAGCTTTCTGGATGTTAGCATTTTATATAATCATTATTATAACATTATTACATACAATGATAATTGAAATCAGGAAATTAATATAATACTGTCAACCAATCTGCAGACTATATTCAGGTTTTTCAAGTTATGCTACTAATGTCCTTTTTATCTAGTCCAGGATCCAATTCAAGATCTCTTATTTTATCTGGCATGTTTCCTTTGCCCTCTCTCCTGACTACAAATCTGGGAGAGCTCCCTCAGTCTTTCTTTGTATTTCATTTAATTGACACATTTGAGAAATACTAGACCATAATTTGGTACACTAGTCCTCAATTTGGATTTGTCCGATATTTTTATTATTAGATTAAGGTTATGCACTTTTGACAAAAGATAACACAGTAGTAACAGTGTGCCCTTTTCAGTGGATCATCTGGAGTACATGAAGTTAATGTCTTATTTCTGCTGATACTAAATATGACGCCTTTATTAAGGTAGTGTCTGCCAGGTTTATCCACTGCAAAGTTACTGTTTTCCTTTCTTTGTAATTAATATTTTATGAGAAAATAATTTGAGACTATGCAAATATTTTATTTCATCTAATTTCAGTATTAATTGAAGATTCTTGCCTGCAGCAATTATGATTATGGTGTTTACCTAGTAATGGTTTCTATTTCCATGATACTTTCTCTACTTACTAGAATTTGACTGTAAGGAAGATCTGTCCTTCTTCCCCATTTATTTGTACTCAGTTGTTATTTTACATCAGTATGGATTTGTGGATATCTTATTTTATGGATTGTTATATATTGCAATCATTGTTTGTGTTTGATTTTCAATTTTTTTTCTGGATTTGATCATTGGGAGCTCCTTAAAGTTGGCCCCTGTGTTCTTTTAATACAACCTCATAATTTTTTGACCACTTCTTATTTTCGGGTATCACAAGATATTCTAGGTTTATCTTGTATTTTCCTTCCCCACGCCTGTAATCAACCATTTCCTCAAGGGGTTCTAGTTCTTCATATTGGAAAATAGTATTTAGAAACCAAGATCTTGGTATTAAGTGTATTAATTGCTAATGGGGTTTTATTGCTTCTAGGCCTAGAGCTGGGAGCTGTGTGTCCGTTTACACACATACACATACACACACACCCCTATATTGTCTCTATTCATTTATCTATCTTAAATATATATACTAATAGTATGTAGAATACTATAGATAGTATATATCTATCTTTATTAAAAATCACAAGTTCATACTGTTGTGGATCATAATCCATCATCATATGGTTCATTTTATTCTTCCCTCTTGGCTTATTTGTGATTTGCTTCTTCAACAGTGAGAAACCTACCTTTCATTATCTACAATATGTTTTGTTATTTCTTCAGTGCAGTATACACTTAAATAATTTCAGAATTGCTAAATTATACCCCTTTAAAAATGAAATCACTAACTACAGCACAGTATTTAAATATAGTTCTTTTGTCTTTATCCTTAACAGCGTTCAGTCAACATACTATTATTTCTAAACGTATTTAGGTTAGTTATCTTTTTTTTCCTATCCCCTGCCATATGGTTACATTAATCATATAATCAAGCAGGTTTTTTTATTGTTTATATTCCATTTTGAGTTCCCTCACCTTTTGGATTATTTTAACTATATTTTGTATATGTGAAATATTACTATGTTTCTAAAAATTAGGACTGTGAGAAATACCACTCTCCCATCATCCCTGCTACACTGATTCTATTCCTCCCTTCTTTCCACCCTAATCTCACCCAACCCTTAGAGTTAACTAGTCTAATAGTTTCTGGTTTATTTTTTTCTCTTGTTATTCTTGTTCACAAGTGGGCAGATACATGTATATTTTATCATATATCACATGTATATTTTATATCCCCTTCCTTCTTACATGATTAGTGGCATACTATAGATTTTTTTTTGTTGCAGTTTTCTTTTTCCGCTTAATATGTCCTGGAAATCACTTCATGTGTATTCAAAGAGATATTCCTCATTCTGTCATGCTTAGTGCTTAACTCCATGGATGCACCACAATTTATTCAACCCCTCTGCTCTATGAGAATTGTTTGCAATATGTGTAAAGTATCACACTACAAATAGTTTTACATTGGATTGTTTATTTGCTCTTCGTTTGGAAGTGTTCTTTGTATTACTGGGACATACATTTCTTGTTCAATATATGTGTTGCAAAGGTTTCTTTCATTAAGTATCTTAGCCTGCCTGCCTTCCTTTCCATTTCCTTTCTTTTTCTTTTCTTTCTTCTCCTTTTAATGCTGTTATGCTCTAAATTTTAAAATGGCCCGAATTTGCCAGTGGCTCATCCCTTATTGCTATTTATTCTTCCTCTCCTTTTCTCCCCCATCTCTTTTCCTTTAATTTACGTGAAATTAACATAACGTAGCCATTTAGTGCATTCAAAATGTTTTGCAACTGCCATCCTTAACTAGTTCCAAAACATTTTCAGCACCCCAAAGACAACCCATACCCATTAAGCAGTCAGTCCCAACTCTCTTTCCCCATCTTTTCATTTTTGTTTTTTGGAGTTTTTTTGAGACAAAGTCTCACTTTGCACCCAGGCTGGAGTGCAATGGCACAATCATAGCTCACTGCAGCCTCAAATTCCTGGGCTTATGCAATACTTCCACCTTAGCCTCCCGAGCAGCTAGGACTACAGGCATATGTCACCACACCAGGCTAATTTATAAAAAAAATTTTTTAGACACAGAGTCTTGCAGTGTTGCCCAGGCTTCTTGTGTCTTTCGATAAACAGACATTGAAAATTTTTAAGTCCAGTATATCAGTTTGAGTCTCTTATTTTTAGTGCTTATTACTTACTATTAAATCTTTGCTTACTCCAGGTTTGCAAATAATAGTTTTCTAAGTTTTCTTCTAGAAGCTTTGGGACATAAGTATAACATCTATCTCAAATCATTTTCAAATGTAGTTGAAGTTACTTGTTTTCATCAATCTCCAGTTGTTGCAGAACCATTTGATCAAAAGATTTTTCTTTTTCTACTGAATTATCTAATGCCATTGTTGAAAATAAGTTGGCCATTTACGTATGGATCTTTTTTGAACTCTCTGTTTTTCCTTCTTTATGCCATTCTTTTTCACTGAAGTTTAATAGTAAATCTTGAGATTAAGTAGTGTGAGTCCAAAATTTTGTTATTTCAAGGCTTTATAGAGGAAGGAGATGGCTACACTGGGTCCTTTGTATGTTCACTTAAATTTTAAAATTATCTTGTCAATTTCCTAAAAAGCCCAACCGAGAAATTGATTTTGATTACATCAAAACTATAGATAAATTTAGGGGGGATTGACATCTTAACAATGTTGAGTCTGTAGTTCTCCATTTATTAGGTCGTCTATAATTTCTCATAGATGTCTTTTATGGTGTTTAGTATAGAAGCATACCTTGTAGTTTTCAATATAGAAACATTATTAAAATTTAACATTTAATAAACTAGATTAAATTGTTAAATTTATTTGTTTTGTTGTTTTGATGCTATTGTAAATGAATATGTTTAAATTTCGTTTTCCAGATTTGTTACTATTATATGAAAACAGTAATATTTTCACATTGCAACTGCTTTTCAGTTGGGTTGTCTTCTTTTCAGTCTTAGGAGAAAATATGTAATTTCTTACCATTAAGAAAGATACTAGCTGTTATTTTTTTGTAGATGCCCATTACCAAATTGAGCAAGTTTTATTCTAGTGCCAGTTTGCTGTTAATTTTTATAATAATAATGTGATAAATTTGCTGAATGTTTTTCTACATTTATTAATATAATCATGTTTTCCCCCTTATTCTCTTATTATGGGAGACTGCATTGGTCAGCTTTTGAATGTTAGCCCAACATTGCATTCTTGATGTAATCCAATTGGTCACTGTTATCCTTCTTGTATATATATTACTGTATTCAATTTTTCTGCTAGTTATTTAAGAGTTATTCACCTATGTCCGTGATGGCCATTATCCTGTGGTTTCCTTTTTAAAAATTATTTTTGTCAGATGTTGGCATTAGGCTTCATAAAATGTATTTAGTATAGTGCTCTATTTGCTAGTACACTTGACCCTTGAACAACAGACATGGAGATTAGGGGTTCAGACTCCCCCATAGTTGACAATCTGTGGACAATTGTTTGCTCTCCAGAAACTTAACTACGAATAGCCTACTGTTGACTGAAAGCCTTACAGATAACATAACTAGTCAATTAACACATATTTTATGTTATATGTATTACATACTATTTTATTAACAATAAAGTGAATGAGAGATAAAATGTTATTACGAGACATAAGGAAGAGAAAATATATTTACTATTCGTTACGTGAAAGTAGATGATCATAAAGGTCTTCATTCTCATTTTTATGTTGAATAGGCTGAGGAGGAGGAAGAAGAGGAGGGGTTGTTCTTACTGTATCGGGGTGGCAGAAGCAGTACACTTGGTGTAACTGTATGGAAATATAGTTTCTAGCTTTTTTGATTTTTCATTTCTCTAAAAATGTTTCTATATGGTACAGTCCTTCTTCCACTGTTTACTTATTTGTAGTACCCACATCATAGAAGGAGCCATATTGTAAAGAAGTCAAATGCAGACTTAAATAATTAGAAACCTTCTGCCAGCGTGTTTTTCTGGCACTCCTTCTGTGTCGTCTTCCTTATCGTCTGGTACTGGTTCAGAAGCACTTGTCTCCATCACGTCATCTTCTGTTAATTCCTCTAGTGTGTTATCTATTAGCTCTTGAATTTCTCCAAGGTGTATATCTTGAAAGCCTTCACTCACCACCCTTTTTTCCGTGTTCACGATCTCTTTCGTGATTTCCTTGGTTGGCTGTATTGTAAATCCTGTCAAGTCATGCACAACATCTGGACACAGTTTCCTCCAGCAGGGGAGTGTGTTGTGTTGGGCTTGATGCTTTCACAGCTTTTTGTGTAACGATGGCATCTTCAGTGCTGTGATCCTTCCAGACTTTCATGATGTTCTATCAGGGTTCTCTTGCATAGTGTTAGATAATCCTTTCCATAAAGTACTGTGTGTAATGAGCCTTAATGGTCCTTATGACTCCCTGATCTAGAGGATGATTTAGAGATGTTATGTCTGGGGGCAAATAGACCACTTTGACACCTTCAGTATTGAACTCATGGGGTCAGGGACATTGTCCAATCAAAAAAAAAAACTTTAAAAGGCACTCACTTACTGCAAGGTACTTCTTGACATCAGGGTCAAAACATCAATGAAACCAATACAGAAAAAAAGACTTCTTATTGTCCAGGCCTTTTTGTTTTACAATCAAAAGACCGGCAGCTGGTGTTTTAACTTTTCCCTTCGAGGCTCAGGAGTTAGCTGCTTTATAGATAAGGTCAGTCCTGATCATAAACCCAATTACATTTGCACAAAACAGTAGAATTAGCCCATCCCTTCCTGCCTTAAATCCTGGTGCTCACTTCTCTTCCTTACTAATAAATGTCCTTTCTGGCATTTTTTTTTTTTCAGAGTAGGGCACTTTCGTCAGTTTAAAAACCTGTTCAGGCAGATATCCTTTCTCCTCAATGATTTTCTTAATGGCATCTGGGAACTGCTTCTCCTGCTTGACTGTTTTTAAGCCAGACTTCTTTCTAAAATTATCAAACCATCCTTTGCTGGCATTAAATTCTCCAGATTTAGAACCTTCACCTTCCTTTTGCTTAGGATCATCTTGCACCCTAGAGGTATGCCTTACAGCAATCCTGTACCCGCAGAAAAGATGCATTTTCAATAGATAGATACTTTGCAAAAGTGCAAGGTTTTCACAGTGTTGGTACAGCTGCAACAATGGCTTCATGAATTTCCTTTTTTTTTTTTTTTTTTTTAACAATTGTCCTCACACTGGATTTACTTATCTTGAAATGGCAAGTAGCCCCTGCTGGAGACCTCAATCTGTGGTACCTTTTAAGCAATTAAACGTTTTCTTGTAATGTCATGACTTTCCTCTGCTTCTTAGGAGTACTTCCAGTATCACCAGTGGCACTTCATATGGGTCCCATGGTGTTAAGGTTTATGGTATTACACAAGACACTATGAAAAGTAATATGAGAACTGTGAAAGCTTTTGTTTTGCTGCCACATGCAATTTACTGGAGGGAGAAACTGTTTCCTGGCATGATTTCGGGTCACCTGGCACTTTAAGCAGATGCAATTGAGCTCCCCACTGTAGCAAAAGGAGGTGGCTACAAAATTATTACAATAATGCTGGGTGTACTACAGCTAATTTTATGCAGTTAGGATTTAATACCACATATTTACATTTCTCTCAACTGCAAATGGCACCATGTAGGATCTGTGAGTATGTGTGAGTAGGTTTTGATAAATTTTAACTTTTTATAATTTGTGTATATTTTATGGTAATAAATGATAAAAATAGGCTAGTATCTACATCTATTTTATGCATTCATGACATACCTTTTTCTTAATTTTTTTGGTATTTCTGGACTACGCAGTTGAGTTTTTTCAAATTGTCACAAATTTCCAAAAATGTATCCAATGTATTTATTGAAAAAAGTCTGCATATAAATAGATCATATGCAGTTCAAACTTGTGCTGTTCAAAGGTCAAATTTCTTTGTGGAATGTTTGATAGAATTCATTAGTGAAATGATCTGGGCCTGGAGTTTCCTTCGTGATATTTTAATGAACAATTTCAGTTTATTTAATAATACAGGATTGAGAGTTTCTGTTTCATTTAATGGCAGCTTTAGTACTGTTTTTCAAAGAGTATAGTCCATTTTATCAGATTTGTCAAATTCAGTAGTATAAAGTTGCTCATGATAGTTCCTTATTACCCTTATACTGTCTGTAAGATCTCACCTTTCCAATTCTGATATAGGTAATATTATTTTTTCTCAGGTTGGTCTTTTTTTTTTTTTTTTTTTTTAACTATCTTGTCATTTAAAAGAATCAATCTTTGATTTGCTAATTTTCTCTTTATCTGTTTTTTATATTATTGATTTCTTTCCTTCATCTTACCTTGGTTTTAATATGCTCTTTTTTTTGGTAGCTTCTTAATCTTGAGACTATTAAGTCTTCTATTATGTACCTTACTTATTTTCTAATATAACCATTGAAGGCTATAAGCACTACATTGATAGATTCCACAAACTTTGATATATTGTTTTAATTACCATTTAATTCAATTATTTTCTTCCTTTGTGTTTTAATTTGATCTGTTATTTTTAAGTGGAGTATTTAATTTCCAAATATTTGGGGCTTTTCTGTGTAGTTTGTTACAACTTCTGTTTTAGTTTTGTTTTGGTTCTAAAAAGTTACTCTGATATTTCAGCTTTCCAAATTTATTGAGACTTATGGTCTAGCATATGATCTGTCTTGACAAAAGTTTCACATGCACAGGAATATATATTTAAACTCAAGGTGTGCAGATTTTGTTCAGATAGATAGTGTCTAGATTTTCTAGATTGTCAGTGAATTTTTACAATTGTTTTATAAGTTACAAAGAGAATAGTGTAAAAAATTTCTGCTGTGATTATGATTTTCTTTATCTTTAGTTCTCTCAGTTCTTCGTGTATTTGGAAATATCTTATTGTTTATACTTTTATGAACATCATGACTGTAATAAATTTTATCTTTTCCTAATTTGGCCTGTCTTACCTTATGTAATATTTCTGGTCTTGATGTCTGCTTCGTCTGATATCTGAATAATATTACCAGTTTTCTTGGGTTTGCAGTATGTCTGGTGTATCTTTTTCTGTTCTTTAAATCTGTCTTCATAGTGCTTCCATTATAGAGAGCATAGAGATGGATCTTTTTTGTCCAATTTAACCATCAGTGACTTTTAAGTCTTTGGGGTCTTAAGTCCCTTTGCATTAAACATACTAACGTGACTAGACTTATGCCTACTATTTAGCTATTGTTTTTCCATTTGTCCCCTCTAGTTTGTTCCTCTCTGCCTGCTTTGCTTCGTTCTTTTGGGTTAATTGAATATTTTTAGTATCCTACATTAACTTCTCTGTTTACATTTCGGCTCCACCTCTGGGTATTTTGTATGGGTTATAAAATGTACCCTTAATTTATGACAATCTGCTTAGAGTTAGTATTGTACACTTCTCATGAAGTAAAATTTTATATATATATATATATATATATATATATATATATATATATATATATATATATATGAGGGAGTCTCAATCTGTCACCCAGACTGGAGTGCGGGGGCATGATCTCAGCTCACTGCAACATTAGGTGGAACTGTATTAACTCTAAAAGGACTGTGATAATTTAAAGATGTATATTATAACCATAGAATAATCACTAAAAAGTACAGAGAAATATAGCTAAAAAAGCAACAGCAGAATTAAAATGTAATAGTAAAAATACTTGATTAAAAGAATACAGGAAAGAATGAAGAAAAGAACAAAGTAAACTGTATAGAAAACAGATGGCAAAATGGTAGACCTAAACACAGTCATATTATAAATTACTTTAACGGTACACTTGTTTTTCATTGCTTTAATTGATCAAATGATAGGTAAAGTATTTTAAAGTCTCTTTGTAGTTTTCTTTAAATCTTAACATTTTGTGCAATGTTTGCTTTGTGAAGATTGATGCTATGATATTTACCAATCATTTAGAAGAGATATTGCTGGGTGTTTTGGTAAGTTTAGGTTACTTACATATCTTATATGATGAAATCAACATTTTTTATTTGATCAACTTAATAGAGGCATCCTGTTTGAAAGAAGAAAATAACAGATCTACAAAATTCTGATTCATGTAATAAGTAACCATTATGATAATAAATGTTTTTATTTATTGAGTGCATACTGAAAAGTGGTAGGAAGATTTTGTGCTGAAATATTTGTAAACCTAGTAATTAAAAAATGTTTTGGCTGGGCTTGTTGGCTCACGCCTGTAATCCCAGCTCTTTGGGAGGCCGAGGGGGGTGGATCACTTGAGGTCAGGAGTTCGAGTTCGAGACCAGCCTGGCCAATATGGTGAAACCCTGTCTCTACTAAAAATATAAAAATTAGCCAGGCATGGTGGTGCACGCCTGTAGTCCCAGCTACTCGGGAGGCTGAGATGGGAGAGTCGCTTGAACCCAGGAAGCAGAGGTTGCCGTGAGTCAAGATTACACCATTGCACTCCAGCCTGGGTGTCGCAGTGAGACTCTGCCTCAAAAAAAAAAAAAAAAAAAAAGCTGCTAATTACCCCATGCTAAATGTGTTGTAATGGTATTAATTTGATATATAACATATATGTAACATTTTATATATGTGCTCATATGATGATACTGATAATACCTCCCTCAAATTGCTCTTTTGAGTATTAAGAAAAGTTTATATAGAAAAACCAGTTTGGAAAGGTTTGGAACATAAGGCTACAGTGATTAGATGTTGAGAACAGCAGCAATAATAGTTGTCATTATAATATCTGATTAAGGCAATATTTGCACCCAGGTATACCTTGCTTCAGAACTGTGTGATTAACCATTATACCTTGAGGCTATTCATACCCTACCTTCACTTTGTTGGCATAATCTGAAGTTTTAAACCATAATCACATATTGCATTTGCACAATTAAATTTTAAAATATATACAAATTACAGTCAAATTATTGCATTCATTTCATGACTATATTCTGTTTCCATCCATAAGTACCGTATGGTCAACAATAACATGTCAAAGAGAATTTTGTTGTCACCTCGTTTCATTGTACCATGTTCACACTGTTCTTTATCTCTTTTTTCCATTGGCAGTATTGTGTTCTCAAGAAGAATTATTCCAGAAGCACCCCTGAAATAATATATTTCCTTAATTTTGGTATTATTAGCCCTTCTTTGCTTTTCTCTATAAATTGTCCTGATCAGTCACCTCTCTCAATTATATACAACACAAAGTAGCTTAAAGGAGAAAAAAAAGGAGATAAATAACCATGTTGGGTCTGGCGTCAGGCTTAATGGAGTCCAGTAGTCCAGAATTTAAAGACACATATGACCGTTTGCTCCCTTATCTCTTAGTTCTCCATTTCTTGGTTTGGCTTAAATCTTCAGTCACTTTTTCTTTATGTGAATTTGCAAAGGGATCATTTGAAGCCCTAGATGCAATTATTACCTGCCTTGCAATCTTGGTAGGATGTGTCCTCCTTCCCTCCTCCTTGTCCATGTAAAAGTTGGTGGGTGAAGAGATGGACAAGGCTTGAGTCACTAAGACATTCACTGACCTGGGAATAACTCAGGATAGGTCTGGTCATATCCCCAATGGAGGCAATGTACCCTAATGAAAAGGTCAGGGTCACTGGTCTCATTGTCCAAGGTGTTATCTGAGCTCATGGTCTCACAACCAAGAAAATTAAGGAGTATGGACACAGGGTGAGGTTGGTTGGAGCAAAAGTTTAGTAAGCGAAAGAAGAAAGCTCTCTGCAGCAGAGAGGGGAGTCCAAGTGGATTGCCGTTTTTACAGTCATTCAAAAGCTTTTTTAAGAAACTCCTCTCATCTCTGTAGCACTTTGAGTAACTTCTCTTATCAGCAAAGCTGTCTGTACAACTCCCCTTATCTTATGCAGCTGTGGGTATGTCTCTAGGCAAGCACAAAGCGCCGCTTATTTTTGTTTGTGTAACTGAGGGTTTGTTTTAGGTAAGCCCCCTCCTTTCTGTGCAGGCTTCCAGGGAGCCCACCATGTACATATCTGAAAAGGGAAGGAAACTTTTTGCTGGGAGCTTGTTAATCATACAAAGAATAAAGGGCTTCCATGCCAGACTTTGCCTGCCTGCTTATCTATGGCTTATCTGTGCAGCTATAGCCTGAGTTTCCCCTGGCTGCTCTGTTTTTGCCTGTAGCTGTGATTTTTTCAGGCAGACAGCTTCTCTGAGGACTAGTCTCTTAGCTGTTTACTCAAGTAATTTTTCCTGTCCTTTTCCCTCACTATGATTACCAGCTCCCCTAGGACTTCATGGTCTGGAATGAAATATTCCGTGGGAGTCAGGGAAAGGGAGTTTGTTGCAAACATGTCCAGGCCAGACACTTTATATAAAGTGTCAAAGTAAAGTACACTTACATAAAGTGTAAGTGCTGCCACCACCACTAGGGTGCCAGGTACTCTAACACAAGTCTTTATTCCCATAGATGTGAGTTAACATTTATACCACCAGCTCACACTATCAAACAATCCCACGTACCCCAAATAAACACTGGTGCCTGGTGGGCAGCAACAAGCCCTCCTTCAAGGAAGGAGTTCATTTGTTGGTTTATCCAGCTGCTCCCGCTTTGCTTATGGAAGCGCTCCGTTTTCTAGGGGTCTTAGAAGCTGTAGCAGTGGTAGAAAGCCCCTTTTTTGTGGACTATTATGACTTAGGCTTTTATCAGAGCCTCAGAGAATTGCTGTTGTTTTGTTGGTTAGGCTTTAGGTTTCCAATCTGCATACACAATTCCTTTGAAGCACCAGGCTTCCAGGCAATTTGGTTGAGGGAACTTATTGGGATATGAAATATTATCAGGCACCATTTCTAATCAATGTACCTAAGTTATGACTTCAGGTTTAGAGAAAAAAAAAATTTTTTTCCCTTGGCTTCAGGCTTCCTTCTGGAGGTGATAACCTCCTAAATGGACTGTCTTTAAGGGCCTGTGGCATGTGCCCTCCTTTCAGGAAACTAGTGTATGCCTGGAGGCATTGGTAATGGCTTCTCTCATCTTACTGTGGCTTGGGAAGAATATGGCTATTGCAGATTTTCTAGTTTCATTACCACCTGACCTTCAGGCTCCTTACATGTTATAGGCAGAAAAGGTGCCTCCACAAAGTTGTGGGCTATTCTCTGCTTTCAGAAGGACAGCTGGAAATGGTACTTAATTCTTTGTAGCAGCACCATCATGAATAGCTGCCCACACCCATATACATCATTATCTTTTTTGGTGAAGACTCTAAGACTTCAGGCCATGATATCCACAAGGCTATGTTCATGCACTACTTCGGTATAATCTCAAAATAATTGCCAGCTCCCCAGTGGAACGCCTGCCTTGGTCCATGTGGAATGTGGGCATATGGTAGGATTTCCTTGGAGGAACTAGAAGAGGAACATAAAGAATGTTAGGCATATAAATTATTGTTTCTTTTTCTTCTTGTTTCTTTCCACTGAGTTATGTGTGAGCCCCCACACCCACCCTACCTTCCTGTCCTCTACCTTACTGATGCTATTTTCAGGCTGTTGTAGAATTGGGTGTGTAAAATTAAATTAGCCTTTCTCCTCTTAATATCTGTAAAATGAACAAATTTGACAAAGAAACTACCTATCTGATATATAAGAAGGTTATTAGCCTGTACCACAAGTGAAAAAGTTTCATCCTGATATATCAAAATAGTACCACTTGAAGGAAAACGTTGGGGCCATCTGTTTCTCTCATTGTAGTTAGAGTACAGATTTTTAAAATATGAGCCTCAGGCATAAAAATGCAGTATTAGCAACTCAACTTGAAGAAGCAGTTACTAGTGTCCTGGGTGGGCCCCAGGGAAAATAGTACCAACTGCCTGTTATATTTAACTGCAATTAAAAATGGCAGTGCTGGGTATCTTCTGTCTCTGGGTCATCTCCTAAAGATCCTGCAGAGGGAGCCATAGCTAGTGTAGAGGCCAGCCATAACTAGCCATGGCAAAGACCACAGGGAACGCTCTTCAACATGCTCTGCACTGATCCTCTACCCTGGTGTGGAGAAATGTCAGATTCATCACTAACAAGGTTAAAGGTGTAAATTGAGGGAAAAAAATGAGAAAAGTTATCTTTCACATAAGACTTCAGAAAGAAATTGCGTCGTCAGGTTTGGAACTGGTTTGTAATTTCATCCAGTTATTTTCATTTTAATTACTGTCACTGTTTTCTTCATCCTTGATAAACTATGAGCTCTTTGAGATTGTCTTTTTCATATCCTGATGTCAGAGCTTCCTGTATTTTCTGATCATGGTATGTGCTAAGTAAATGCAATTTTTAGCATTTTGAATGGTTTATCAAATGATTGAAGGAGTGGGTAATAATATAGATTACATATACAGTCAGCCACATATGTGTATGTATGTGTATTTGTGTGTGTGTGTGTATATGTATATACTGTTGACCCTCCGTATCAATGGGTTTCACATTTGTGGATTCATCCAATCATGGATCAAAAATATTCTTTAAAAATATGGTTGCATCTGTACTGAACAGGCACAAACTTTTTTTCTTATCATTATTCCCTAAACAATGCAGTATGACAACTATTTATCATAGCATTGACACTGCATTAGATATGATAAGTAATCTAGAGATTAAAGTATATAGGAGGATGCATGTGGATCATATGCAAATAATACACTACATCTTATATAAGGGACTTGAACATCCATGGAGTTTGGTATGTGGTGGGTGATACCTCCTCTTTGAGGAGGTGAGTATCAGAGACGCAGGTAAATATGATCCAGAGGGCAAAGAGGCATTGCCAGCCTCACACTGGCTGTCAACACCATGCTGAGTTCCACGAAAGCAGCGAGGAGAGGGTGGTGTTCTTGTTTCTGGTACAATACCTGGCATAGAGAAGATGTCACAGCAATGTTCGTCTATTGAATAAGTCACCAAAATTGTGAATGACTGAATAAATGGGCAAAGGGATTTGTTCCCTACTTGCTGTGGGAAGTTTCTTGTAGTTATGACCTCCATGAAAGAGAGACTCGTATCTGGAGAAAGTTCATAGCTGAAACCATGAGATTTAACTTTTGAAGTTATAATGGATCTATTTTTTTAACATCATAAATGAAGATTATGCAATACTGTATGTGCTTCAATTGACACAACCCCTTCCCATTCAGGGCTGATTTATGTTCTGTACTGAATGACAGGCACAGAAGTAAATGTGATAATCCTGTCCCGTCGTTACCCTTTATTGTGGTCTTGCTGTGTCCCAGCCACACACTTCATACTGTATCTGTGTCATCATTCTCATATACATCTATATAGGTACACTTCCATAGACTTAGGCCCATTTAATGGAGGAGCAACTCCAACATTTAGAGATCATGAAAGGTACCTCATGACATATATTGACCTAGTGGCAGAGCTGCTTAGTTCTACAGCCTCTGAGTGGAATCCTCACGACAGTAAAAACACAAGCTTGGTTTCTCACACACTCTACCTGCTTTTTCTCATCCCCTTTAGTCTCTATTCCTTGCTGAGATGTGTTAGGCATTAAATGGTTACAGTCTACTTCTGTGTGTAGTCTCCAAACACTCAGAAACCTCAAAATTTAAAAAAATACAGAACAATATGTTATTAAATAATCAGGGACAAGTTAAAATGGTAAAGAGAATAGGCCACTTTGTGAAATCATATGCAGGGAAGAAAAAAATACTGGAGTGAAAACAATATAAAAATAATACTAGATGCTGTTTCGTAGCACCAAGTGTGTTCTAGCTTCTGTGGTTGTTGCTTTATATCATTTTATATAATCTTTACACAAAACCTACAAGCAGATATTATTTCCCCTATTTCAAAAATGAGAAAACCAAGGCAAATAGTTGGTAAGTAGTACATATATATTATCCTAACTCTGAACTTCTGGATTCAAAGACCATGTTCTAGGATACCATTTTGTGTACCAGCATGGAATATGTTTTTAGTTCATCTATTTACTCTAAAAATGTGGAGCATGTAGTGTGAGACAGAACTGTTCTAGGCTGTGAGGAAGTAGCTGTGAGGATGGTAGTATGGGTCCCTGTAATAATGAAAATGGAATATATTGGTATGTACAAGTACATGCTCATTAAAGGAAATTGATGTTGGCATAGATTGCCTGGGTTCAAATTCCCATTTACCATGTTTTCCTAGTTGTCTCTGTGGTGAGAGGAGGTGGAATGTACTAGCCATTACCAAAATTAAGAGAGATTGTTGGAAAAAGTCTCATTTAGCACAATAACACATTAAATGTATTCAATAAATGTTACTTATGACTCTTTGAGAAAACATACGTTTAAAAAACATGGCTTATGTTACACATACTATATGCTGGCTCCCAAAAATAAACATATTTCCCAAGAAGTGTCTGTTGATAAAGCCAAATATATTCTTACTACACTAAGGGGAAGCCCATCTTAGCAGTGTCTCAGCAGCATATTAGGGGCGTGGGGGACAAAACAGGATATCTGGGATCTTGAAGTTTCATTTTAGATGGGTCTTTCAGTGTGGGAGCTTGATTAGGATTGGGTGAGGGTCATGACACAGCATTTTAAGATTGAACGTTAGGATTTTGAGATGAGGGATTCTACAGTGTGGAGGCATAAGCTGTGGTCTGATGCTTTCTGTTGATGAGTTGATGGTCTTTGGGAAGTTCCCAGGATGAACAAAAATATTTGCAACTTTTATCTTCCTGGGCAAGAGTCTCAGAACATCTACACTTATATCAATGAAGGTAAAATGATAATAATGTCCCCAGCGAAGACAGGAAGCCATGTGGGTAGATAATGTAAGTTGTGTCATTTCATGGTTCCATGGATAAGCAGCTGTACTTAAGCTGCTTATCCTGGTGGATTCTGGAGATCCACACTTGAAGGTATCAACACAGAAATATACTAAGAGGATTGTGGTCAGAGTTTGTTGTCAGCTACTGAGTGAGGAGCCAGGAACATACAGCTTTTACCAAGAAAATCTATACCATCCACACTGTGATGAGCCCACAAGACCAGATATGGGACTTTAGCCAAATTACCTAATTTTATTATGTCTTTGATTGCTTTCTGGTCCTTATCTGGGATATCAGAGATCCCAGAGAGATGGCAGGGATGCAAATTAAACATTCTTCCCCCAAAAACAACACATTTTTCCCTTATAAAATTACTATATTCTGAAAAATTTCATGAACCTCCAAGTCAAGATGGGGCATTGTCTAACTTGCCTGCTGTTTGCTATACAATAGCATGGAGTCAGCTCCAGGCTTCCCAACCCTTTCGAAAAGCATGAATTGAAGAGGCTTAAGGAGAGAAGAAAGCAACCCAGAATTCCCTGTGTGGTTACAGTTTGGGTTCTTGCCTCAAGGCCTGGTTTTTCTCTTTTTGGAGTAAAGTTATCTGAAGACCTCTTTTTCTAAGAGAAGAAACTAATGGGTCAAAATGGACCCTGGGGGATGTCAGGGACTACAGTGAAGGCAGACGTTAGTTCACCCCTGAAATAAATTTCTGTCCAGTGTGCAGACAGTAGCCAGCAGACCTTTGTCTCCATCATCCAATACCAGTCTTTTCAGATCTAGTCAATGATCTATTTAAAGCCAAAATATCCTTATGAGACTGTCAAATAGTATTGTATTTTTTTGTATCACTCGTCAAGAATAGCTTAGTACCCGGCAATAAATTTTATAGTACTGATATTAATAGATCTCAGGTGAAAGAAAAGTCATGTGTCTTATAAGATGGGTGAAAGCCACCTCCAAATAGATACTCTGTTCTCTAGTTGTTTTTCATGTTCTATTCCTCTGTAAGTTCAGTTACAAAAGCTGACTTCCACAAAAAGTTCTCCAGTATTGTTTTGGAACCTTATTTTCTAATATCTTGTCATATACGAGTTGAGTCCCAATTAATGATTCATTATGAGGAACTGGAAACGAGAAACTGAGTGGCTCACCAAGGAAAATATGTGCAAACCTAACGGACAATTTGGTTATATGATTTAACCACTGCATGCATAAATTATAACTAGGTATTGGACTCATACTGAGGAGTGATTAAAATGTAACTATGCCTTATAAGCAACATAATTAAATGTAGCTTTAAGCCAGATAGGCAAGAAAATAACAAAAGGACGCAGATTAAAACATGACAATATATGGTATTGTTCTATGAGTCTTGAGTGGAAACTCTACATTTCATGCAGTCATCTACTTGGGCTAAAAATCATGTGTAGTGGCCATCTCCTTCCAAAGACCATCTTACTTCTAATGAGTTCTCATTGAGGTCTCACGTTCTCAGTCTGAGGTCTCCAGGTCTCAAGATTTCTCAGCTTGAGGTCTCCAGTAATGATTTAAGATGGTTTATGCCTCTTTGATTGGAAGACATCACTCTCAGTATCAACTCCCTGGAATTTTACTTCTGGATGAGTCGTTAACAGTATCCGATAGGGTCTTTTCCATCAGGGTTCGAGGGCTTTCTTTCTCAGGTATCTCTCCTGGAGATACCTGAGACCAAGCCTCTGAATTTAGACCATGTGAGGGTCATTTAGTAGAGGAAAAGCTGCTTGTTTACCTCTTAATAAGACTGGATAAATTGCCTGAGTTACCTGCAATATTTGGCTGTGATCACTTCCAATAATGTAGAGTCTAGAAGCAGAGGAGATATTCCTAGACTCGTGGGTTGGCCTGTTGCTAACTCAAAAGGGAAGATTTGATGAACCCCAGAAGTTGAGCTCATTGTCATTAAAGCAAACATTAGGCCATGTGAGTTTGAGAGTCTTTGATAGTTTTGCTAATTTGAGCTTAAACTTTTTGTTTATTCTTTCTATATTTCCTGAAGATTAGAGTAATATGGACAGCAGCGTTTCTGTGTGGACTGGCAGAGCTGTACAAAGCTCTTTATCATCTCAGTAAAATGGAGATAGTTTATACTTGTACTAGAGAGAGAGTTTGGGAACATAAAATCATGTCAAATTTTGCTCTGGCAGAGCTGGAAATCTCCAAACAAGGCCTCAATCTATCCTCCAAATAAGCGAACAATTACCATACATACTCAAAACCCATTGCAGAAGGTACTTACAAAATCTGTAAGTGTTCTAAGGGGCCCTGAGATTCTTGTTCATGCCCCATCTTTGCATTTTTACCAAGATTATACTGGTAACAAATAAGACACCGCATGCAACCTCAATAATCTTAGTGAAATTTCTCCATCAATGTTGATTGAGTGCAGTAGCCAATTTTTCTTTGCTTAGGTAGTTAATTGCATATTAAATGTTTGAAACATCCCGTTTAAGGTCCTCTGGCGCTACTAAGCATCTATCCTAGAGTGTGAGAGATTTTCCTCTTGCAATTTACCTGCAGATTTATATTAGTAACGGTTTGCCAACTGTGGAACCAATTGTTGACATTCTATAAGAACCTGTTTGAACCCGTCAGAAGGTTTGATTATGAGGACCAGGATCTTAGTGAGGGCTCCATGCTGGGGCCTCCTGGTATCCCCATCTTGTATTAGTGTTTGTTTTTTTAATAGCCACATCTTTAGCAAGCTTTACAATACTCAAAAGTTCTTTTATTTGCTGACCATTTTTAGTAGAGGCTCCTGCTGAGATTGAGAACTCTGTTTGTTCACAAACAAGACCAAGAACTACACACAAAGCATACCTGCCACCAGCACTCTCCTATCTCACTCAAACTGACCAGATCTGTAGAGCGAAATGAGTCCTGTCATCTGGCAGATTTTGCCTCTGGTAGTGATTATAAGGGTGAAGTATGTCACATCATGTGCCATCTGATATTCTTTTGTCCCAGTCTTAAAGTACAGCACATCAAAGAACAAGATGAAACATGGATTTTTAAAAAGAGATTACTAATACATCTATTTAGGGCATAGTTTGTAAACAAAGACAGTACACAGCTTCTTCTTAAGGTAATGGAAAAAGTAGCAATTTTGAAAGTATTGCCATAAGTAATAAAGATGTGAGGTGCTGATGTGAAGTAATATTTCATAGGAATTTAAGCCTCTATGCTGAAAAGTATGTATTTTCAATTTTGTGTATTTTCAGTAAAGGTTATCCAGCAAGAGGGACTATGAAACTTAAAGGAGACCCTAACCTAAACCAAGCCAGCAGAGGCTTCCAGTAATTTAGCTGTTGTGGCTATTGCCACTGGGTGAAGATACAGACTTCAATGAGCTGGCCCCTGAGGATTCTCCTGAAATGCATTTAGAACACCAAGAGCTTATCCCCAGCACTCATATACAAACTGGTAGAGAGTTCTGTGATAATTAGGTAGGCCTAAAGTGGGAGGTCATTGGAAGGCTAATTTTAACTCACAAAAATCTCTTTGTGATTAGGTTCTTAGGGCTCAGTTTTGGCTACTCATAAAGTGGGTAAGTCAGAGAGATGGGAAATTTTGGAAAATTTTGGAATGTTCTGCAATAAGCATCCAAGGAAACCCAGGAATCCTCTTAATGATCTCTTAACTACTAGCCTGAAAAGTTTTGGATAGCTTATAATCTATCAGGCATAAAGGATTCATCTTCTTGGGATAAATCACATCATAGGTAACGAACTTAAACAAAATTCTAACTTCTCTTTGGAAATTGTATGACCTTTCTGAGCTAAAACAAAGTAGATAGGTAGAATAAGTCTTAGAACTTGCTTTGTCTTTAGAACACAGTCACTGGTCATTCATATTATCTATTGATAAGAGTGGAATCACAGAAATTTAGGGTCCTTGAAATCGTTGTGAAAAGTAGGAAGGTATCTAAGTAAATCCAGGGGATATAGTACAAGTATGCTGTTGATTTTGCCTAGGGTGTACCAACAAGTATAGAGTATTTTAATACAAAGGCACTATAACAAAAAAGTAGAACACAAATCTGCCACTATAAGATATGCAGCCTCAAGGACTCAGTGGAAATAAGATGGTATTTGGGTGGGGTATGATAAACAGCGATTATTCTATTTATGGTTCTGAAGTCCTGAAAAAATCTGCTATCTCTGCCACTGGGTTTTTGAGCATGGAGTGTAAAAGAATTATAAGGGCTGTTACAAAGTTTTTAGCTATTATTTTAGTCCTTTAGTCCTTTTTAATCTCTTGGTTTTAGAAGAGATTGTGCAAGTTGGGTAGCAGTTAAGGTGGATAAATCTGAGTCTTAACCGGGTTTATCCATAAGAATGTCAAGCACTTCCTTGAGATCTTCAATTTTGGCTTGATTTAGATTCAATAGTAGTCGTGAATCAATGTCCAGATTATCTATGGTTTCTTTATGAGTGAGGGAGTCAGAGACTCAAGGTCTAGACCATCCAGATAGCATTTAATTTACAGTTCCACCCACGTAGTAACTTCCTACCTATCATGTGAGTGAATATGGTATTACAGAGAAAGAAAGAGTGTAATTTAGTTAAAGTCCAAGGGTGGCTGTAATGGGCTGGGATGTGAGGAATATTTGATAATTATTGCAGAAACCTACCATGTGAGTAGTTTATTTTCAATGAAGAGGTTGTGTAATAGTGATAAGGTTTAAGGTTGATGATATTTAGCACCCATATCAGTTAAAAAAATTTGCAGAGTTGTCATTTAATATTTAGAGAAAGTTTTCTTTTTGACTTGAAAGATGAAATGTTTTGTGCTTGATACCCACCGGAAGCACCTTGATTTGTCACTTATTTCATGTTTTGCCCTTTGATTCTGAGCTAATGCAAAACAAGTGTTTTCCAATTTCCTTACTGCTTACAGGCGTCTTTATCAAGAGACTTCCTTATTCCGGGTTTAATGTCTGGGATAGGAGGATGTAATTTTATCTCTACTTTGATTTTTTTTAATGAAACTCTTTCAAAATGTTTAGTGAGGTGCTAGAGATCTGATAATGGGAATAATATTGCTCATTGTAGTTTTTTTTTACATATTAAATCCTGTTTTTTTGGCTTCAGTTCCTTTCTGCAAAATGGGGAAAGATGTGTGTGGGCTCATATCTGCTTCAAGGTCTACTGAGTCCTTCCTAAGGGTATTAAAGAGCCTATCTTCAATTTCTCCAATGGACACATCCTTTCTTTGCTTGCAGGACTGGATTATAAAACAATCTATTTTCACAGGGAAGACTTTAGGGGTAGTCTCCAAAAGACCTTGTCCAATATCTTCAGTTTTTCTAAAATTCTTTGTTTCCTGTAAAATTTGAAACTCTTTGGTTTCCTGTGGTCTTTTATGTCACCACTGAGACTGACCCATTTTGCCTTTTTCATGTACTTTTTTGCATCTAGGGTTATCACTAAAATATGAACTCCTTGGTATAGATTTGGGAGCCCTGGATTCTAACTTCCTAAAGATGTTTTATAATCCTCGCAAGTTTTCCTCTATTCTGCCTGTGCTTTGAAGAGCCTTTGACGGGGTCTCTCATCTCAGAGTTAGATGGCTTAAAATCAACCACAGATGTTTCCCTGTTGTGAGGGTAGTTTAACATGAAGAGGTCATTGAGCTTTGGGGTTTTCTGGCTGTCTGAAAGAGAAGAAAAATTGTTCAGAGGGAGAGATGGGGGAGAGAATAATAATAGGATAAAGTCTATTTGGTTTGAGTTATGATTTGTTGGTATCTAAAACAGAGAGAGAGTTTTTTTTTTCTTTTGCCCTGGCTAACAAATTTCATAAGAAAGCAGTTTTGAAATCTGAATTGCCTTTGGATGTTTCTCAGATTAATTAAAAATGTAGACTACTGGATGTTTGAAATTTTGATCTATTTTTATTTTAATGTACTCTTAAAAAATTTTGTTCATAGAAAAACTTCCCCCAAAGTGGCTGCTATAATTGTAACTCATCTCTGTTGAAATTATGCCATTTAAATAAGTATATGAATGTGGATTATCTTATAAACATATGGAAGAAGAAGTCCAGAGGGCGTTTGGAATTAGAATGAGACTGGAGGCATACCCTGAAAGTGTGGTAAAACTCTGAAAAAAATGTTGCTTATGACCCCTTGGGTCTCTCAACCTGATTTCTACATTGTCTAACTGTAGACCTGAAGGAATTTGCAGTTTCTTGGGGGTACATAAGATGTTAATAGGGGATTTCTCTTAGAACCAGACTGATGATCAAGACAAGATTGAGGAAAATTGTCATAGGTTTTGATAAGGACCTAGGGAAAAATTTCTCCAAAGGACAGCAGGCTGAGAAGAAATCTTACAAACTTCTCCATCCCTGGGGCTGTCTTGAGGGATCCACTTACCTGGGTCTCTCTCACTCTCTTCCCTATGAACATTCCTTATATATACACATGAAGTGGCAAAGACAAAGGCGAAGAGTAGCATCACTAGTAATAAGGCAGTTTCACCAAAGATAAATTTTTTTCAAGTCTGATCAAAGTGTTCCTGAAAAGAGTTCCTTACCCTTAGGAGACAAAATAATCTCAGTATACTGGGAGTTCAATGAAAATATACTGGGGCTCAGTCCAATTTGATTTACTTAATACACTGTTGCACTAAGAGATAGTCCTGACCAGGAAGCTAAAAGGATATCTGAGGAGGACAATGAATTAAGGTTCTGAATTAAGGTTCTTGTGCCTAGGCTGCAAAGAGGTCTCAATCTTTATGGATCTTGGTGAGATCTCCAAGATTGTTCAATACTGAATTCCTAGAAATACAACCTGAAGAATATTTTGATAAGGCAAAGCTGAGTTTATTCTTAATGTGGTAAGAGAAAGCAATCCCCTAATAGATATTAATAACATTTTGGACAAGGAAGGACAAAGTTAGAATATTTATGAGACTTTAAAGGCTCATTTAAGATGGGTCTTTAAATGCCAGGGCTTGATTAGGATTTGGCGAGGATTATGATAAAAGAGTTTACTGTTGGTGGACACAGCAAAGTAAAGATTTGGAGGTGAGGGATTCAAAAACTCTTAGAATATAAGCTATTGTCTGATGTTTTCTACTGATGAGTTAATAAGTTTCTAAGGAAGTTCTTGTAATAAATAATAAACATTATTCACAACTTTTATTTTTCTGAGCAAGAATTTACTGGAATAGTAAAGTGAAAATAGTGCCAGTGAAAATAGTGGAAAATTTAAATTGGAGGCAATTAGCCATGAGAGTGTACATGATTTTGTTTCTCACAGTGTCAGTTAACATTTCCCCTCTGTGCAAATCCTTCAATAGTTTACAATTTGTTTATAATAAATGTCCGTAGAATGGCCCACAAAACTGGACCTGGTCAAGCCACTTTCTGTCACCTCTTACCTCTTAGCTACTACTTGCTGTTCTGGAACCACTGGGCCAGCTTCTGCACCAGATTCTCTCTTGGCCCCAAGCATTTTTCCACCGTCTCTCTCTCTCTGCTTACTCCTCTGCCATCATCAGTTGTCAACTAGGCTAACCTGGTACACTTCTCTAAGTATCAATATCACTACAATGTTGCTCTTTACCCCTTTCCACTATTTTCAACACTGATCATGTAATATAAAATATTATTTAATATTTTAAATGATTATCCATCTCCTTGCACTAGAATGTAAACATGCTGACTGTAGAGATTTTTGTCTTTGTCTTTTACTGCTCCAACACCAATTCTCTGACTTTGAAGGCAATAAAAACTGACTTTAAACCTGAAAAGAAAGAGCTAAATTGCCTTCCAGTTCTTTGAAGTAAAAGTTTATACTTCAAAAGAATTGCTCTGGAAAGGGAGAAACTGCAAGAGAAATTTCAACTTCTTGCTTCTCAAAGAGAAAGGCAAAATTATATAAAATTTTGAGGAAGGGTGGCATTTAGGTTAAATTTATAATAAACAGTATAGCTGGGTTAGATGGAAGCAAATGGAGTTGGTCAGATGGGGTTGATTTGATCAAAGCCAAGTGGAAATGATTGGAAGGATTAGAGAGCAGACCAGTACAAGCAGTGCTTGCTGATGTGGACATTTAAGTGAAAACTCATTTTGACCAATTTTGCAGCTTCCTGAGTATGGGGTGAGGATATCCTGTTCTTTAGGGGATAATAAGATTTTCAGCTTCTTTTGTACATGTGATGATGCCTTTAGGCAAGGGTGATATTTTTCATTCTCATGACCAAAGCACAGACCATAAGTCTGAACACAGAACACTATACATGGTAATCTAGGTACTCTATTTGCCTTTGTAGGTGATTGCAATTTTTTCCTTATTTAAAATTTTAAGACCATAAAGAATACTTGAAAAGTAACTTTTTACCAATCATTTAAAAAATACTGATTAAATGATAAAATCCCTTAAAAACACAGTTAATGCAAAAGCCACAAAAAGAAATATAAAATATAGCTTTACATCTGTTAAAGACACTGAACACATAATTAAAATATTCCCAAACAACAATGCTCCATGCTGAAATGTTCCACTAGTAAATTTTTACAAATATTTAAGGGAAAAATGTATAATTTTCATTTTCTCAGGATAGCTGACTTCTAGTAACTAAACATGACAAAGAACTATAAAAATTGAATTTACAGAACATGGCTACTAGGAATATAGATCCAAGTAGCCTGAACACAATAATAGTAAATCAAATTATGTGAATTTTTTTTTTTTTGAGATGGAGTCTTGCTCTCTTGCCCATGTTGGAGTGCAGTGGCACGATCTCTGCTCACTACAACCTTACAACCTCCACATCCCAGGTTCAAGTGATCCTCCTGCCTCAGCCCCACTAGTAGCTGGGATTACAGGCACTTGCCACCATGCCAGTTTAATTTTTGTATTTTTAGTAGAGACAGGGTTTTGCCATGCTGGCCAGGCTGGTCTTGAACTCCCGACCTCAGGTGATCCACCTGCCTCGGCCTCCCAAAGTGCTGGGATTATAGGCATGAGCCACCGCACCCAGCCAAAATATTTTTTTAAAAGGTCACTGCATTATAATCATTTGGGGTTTACTTGAGAAATGAAGATTTTTTTTTTAAACATTCAAAAAATCATTCAACACTTCTGGTTTCAGCTCTGATATGTGAGGAACTTGTAAGTTATAATTACTGTCCTTATAACAAGATAAAGCAGAACAAATTGAAAAAAAAATCAATTATTTCCTTTAACCCATCAGAGAACTGAGGCTTCAGGGAAAGTTGCCACCCCAAAGTCTGGGGACACCGATTGATACACAGCTGAAATTTGCTTAGCTGGAACAGAAGCCACTGGAGCCACAAATTGATAGGAACATTTAAATAGCAATTTAGATGAATAGCTGGGCTGAATGTGGGCTAGAGTGAAAGGAAGAAACTCCTGGGAACCCCCACATTTTTGTGGGTTCTACCTCCAGAACCTCAACAATTTCTCATGGTAAAGATTTAAGAAAGATCCCCTCCTCCTTTGGAAAGGGAGAGAAGAGTAATCATTGTGAAATACACCCAGAGCATTCTTCATAACAAAGACCTAACCTCCAGGGGAAAAATTTTATCTGAGCCATATCTCAGTAAGGGATAAGGGGAAGGGCATTCCTTTCATTTCAGCCTTCTCTAGCTTTCCTGTTTTACCAATCAGGAAATAAAAAACCCACAATTGTCAATAGAGATCAGCACTTCAAGGAAATAGATTGGAAGCAAAAGAAGGAGGGAAAAGAGTAGAGAGGTCAGGTGGAGTTGAGGGAGAGGTTCTGCCACTGAAGGAATGTTTGTGATGGTTGTAACACCAAGACACAGGCACACAGAGACTTATTCAAAAGATCATAGAACACTCTCCCCTATGTCTTACGACCCCACCAGCAGTGTTCTGTGTAATAGTAGATTACAGTTGAAATAGCTGTAAGACACCAATTCTCTCAGAGGAGTACTTAGGGAAGTCCAAAGTCAAGAGCAGAAACAAAAGACACTAGAGGAATTTGGCATTTCTGGTGCCTCTAGTAACAGCAAACATTAAACAAAGCCCAATTCCTCATCAGATTTCTGTAAATAGCATTCTAAAGCTCCATTTACCTCAGTACTTACTACCAGATACAGTTCAACAAAAAATTACAATGCACATCCTATGACAAGAAAAAACAGTCTGAAGAGAGAAAGCAATTAGCAGAACCAGACTCAGAACAAAGATGTTGGAATTAATAATAGAGATTTAAAATAACTATGATTAATATGTTAAGGACTCTTAGACATGCAAAAATAGATTATATAAGCAGAGAGATGGAAACTCAAAAGAAGCAAGAGGAAATGCTAGAAATAAAAAACACTATAACATAAATGAAGAATGCCTTCAACAGGCTCGTAAGTAGATTCAGCACAGCCGAGGAAAGATTCAGTGATCTTGAAGTTAGGTCAATAGAAATTTTGCAAACTAAAATGCAAATACAGAAAAAGAAAAGAATGAAGAAAATGGGACAGAACATCCAAGAACTGTGGAACAATTTTTAAAGGTGCAACATAGATGTAATGGGGATACTAAAAGAATGGAGTATAGAGCATAATATATGTTTGAAGTAAAAATGGCCAAGAATTTTTCAAAATTAATAACAGACACCAAACCACAGGCCCAGAAATCTCAGAGAACACAAAACAGTAAAAATGCAAAAAAAGCAAAAACAAAAACAATAAAACCTACAAATATCATATTCAACCTGCGGAAAGACAAACACAGAAAAAGAAATCTTTAAAGAAGGTAGATAAAACATCCTCGTCTTCTCATCAGGAAAAAAAATCCGAAAGTAGTAATGTGGTAGTCAATTATGGCATATGGATGTGTGAAAACAATGGCAGCAATGCCACCAGAGATAGGAAAAAAAATGGAAATCCTCTGTTATAAGGCACCTGCACTAAGCGTGAAGTGGTATGGTGTAATTTGAAGATGGGTTTAGATTAGTTAAAAATGTATATTGTAGCCAGGGTGACATAGCAAAACCCAGTCTTAACTAACAATACAAAAATTAGCCAGGTGTGGTGGCACACATCTGTAGTTCCAGCTACTTGGGAGGCTGAGGTGGGAAAGTTGCTTGAGCCCGGGAGGCAGAGGTTGCAGTGAGCCGAGATTGCACCCCTGTACTCCAGCCTGGGTGATACAGCAAGACCCTGTCTCAAAACAAACAAACAAACAGAAATGTATATTGTAAGTTCTAGCTCAACCAGTTAAACAAATAAGAAAAGATAATTGATATGCTAAGAAAGGAGATAAAATGGAATCATGTAACATGATCAAGTAAAAGTAGAGAACACAGTAAAATAGAGGTCTTAAAGAAATAGTAATGCAATGACTAGAAAGCAGTTGCAAACATGGAATATATTGATCCAACTGTATAAATAATCACTTCAGATGTGAATTATCTACATTGAAAAACAGAAACTCTCAGAATGGACTAAGACAAGACCAAACTAAATGGCTACAAGAAGCCTACTTTAAAATTAAAGATTTGGATACTCTGAAAGTAAAGGGATGGAGAAAGATATAACATGCTTACAGTAATCAAAAGACAGCTGGAGTAGCTATATTGATTTTCAGACACAGCAGAATTCAGAACAAGGAAGGTTACCAGGCATGAAAAGTGGCAATACATAGTGAGAAAGGGCCAATTCTACAAGAATATCTAAACGTGTATGCACCTATTAACAGTGTCAAGATATACATGAGGTAAAAGTTGATAAAACTGAAAAAAGAAATAGATAAACCCTATTTATAGTCAGAGGTTCCAACATCCCTCTGGCATAGACATAAATAAGAATATTGATAACCTGAACAGCATTATCAGTTAAGTTGTTTGATGTTTATAGAGTACTCCAACAACAGAAGAATTTACATGAATATACATTATTCCAAAGTTTACATGAAATATTCATGAAAACATCATATTATGTGCCATAAAACAAATTTAAAAGATTATAAATCATACTAAGTACTCAGGTCACAATGTAATAAAACTAGAAACCAATAAAGAAAGACATAGCTGGGAAATCTCCAAATATTTGGAAACTAAACAACAAACTTGTATATAATAGACACATCAAAGAACAAGTCATTAGAGAAATTAAAAATTATTTTGAACTAATTCCAGCTGGACAATACTGGTTACAATTTGTGGGATGCAGCTAAAGTAGTGCTTGCAAGGAAATTTTTAGCATTAAATACATTAAAAAGAAAAAGACCAATAATCAATCTGACCTTCCACCTTAGAAAAATACAGAACAGTTTAAGCAAACAGAAGAACCTTAAGCAAACAGAAGACAAGAAATAATAAAAGAATAAAAATCAATGAAATTTAAAACAGAAAAACAGTATGGAAAACCAAGAAAACCAAAAGTTGATTTGTTTAAAAGATTGGTAACATTGCTAAACTTCTAGTCAGGCTAAGCAAAGAAAAGAAAAAAGACAAATGACCAATATCAGGAGTAAAGGAGGGGACATCAGTATTGATCCCATGGACGTGAAAAGGATAACAGAATACTAAGAACAACTCTATGCCTCCAGATTTGATAAATGAAATGGACCAATACCTTGAAGTAAACTACCACAACCTCCAAAAGGAAAAATAGGTAACCTGAATAGCAATATATCTATTAATGAAATTGAAATAATAATTAACCTTCCCCCAAAATAGCACCATGCCCAGAGAGTTTTACTAGTGATTTTTACTAAACATTTAAGGAAGATGCAATACCAGTTCTCCACCATTACTTCCAGAAAATAGAAACAGAGGGAAGACTTCCCAACTCATTACATCACACCATCATTACCCTAACATAATAACCAGATAAAAACATTAAAAGAAAGAAAAACTACAGACCAATATCTCTCATGAAGATTGACGTAAAACTCCTTGACAAAATATTATCAAATCGAATTCAACAATGTATAGAAAAAATTAGTACCATTATGTACATTATGGGATTTATTCCAGGTATGCAAGGCTCTTTGAACATTCAAAATTCAGCCAATGTAGTAGACCGTATCAATAGCCTACAGAAGAAAAATTATATTATTATATCAATAGATGCAGTAAAAGCATTTCACAAAATTGAATATTCATGATTTTTAAAATCTCAGCAATCTAGGAATACAAGGAAATTTCCTCAACTTGATGAAAAAATTCTACAAAAAACCCCATAGCTAATATCATACTGAAATGTAAGAGACTGTATGTTAATTTCAGGAGCAAGGCGAGGATGTCCTCCAATTCTATGCAACATCATACTGGAAGTCTTAGCTAGTGCAACAAGACAAGAAAAGGGAATGAGGCATACAGATTGTGATGGAAGAAATAAAACAGTCTTTACTCAAGGATGACATGGAGAAAATCCCAAAGAATCCACAAAAGAAAAACTTGGAGCTAATAAGTGAGTATAACAAAGTTAAAGGATATAAGGTTGATATACAAAAACCAATTGCTTACCTATAAACCAGTAATAGTCTATTGAAATTAGAAAAAAACTATAATAGCACCATAACAAAAGCAAATAAAACCCTTACTTATAAACCTAAAGAAAAACAGGTTCAGGATCTATATGTCTATATGTAGAAGACTATAAAACTTTGATAAGAGAAATCAAAGAAGATCAAAATAAATGAACAGATATATCCTGTATCCATAGATAGAAGACTCAATATTATAAAAATGTCAGTTCTTCCTAACTTTATAGACTCAATTCAATTCTATTCAAAATCCCAGCAGGCTATTTTGTAGATGTTGACAAAGAATAACCAACATAACACTGAAGAAGCACAAAGACAGAGGAGAAATACTACCTGATTTTAAGACTTTTACTAGAAGCTGCAGTAATCAAGACTTTGTGGTACTGGCAAAAGAACAGATACATAAGTTAATAGTACAGAATAGAGAGCCCAGAAATAGACACCACACAAATATAATTAACTGACCTGTGTCAGGGAACAAAGACAATCCAATGCATAAAAGAATAGTCTTTTCAGTTAATGGTGCTGCAACAAGGAGATGTCTGTATGTGAAAAAGTGAACCTAGACATAGGTTTTAGATATTTCACAAAAATTAACTCAAAATAGACCATAGAACTAAATATGAAATGCAAAGTGTTAATAATTCTAAAAGAATACAAGAGAAAATGTATTTGATCTTGGGTTTTGTGATGGGGAACACCAAAGACACAGACCATGAAGGGAAAAAAATGGTAAGCTTTTAAAATATAAGTTCTGTTTGGAAAAAGGCACTTAATTAAAAGATAAGCCACAGATTGGGGGAAAATATTTTCAAAGTACATATCTAATAAAGGTATTCTAGTCAACTGTATAGAGAACTCTTAAAACTCAGCAATAAGAAAACAAATGACCAATTAAAAAATAGGCAAAAGATCTGAACAGACACCATACCAAAAAACAAAAACAAATACAAATGATAAATACACTTATGTAAAGATGCTTAACATTTTCTGTCACTGGAGATAAAAAATAATAAAATACCACTACACATGTACTCATATACATGTACACAGTACACATATACACTACACACAGTACACATGTATTCCCATGTAATAGAATGGCTAAAATCCATCCAAAGCCTGATCATGCCAACTTCTGTTGAAAAGGCAAGCAACATTAATTGGTGATGGAAATGCAAAATAGCACAGCCACTTTTGAAGACAGTTTGGCAGTTTCTTAGAAAGCTAAATGTTGTCCTGCCATATATCTAGCCACTACGCTCCTTGGTATTTACCCAACTAATCTGAAAACTTACGTCCACATAAATGCCAGCACATGAATATTACAGCTTTATTCATAATGACCAAAACCTGAAATTAACTAAAATATCATTCAATAGGTGGATGGATAAACTGTGATACATTTATACAATAGAATACTATCAAGCAATAAAAAGGATTAACCCATCAAGCCACACAAAAACATGGATAAATCATAGATGCATATTGCTGAGTAAAAGAAGCCAATCTGAAAAGAATACATACAATATTCTTCATTTTTGTAACATTCTGGGCAAGGCAAAACTATAGATATCAATGGTTGGCAGGGTTCAGGCGAAGGGGCAGGGATTTAATAGATAAATCACAGCAAATCTATTCTGTATGGTACTGTAATAGTGTATACATTATACTGTGCGTTTGTCAAAACACAGTGAACTTTAAAGCACAAATGAACCTTAATGTACACAAATTTTAAAAAATCATTTAGGAGTTTGGGGGATCCAAGATGGAACACAGTGTCTGACAAAAGAATCCAGGTGTTTTACAAATGTATTAGACAAGCTTACGAATAATGTTGGGGAGAAAAGATAATGACTTAAGTAACTTTGAAAATGAGTGGAATCTGTTAAGACTAGAGGCAAAGTGACTGTACAGGAGCACTGCACACTATTTGATAAAGTTGTTTTCTGTAGGTGTATGAGTTAGCAATTCTAAATCATGATACATATGTATATTGGAATTGAACAATTAAGTAAATGGTTGGCAGATGGTGTACATTTTCTTATTGTTGGAATGAAAAGTTACAGACAAGAAGAAAAGAATGATTTGTGTTGTAATGGATTAGAGTTGGAAACGTCAGTGTAAACTTATGTTTAGTTTAATATGCAGACAGATGGTTACACATAGAAATATAGATGCATGTATTTACATAGTTATTGTACACACCCTGTGTCAACTGAGAATGCTTAGAAGCAATGACACTCTAGTAACAATGGGCACACCTAGAACCCAGCCCTTAGTTTCTAATACCATTCTCCAATAGAACAAATCAGGGATCCTTGTAGAAATGGCTGATTCTAAGACTGGTTAGGAAATGTACAAGATGAGCCTGGAGCATCATATAGTGCCAGAGAGTAAGGAAGTACTAAAACAAGAACCCCACATTGATGAAAGTATATCAAAGGGACTCAGGAACCAACCAAAAGAGCTTCCAGTGGTCAAATCTGGAACAAATTTTTAAAAATAAATAGCATAATATTAGATTACAACCCAAAGTATAAAATATCCATGAATCCATATTGATGTAAATAATCAAATGAATAAATAAACTGGGGAGAACATAGATTTTTTGTGCAGAATAATTTCATATAGTTTTTATAGATACTTTTGCCCTTAAGGAGGTTGAACTCCTTACTCGTCAAGTGTGGGAAGAAAGTCATTAGGCACATTGGTGACTTTCTTTCAAAGAGTACAGGGTGGAAATGGGGGATGGAAGGGAAGAGTAACTGTGCAGGGGAGAAACCTGACAAGCACTATCTCTACATGGTAATCAAGGTTAACATCAGTAGTGATAAATCATGCTGATAGTATATACCTTTGATATGACGTGATAAAAATTGCACTTTACCTCTACAGTCTTCCTCCCAAAAACCCATAAGATCAGTATCATTATGAGAAAAATCATCAAACAAATCCCACATGAGATATACTCTACAAAATACTTGACTAGTTTTGCTCAAAACTGTGAAGGTCCTCAAAAAGGAAAGCTTGAGAAAGTGTGACAGTCAAGAAGAGCCTAAATAGACAAGACAACTAAATGGAATATGGCATCCTATATGGGATCCTAGAAGAGTAATAGTACATTATGTAAAACTATGGAAATCTGAATAAAGTGGGCTTTAGTTAATAATAATCTATCAATATTGGTTCGTTGAGTGTGACAAATGTGCCATATTAATACAAGATGTTAACAGGAGGGGAAACTGGGTATAGGGTATTTGGGAACTCTGTTTCAGCTTCACTTTTTAAAAAATCTTCAAATGTTTACTTCAAAAATGAATTCAAAATCACTCAATGTAAATCACTATGGTAACATAAGAGAGAAGAAAAGTTATATGATCATCTCAAAAGAGAAAAAGCATTTGATAAAATATAAAAACTATTCTTTATAAATCTCTTTATTGGAACTACGAATTTATGGGAACTAAAAATTGAAAAAAATTTAATGAGATAAAGGGTATTTACAAAATAAATTAATTGTAAAATTATTGACAGTGGAGATAGAGAAAGCTTTTTTATGAGATTGGGAATAAAAGAGGATTTTTTTTCATCATTTCTATTCATTACTATACTGGATGTCCTAACTAGGGGAGTAGAGTCATAGAATAAGGATTGGAAATGGAAAGGTATAAGTTTCATTATTTACTGACAAGAAACAAGTCTGAACATGATCAATTAAAATTAGGAAGTTAATTGAGCAAGATTGCTGGGTTAAAAAGCAGATAACTAAAATGTATTTCTATGTAAAATGACAAATGAAAAATGAAGTTTTTAAAAGATAACATTTTTGGGAACATCAGAAACATCAATTCCATAGGAAAAAATTCACACAAAATATTATGAAACATTATGGAAAGGAAGCAAGTAATACCTTACAAATGGAGGGATATAATATATTCACAGTGGCAAATTCAATTACATATACTATACATGTTAATTCTCCCCCAAATTCACTTAAAGATCCCAACGTAAGAGCATTCTAAATCTGAATGCCATTTATTAAATGTTCAATCTAATTTCAAGAATTATATATGACACAAAAAGTCAAGAAGAGCCAAGATAGTCTTGATGAAGATGACAATTTTGCATGAGTTACATGGCCAAAATTTAAGGCCTACTATTGCAAGGTTACAGTTACTGACAAAAGACAGAAAACTAGCCTAATGGAGCAAAATAGAGACTCCACTCCACAAGCAGATCAATAGATATATGATTACTTGCTTTATGATAAAAGTGCCACTCCTGCATGATGAGGAAAGAATGGTTTGTTCAATAGTTAGTGCTGGATATCAATACATAAAAAAGTGAATTCCTTTTCAAACCATACAGATCCATCATTTCTAGGTGTAATGTTGGTCTATTCATGAAAGGCAAAACAGTAAAGCTTCTTGAGCATAGCATAACATAGGAGGGTGTCATCATAATTTGGCAGAAAGTGAAAAATACCAATAACACTAAGCATAAAGGAAAATATTGATGAATTAGTCTGCATCCAAATTAAAATTTTTATTTCTCAAAGTATATAATCAGTGAAGAAGCATCGTATAAAAGATACAACTTGTACATGTCAAAAAGTTAGAAAACACTTAAATGGGTACTTCACAAAAGAGGATATCTGAATGGCCAATAAGCCTATGAAAAGGTATTCAAGGTCATTAGCCATGAGAAAAATAATTCAGACAACAATCAGATAAACATCTTCCAGTATATCTAGACAGTCCCCAATTTATAATGGTTTGATTTATGATTTTTCCACTTTATGATGTTGTGAAAGTGGTATGCATTCAGTAGAAACCATACCTTGGATTTTGAATTTTCATTTCCCGGGCTAGCCACTGGCAGTATGATACTCTAGTGAGGCTAGGCAGCAGCAGTGAGCCATAGCTCCTAGCAGTCATGCAGTTATGAAGGTAAACAACCAATACTTCATCGCGTACTGTGCTGCCACCATTTTGACCCACTGTAGGCTAATGTAAGTGTTCTGAGCACATTTAAGGTAGGCTAGGCAAAGCTATGATGTTCAGTACATTAGGTGTACTAAAAGCATTTTTTATTTACAGTGTTTTTAACTTATAGTAGGTTTATTAGGAGGTAACTCCTTCATAAATCAAGGATCATCTGTTTAAAATTTGAAAGTGTGTGTTTTTTAGAATTCTCTTAGTATTCACTGAAGTTGAATGGAGGCAACATACTCTCAGGTATATGGTTAACAAAAATTCATGCATGATTGACCCAAAATATGTATACATGAATGCTTATCATGGTGCCATATCTAATAGCAAAAATTGAAAACAAAGTGCCCAGGAGGAGTTGAAGGATAAGTAAACCTTAAAATATGCACATATTCTCTCAAGGAACGTGGATAGTATTGTGACTGATTCTTCTCCATGTGTGATCCACATAGATGATAAGATCATCATGAGAAGAACTTAATTTTATACTTGAGCTTTGCTTTGACTGAAAGATGAGAAATTTTGTGATTATTGGTATCATCTCTATGATGTCATATTACCTAGATTCACATATTCTTAACTCCATTAAAATAGAAATTATATTTGTGGGCGGGGAACTTATTTTCATCCATCTCTGTTTCCTTCCAATTGAGCAATTCCTTATTTTATGTTAACCTGATTTTAGTGGTTCATTGCCATAATTCTTAGAAATTATATCTCATTTTTTCCTGTGATTTTACTGTATTGAAGTAAATCTGGTTGGCAGGATATACAATATTACATGAATGAAATTTGCCTTTGGTAACTGAGAAAGTTCAAATAGACCTTGGTTCTAGCGAAGACTTGTTTCTAAGGAATTTAGATTCATTCTTTCAGACAGTATGAATATCATTATGGGGTCTTCTTCATGAGTTATGTATGTGATGGGATTCTTGTAAGATTTTCACCTTTTACCTGAGCTTGCCTTGACTGAAAGTTGAGAAAATTTTGTGATTCATTGGTATAATTTCTACAGTGCAATATTTATTTGGATCTAAGCATGCAAGTAAAAAAATTCATCCCTGTTATAGTATTTCAGGTTTGCAGTACGTTATGACATTTGTAGATCATTGATGGACTATGAATATTCAAGGGACCTGGCAATTGTACCCAGGGGATTGAGATCCAGATACTTGTTTGTTTGCCCATAGATATAAAATTAGGAGCTTCCTGATATCTAATTTACTTTTTTAGGAATAACACCCATGAGATACAGTTCTCATCTACTGCCCTACTCCTGTCCTTAGATAAATAACACCGGAAGAAGAAGACTCTCTGGCCTCTTACATCAGGGACACATGAAAAGCCACACTGAATATGTATGAACTCCAATATACTTTCACAGAAGGGTTTAAGGATGCCATCCCTGGTTATAATTTTTAGGACCAAATATATATATATATACACACATACACACACATTTAGGATAGATATATATTTAGGATATATAGGATAAATATATATATTTAGTGCCATGGTTTGGGTCATGAGGAGGTTTGATGACATAAAAATTATGCTCATAAGTATTATGCTGAGACCCATTCTTGGGAGGAGATGTGGGGGTGTCCTAGGCTGTGCAAAACATAGCTATGGAAACAGAAGTTATTAAGAGAAAAGAACAAGCAGTCAGTGAGAATTTAGATAAGAGACTGTAATAGAATAAAAGTATCAGATTAGTGAATGGTTGTCCTAGTAATTTGGAAGAAAAGGAATAAAAAATGGAGTCAGACTACTAAATGGCAAAAATAAAGACTTGAAGAACTTAATTTTATACCTGAGCTTTGCTTTGATTGAAAGTTGAGAAATCTTGTGATTTGTCGGTATCATCATCTCAAATCAACTTATTTTTCATCTCAACATGAAGAATATCAGCTCTAGCCTTTTGGAATTTCAGCAACTCAGATGCTTGTTAGAACTTATCCAGGACTGCTTGCAGGACCCAAAATACTAATAATCCATATGCCTTTTTTTCCAGCTGAAATTAGCTGTCTTAAGAGTTGTTTTTCAGTGCTCTGAGGATATCCACAAATATATCCCAAGGCACTCTGAAGTGTGTTTTCAATCTTTGGCCCTGCACACTGGGGATGCCCACTGGATGTTGCATGGAGTGTTGCCTCCAGTTGACTTTGATAGACACAATAAACACCACGTGAGAGCCCCCTCATGAAGGAGGGCTGAGGACTTGGAGTCCAATTCTCCACCTCCCCTGACAGATAGGCTATTCAATGCCTTGGGAATCCGACATGAAGGACTGCTTATAGCAGTCCTTGAAAACTTTCTACAGAATGTGAACTGGGAGAAGCTAAATGCTGTACTCACAAGCTGGGTGACTTCTCCATTGATTTTTACCATAGCTCACTGAAACATTTTCTAAATTAACAGGTATAAATTCACAGACAGATCAGAATAGATCCTTGGTCCTTTCCATTTTTCTGGCACTTTTGTTGCCAGGAATTCAAATACAACTAAGAGAAAAAGTGGGTAGCTAGCAAGAACAGATAGTTTCTCAAATATTAGTGGCAGTAACCCAACTTTGAGAAAATATGGAGAAAGAGAAGAAAAAACCCTTAAGACTGCAGTGTTAGCTGCCCAGTTACAATTATTCACAAAGTGAGCAAATACTTATTTGGGCCACCAATAAATAAGAGGGCACAAGCTAACGGGAAATTAATACGTCACTCATGTAAAAAGTCAACACATTAGAAAAAGGAATCTTGGATGAGATTGAGAAAGATGCAAGGGATAAAACCTGACAAGCTTTACAACCTCCTTGAGGAGGTCTTCCCTACTCTGTAAAATCAGACAGAAAATCATTGGCAAATGGAGCAAAGCATGGGCAAAACTGATATAATGAGGAAACAGAGCTGGGAAAGGATAAATTTATGTGTCTGTTTCTGTTTCCTATCTTTTAATCCTTTTTTACCCTTTCTTCTGGATACTGGAGCAACGTATTCTGCAATTTCTACAGGCCTTTTCTGTTTTATCCTAAACTAGGAAAATATCCAGATATAAGTATTTCTGGACTATCTGCTACCTCTTCTTTCTCCTCTGAGGTTTTCATGCAAATAGGCGAGGTCCTATTTGCATAAAATAGGAAGAATATGCCTTGTCTCCTAATATGCCCAATAATCTTTTAAGAAAGGGCCTGCTGTGTAAACCAAGGGCTATGATCTTCTGTACTCTGAAGAGAGTGCTTTTGGAGCTTCTGGGATGCAAGGTATCTACATTGCTAAATATGTGCTTTCTGAAACAAAAGATGGCTGTGGGAGAGTAGGAGTCTCACTCAATGCTGGAGAAGCACTCCCAAGTTACAGAAAATAAACCCATATCTATGAGTCCTAGGAACAAATGATAAAGATTTAACAAAAGAGATCAATACCATTGTTGTAACTTACAACAGAGAAAAACCTTGGCCATGTATAGAACATTTTCTCTATTTTTACCTCAAATATGATGTAATTAGAAAAATTTTAAAAAACGTGGCATAGTTAAAAAAAAATGGCACATTCACTTCATAATGCTTCCATATTGCCTGTGGGAAAGTTAGGAAAACTTGACAGGGAAGGTCAAACTGTTTATAGATTTATGCATGATCTTAGAGAAACAAGTTGTGATTCCTCTGACACTTGTAATTCCCAGCCTTGCCACTGTTTTAATATCTGTTCCTGAGTTATCTAAGTATTTTTCTGTCATGGATTTATGTTCAATGTTTTGTTCTCCATGTTTAGCTGGGGAGTCGAGGTTCCTGTTTGAGTTTACCTGTGGAGCGGGAGGCTTTCAATATTTGTGGCAACGGATCTTCCTGGAATTCAGAGAGTCACCTACTCCATTCTCTGGGCATTTATAAGAAAATATAAAGAATATTCCTCACATTAGGATTCCATACTAATTGTTATTGATAGCTGCTAATAACTTACATGCTAGTAAAGAAGACATTTTAGCTTTACTAAATTTCTTAGACTCCCAGGACGTAAAACCTCGCTAGCTAAGTTGCAATATTACCAACTGAAGTAAAATATTTGGGATCTGTGTTATTGGCAGATGGAAGGTGGTTGCATCTTGAAGTCAGCCTAATATACAAATGAAACAACATGCCAAAAAAAAACTTCACCGATTTTGAGGATTAATTGTAGATCTTTGCGTTTTATGAAAAGGCTAAGCCTCTCACTGAGATGTTACATGAAACATCACTAGAACTCTTTATTAAAGTCAAAATAAGGCTGAAGAAGTCTTTTATGCCCTTAAAATAGCTGCTATTTCTTCACTTGTATTACTTTTTTAACCTTGTTAAAAAAGGAGTTCTACCTTTTCTGTCTTGAGATTAAGGGTTACTCCAAAATTAGGCCTTGATTATAGGCACATTGCTTACTTTCCCAGGTTCTTGTATTTTGTCTCTCTGGAAATGCGATGATATTTATAAGGTACAGTGGCAACCACTCCCCTGATTAAAAAGGCTCATTCAGTCCTTGACTCTGAGAAATTTAACTTACTTACAGGTACTTCATGTTGTTACTGCTATTTTACAAGTTCATAAGACACAACACTTGTCAGTATGCTGTCAAACGAGCTAAGAACAAGTCTTATTGTGTGATCCTAATGCTATTCTAGGAAGGTGTAACCTTTTGACAGCTATTCTGTGGCCAGATCTTGACAGAATAAGTTGAACTTGACTGTCTCAGAGTGATTGAGGAAGACACTGGAGCATGGTCTAATTTTTGTAATATTCCTATTCCCAATGTTGACTGAATATTCATGAATATATTCTGTGTGAAAGACCCACAAAGGAATATAAAAGCATGTTCTACGGTAATCAACCCTCATGAAGCTTAGAGGCTTCTGTTTTTCGAAACATAAAATCAGCCCAAGTGGCAGAATTGTAGTTATTATACCAGCTGTTAAATTAGCCACCAGTTATAAAGCAGATATCTATACTGGTAATAACTATATGTTTGTGGTCTGTTATGTGACTAGCCAACTTTGGAAGAATAGATGCTAACGTCAATAGGAACTAAAATATTACATGAGAAGCTAATTTCTGATTTAGTAGAGTCATTCAAACTTCTCTAACAGATTTATGTAATTTATTGTAGAGCTCACAGTGGAAAACAAGATTAACTCTTTAAAAAGAAATTAATTTGCAGACCTAGCTGTGAAGGGCTTCTGACGTTTAGACTGGGGAAATCAAACCTCTATCACTTCTGTCCAAAACCTCCTATTCATAATTTCAGAAATAGCCAACTCTCTTAAGAATTAGAAAATTAGGAATGAAGGAGAACTAAGATGAACACCATAGGAAAATGAGAATTACATAATGAAATCTTTCCTTTATTCCGATTGTTATATGATTGAGTGGCTTTTTCATGCCACCAACAAGTTCGTTCAAGCAAAAGGAATATGCTGACAACTTGAAATCTTTGTAATAGCATCATATAATTCAGGAAATAATATGAAGATATGCTCTTTGTCAGAAAAATTCTTTCCTTACCTAAAATAAGTCAAGAAAGCCTACTAAGGCCCATGATACCTAGGATCTGCTGGCACAAGAACTTTATAGAACTTCCACCTTTAGAAGATAGTAAATATTTTTACCAGTGTTGTGTATTGGTGTCTGGATAGGCTAAAGCAGATGCTCAAACAGTGATCAAGCTCTTACTGAATCATATCATCTCAACCACTGGAATTCCTGAATATCTGGAATTCAGTAGGGGAATCATTCTGTATTTGTGGGAATTCGGGAATTTTGTAATACTCTACAAATACCAATAATTTACCTACCTGTTATCCCCAGTCTTCTGAACAAGTGGAATGAGTGAACCACATACCCTAAAGAATTATTTAGCTGAATTATTTAGCTAAGTTATGTAAAACCTTACCATCCGTTTCATTTAAAATAAGATTAAATCCCTCTAGCAAGCCCAACATTACTCCCTTTGAGTTTGGAAGGTCTACTAATCTTGGGCTTAAGCCTAACCCTTTCTCTGATACAATGGAAAATCCTCATGACCATATATGATACTTAAAGAGTTTGTGGGTTTCCCTAGGCTCACCTTGCCAACATGTGGCCAGATGCTGAAAAAGCCGCCTGGGGAAGTGTGTCATTGATATTGAACAGGAGATTCAGTCTATATCAAAGTGTTCTGATGACAGACTGTGACCACACTGGACAGAACCCTATCAAGTGTGGTTGAGAATTCATAGTGCTATCAAGATGAAGGAGAAACCCAAGTGGATACACGCTTCACATGTGAGACCAACATCCACCATCGAGTGGGGTATAATTCCCATTTAGGACCTTAAGGATAAATTCTCTAGATAGTAACCTTGAATAATATGCAAGCTAAAGAGAAAAACTTATTTGATAGACAGCAGGAGAGATAGACTGTTTTGTTATTAATACGTTCTTCTTAATTATTTTGACCATTATAATTTTGATACTTAGTTTGTATTAATTTTGATACTTAGTTTGTATCAATTGAACATAAAGCTTATTATTAGTCTTTCTTTTAAAAGTTAGTATCTCAACCTCAAGGAATTTTGTGGTAATTAAAAATTGTCCTGAATATGAGATCAGGACTTAAGAAACCCCTTTCTTTGTCATAATACTTCAAACTCACCAACTGGATGATTTAAATTCAGAAGACATGAAAAATTTCAAATCTTCCCACTGATTAGTCAATATTACAAAAATCTTAAATATCATCACCCTTTGTGTTATTGAAGATACTGATGAGAAGAAATTTTTAACTAATTAAGTTGAACGTAATTATATTCAAATTGAAAGTCCCTGAAGGGTATCACAAAACTCCAACAACTCTGTATCTTTTTTTTTTTTGAGCAGAGTTTCACCTTATTGCCCAGGCTAGAGTGCAATGGCACGATCTTGGCTCACCACAACCTCTGCCTCCCAGGTTCAAGCGATTCTCCTGCCTCAGCCTCCTGAGTAGCTGGGATTATAGACATGCACCACCATGCCTGGCTAATTTTGTATTTTTTGTAGAGATGGGGTTTCTCCATGTTGGTCAGGATGGTCTCAAACTTCCAACCTCAGGTGATCCACCCGCCTTTGACTCCCAAAGTGCTGGGATTACAGGTGTAAGCCACCACGCCCGGCCCAACTCTAGATCTTAAATAGCCATGGGGGTCCAATTTAATAAAGCTTAAATAGACACACAGATGAGAAAATATCCCAGCCCAAATGGTGAGGGTTAGTTTCTTCAAAACCCCCAAAACGTATCATCACCTAAAAATGAGCTTACCCTGTTTAGAACCTGGCAGTCTCCAGTCCCCATACTTACAAACTCGAGGATAATTAAATGGTCTGTATCATTTAATATTACAATAGCTAATGTGAGTAAACTGAATTCTACTTGTACATGATAGGCTTTACCACTATGAAATGTTTTTACACAGGGACTAAAATGGCACTATGATCAAACTGAAAGAGATTTCTTTTTTTAATAGATGGGGTCTGGCTTTGTTGCCTACACTGGAGTGCAGTAGCACAATCATAGCTGTCTATCGCCTGTAACTCCTGGGCTCAAGGGCTTCCTCCGTCTCAGCTTCCTGAGTAGCTGGGACTACAGGGACATGCCACCATGCCTGCCTATTTTTTTTTGTAGAGTCAGGGTCTTGCTCAGGCTGGTTTCGAACTTCTGGCCTCAAGTGATCCTGCTGCCTCGGCCTTCCGAAGCACTGGGTTCGCAGACATAAGCCACCATACCTGGCCAGAGATTATTAAATACAGTATTAGGGGGAATAAAACTAGGACTACAATTGTAAACTCTTCTGATATAGAAACAATTACTGATAAACAGTGCATTGGACAATTTGCAGAAAGATGCAAACATGATAGAATCAAAATCTAAACAAGATATGACAAAGAAAAACAAAAATGGAATTGGGAAAGCATTTGGAATTGGACATCTGGTAATAAAATTCTATTGCAAAAAAATATATAGTAAAGAATTTTCAGAAGCCTTCACTTGCATTAGTGCACAACCACTGGTTATTCAACAACTACAATGTATACTTGCTGGTACTGAAGTACAAGATTATACCTACTCAGACAAACAATTAGGTATTGGACATACTACTGTCTATGTAGAGATTAAATGATAGTGTAAAAAGGTTGATCATATTATAGGTAAAAGAGCTGAAATCTGGCATTGCAGATTGAAATTTCTGAAAACTGAAATAATAAAACTAATTTCACTAAAGTATGTACATTTTCTTATTTACATAGTTTATAATGTGTTATATAATTCATGAATCTTCAAAAGAAATATACTGAGCTATTCAATAAAAATTTACATTACAGCTTTAGGCCACCAAGCCCCATCTATTGATTATGTACTTGGTGTAAATTGGCGGGGGGAACAAAACAAGAGTGAAAACTGAGCCTCAAAATACAAAGCATGTAGCAAAACAGACTACTAAAATTATTCTCAATTTCTAAGCCCATTATATGATGCAGGAGAATTCTTATGTGTAGGTAATAAAGAATCTGTTCAAATATGCATCAGTGGTATGACAGTTTCAAATAACCCACTGAACTAGGAAATATTCACCACCAAGGAGGTCAGGTATACTGATTTGGTCAACCTGGATATTGACATGGGATGTTCTTACGGATTGACAGCTCCACTTGATGCTATCCTATCACAAAATATTATTACCTGATGTTGATATAATTAACAAGTCAATACAAAAAGTAAGGTCTCTCTACAAGACAAGACTAACATCTCTGTAATATAAATGGGACTCTGAGTGTAATAGATTTAGGGTTTCTGCAAGAATTTTGAAAGTTAAGGATCCAACGCCTGTAATCCCAGCACTTTGGGAGGCCGAGACGGGTGGATCACGAGGTCAAGAGATTGAGACCATCCTGGCCAACATGGTGAAACCCCGTCTCTAATAAAAATACAAAAAAAAAAAAAAAATAGCTGGACATGGTGGCACACACCTGTAATCCCCGCTACTCGGGAGGCTGAGGCAGGAGAATCGCGTGAACCAGGGAGGCAGAGGTTGCAGTGAGCCGAGATCGTACCACTGCACTCTGGCCTGGCAACAGAGCGAGACTCTGTCTCAAAAAAACAGGAAAGCAAAAGAAAAAGTTAAGGATCCTACCAACAAAATTGGAATATGAGACTGAGGAAATTCCTATTCCAGCTAAACCCAGAATTGATTATGTTGATGAACACATGAATTTCATGTGTGTGAAAACATATGAACTCCTCATTGTCAGTCTAATGAGAGTGAAAACAACACATCGAAGATGCGGGGAGACGACAATACAGAGTGGGCTCATAACTGCATTCTAGATACTGGGATTACTTTCCATTAAGGTATATAATTTTAGAATATCTCACAAATAGCCCATGCAAAATCCTGCGGAAAGGCAACCATAAATATAGAGAGAATATGTAAAAAAGTGGCATGGTCTAGTATATGCCAAACAAGGCAAGGGTATACAAAAACCTCAAGGTCCCAGTATGACAAATCATGCTTGTATTGCACACCCATTAAAAAGTCTTCTAAAAAGTTTTTTTAATGGTGTGCAGGCAGGTTTATTCAGAAAAAGCTCGGATTCATACTTGTAAAAGTCTGAGAAAAGCATTAAAATGCTATTATGATACAGTTGACCCAAACAACACAGGTTTGAGCTGTGCAGGTCCACTTATCTGTGGATTTTCTTCTACCTCTGCCACTGAGACAGAAAGACAAACTCCTCCTGCTCCTCAGACTACTCAGCATGAAGATGAGGATGAAGACCTTTAGGATGATTCACTTCTTCCTAATGAATAGTGAATGTATTACTTCCTTAATAACGTTTTTTTTTCTCTAGCTTCTTGTAAGAATACAGTATATAATATATGCAACACAAAAAATACGTGTTAATCAACTGCTTTATGTTATCAGTAAGGCTTCCAGTCAATGGGAGACTAACTACTAATTAAGTTTTTGGGGAGTCAAGTTATATGCAGATTCTCCACTGAGCAAATGTTCAGCACTCTTAACTCCTGTGGTGTTCAAGTGTCAACTGTATATATGTTTAAGAGTTATTGTTTACCCAGTAGATCAAGCCAAGACCAAGTTAGGTTTATGTGTTTTTGGCTTAACCTAAGAAAATGTTCAGACTAAAGCAGTCCATCAATAGAACAGACTGCCTTTTAAACCAGGGAACAACTTGTCTTTGTAGGTATTTTAGGTATATGAATGACCATATGTGATCTGCTTTGGGTCATCTATGGTCCCTTCCAACTTAAAACTTCTCTATTCATGAACATTGCATAACTGAATTGTGGATTTCATATAAATAATATCTTGTTGCCTACTTTAGGTTTGAAATGTTTTCCTTCTCAGTTGCATAGATATGTATAGCACCATCCCCACTATGAACTCTCATGTAGAAAATACCAGATTCTAAAGTCATCTGTGAGGCTAAATGTCAGACTTAGGCACTTCCACATAATGCTGCAAAAAGCAACAGCTTAAAGGTATTACTTGCTCAACATGTCATTCCAAACACATACACTATGATTAGCAGCTGAATTTAACAGTATCTTTCCACTTTGAAAAACACTTTATATACCTTTACAAAGAAGCCATAGTATCTCAGGGTAGAAAAACTCAACAGGTAGAAAACATGGCCTTCTCTTAGAAATGAGCTACGTAATTTTGAGTACTTATCTCAAAATCATTGCAGAAACATATCTAGTGCTTATGGAAAAAGAATCAAAAGATCTTTTTTTTTAGCTAAAGATTTTGAGTTTTTCTTGTGACATTTAAGTCTTTTAATGTATGCTGATTTTTATGATTATCTAACTGTTTCATAATGGTTATTCTTGCCTCCATGAAAGGGAAGACTAGAACAAAAACCTGACAAGAACAAGTTCTAGCTCCATCACCGACTTACTGAGTGACCCTAGGCAAATCATGTGGGCTCTTTCTTGTGTTTTAAGTTTTACCTCCAATGAAGTAACTGCCTCAGACTAGCTGTGAAGCTCTCATAAAGTGATGGATTTGAAAATGCCTTGCAAAGAATGAGCAGTTAATACATAGAAAGTTTCATGTACTTCCGTATATTGCATGATGCCCACCCAGGGTTAGGTTGATAACAGTTGTTGATCCAATAATGAAAGAAATAAAAAGAACTCTTTAAAATAACGAAGTAAAATAGCTAATTTTCCTGTTGTAGTTTTAAAAATTATATAAACTATATAACTAAACATATTTATGTTTATTATATATAATATGATATGCAATTACATAAGACATTATTATATAATGTTTTTATATAATGCTTAAGTAATTAAACAATTATATTTAAATATAAGTTATACTTTCCTTCCCCAGATAAGACAAAGAACCTGTTTACTTCTCTGAGGGATTTATTGGTTCCTGTGAAATCTGTGGAGGCCGCTAACACTCCATAGCCAGAGAATGACAACATATGATTTTCTTTTCAGTCTTGTAGTATCCACAGTAGTGATGTCTGTCCATGTACAAGTGTCTGTCCAGGACATCCATTAAATTCCATGCCTGCTCTGTGTGTTATGAGGGCAGGGACAGAAGACAGATTCACTGGTGGTACTTTCAAACAATGTGGTAGGCCTTCCTTTTGGGGTCTGCCATGACAATGATACCCCAGGCGGCAATGCTAAGGCCCATGACCATCTTCATAATGGTCCATGGACCCGGGGGGTATCCCATCTTCATGGGCTTCTGTGCCACCCAGTACACATACCCGCCTGCCCCCATCAGCCGCAACCCAGAAAGCACGTGACAGCTCCAGCAGGTCTCCAACAGGTGGTGTTCTGCTGGTGAGGTCGGCGATCCGGGTGTAGCTGGGGTTGCAGGCTTGGCAGGCACGGCGGCGGTATCGGGAGGCACAGCGATCTTGAGGGACTCAAAAGGCTGGGACAACTGAGACCCCGTGTTCTGGAACTCGGCCTCCCTAAAAATTATGTTTTAAAAAATACATAGAATCGGTAAGATGAGGAAAAAGCATAAAACGGTCAAAAACACTGGGATAATTCAAGGTTCATTTTGACAATGGTAATACAAATAGAAAAACTGACAAAAAAGAAAATACATCTTACATTAGAAAACATACAAGAGTAGTTGTATACAAACGAAGACACGTACCAAAAATAAGTTACAAAATATGAATGCATATACATAAAAAATGTAGTTTCAAACAATTCAAAAGTAAAATGATGCAAGACATTAAAATATTCACAAACACGCTCGAAAAATAAGAGCTGACGCCCAAATTAGACCAGTTCAACGGAAGTGTGGGGTGTGGTTGGGGATCCGCCGCAGAAATCACGTGGCGCCCAGGCCAAGGCTGCAATTTCCCATGCTGCTTGGAGAAGACGCCTGGGAGGGCTCCCACCATGCCCAGGGGCAGGCTATGTGACTGCCCGGTCTGCAGCTGTAAGTGGTTTCTGGGCCAGTCTCTTTGTCTGGTCATGACCTGGTTGGTGGCCCTAGCTTGTGCCGAGTGGTCCCGGAGTGGCCCAGGGGGTTGTGTGTGGGGAGCCAGCGTGGGCAGCGGAGGTGCTCCCTGGGGCCTGCAGTAGGGCACAGCCTCTGCATCTTGTGTGAGCCCAGTGACCCGCCTGTCCTGTCCTTCCAGGGTTGGGTGGCAGGGAGGGCCAAGGGTGCCCTGCGTCCGTGACGGGTCAGCGTTTCCAGCAAATGGGTCCATGGAGGGAGAGCCTAGCTGAGCCGGCGGGCTCTACCACCTTCATGAGGTTCTGTTTGGACACCTGTCCTACTCCTGTTCCCCCAGATGGTGACCATGGAGGAAGACTTGTGTTGGGCCCAATGGCCCTCGGCCAGTGTCCGTCTGCCAGGTGCCAGCCCCCGGTGCGCTGAAGCTCAGGCCATTCCTGATGCCCTGGCCTCCTGCACTGAGCTGTGGTGAGCCCATCCGGGTCCTGCTGGATACATGGGCGGGGAGGGGGGTGCCCTGGGTTGTGTTGATGATGAGAACCTTATATTATCCTGAAGAGAGGTGATGACTTAAAAATCATGCTCAATAGGATTACGCTGAGGCCCAGCCTAGGTGAGAATTTTGGAAGAGGATGCTGGGATCCAGAGGCCCCCGACGGGGCCACTGTATTTCGGGCTGCAGACCTAGAGGCCCTGAAGGGCATCTGAAGGTGGCCCAAGCCTATCTCTGAGCAACCCCGTGAGGCAGTCAAGGATCCCTGTGTGGGCATAGGCTGGGGCTCTGGTTCCCTAGGGGCAGGGCATGTGGGTGGCTCCTCCCTGACCCCCATTCTCCCCTGTGTCTTTCAGTGAGCTCTTCTGCCCAGGCAGGCCCCCTGGCATTGACCGGCATAGGTGAGTGGATCCTGCTGGGGTCATGGGCCATGAGCCAGGCTGCTGGGGTCGCCAAGGGTCAGCCTTTGGGACAGGAGGGTTTCCTTAGGGAGCCAACCTGAATCCCCACTGGGGAGGGCTAGGTTCTCCAGGAGGGCAGCTTCCTTGGGAGTCTGACCCAAGGAGGATATCTTCTCTAAAGCCCTGCAGTGGTGAGGGTGGTCCAGGCAGCAAAGGGTTCCTTCAACCCCACCCAGGACAGCGCCCAGCTGAGACTCAGTGTGCAGGTCTGGCCATGAGGACTGCCCAGGTCACATAAGGGGGTCCATAGGAGCTCCGGGGCACCACAGGGGTCACACAGGAGCTCTCCTTCCCCAGAGAGGGGTGAGCGATTGGGCCTATGGGGTCAGGCCTTTGGAGATCAAGGATTGGGCCCCACCCATGAACCTGAATGGGACTGAGCCTTTGAGCAATGGACCATCCCAGTGGTGCCTCGGAGCCTAGTCGGGGGTGATGTGGCTTCAAGGGGGTTGGGTCAAGGCTGAGCTCTGGCCGGTGCCTGGTAGTGCTGCAGGCTGGCCCTGGGACTCGCTGGCTTTGGGCAAAGGGGCCAGCCCGTGTCCCACTGGAGGTCACCCCTTCCCTGTGGGCAACTAGCAGGAAGGGTGGCATCCTTAGCTGGGAAGGCCCACTGTCGAGGGTCCTGTCCAGGGAATTTGCCTCCCAGGCTTCTTCTGATCCACGGACTCACCTCCAGGGTGGTGGGGTCTTGGGCCCGAGGAAAGGAGAAGATACCCTGTGTTCCCCAGTTGGCTGAGTGTGGCTTGGCTCTGTGTTTGGGAGGTGTGTAGGGTATGAATGGGGACCCACCAGAGAACACACATGGCCCAGGGCCCCAGGTTATGATTTCCCATGCACACTTGGAGAGAACTCTGGGTGAGTGCCCTCCACTCCCAGGCACAGGCTATGCAACTGCCAGGTCTGCAGTGGCATGTGGCTTCCAGGTCAGCCTCCTTGGTTGGCCATGAGCAGGTTGGTTGCCCTGTCCTGTGCCCAGTGGTCTTGGAGTGGCCCAGGGGTCCTGCAGGGGAGCTGGTGTGGGTAGTGGAGGTGCTTGTGGGGCCTGCAATAGAGCGCAGCCTAGGTGCCTTGCACGAGCTCAGTGACCCACCTGCCCTGTCCTAGTCCTAGCTCAGTGACCCACCCCCGCTTTGCAGTGATGGGGAGTACCAAGCGTCTCCTGCGTCTGTGATGGGTCAGTGTTCCCATCACATGGGTCCATGGAGGGAGAGCATGCATGAGCTGGCACCACCCACCACCTTCCCACTATGGAGGCGTGAGGCCATGTTTGGACACATGTCTTCTTGTCCCCCCAGACAGTGAGCCTGGAGGAAGACTTGCCCTGGTCCCACTGTCCCTGGGCCAGTGTCCATCAGCCAGGTGCCCAGACCCCAGTGCGCTGAAGCTCAGCCCTCCCTGGCACTCTGGTCTCCTGCACTGAGCTGTGGTGAGCACATCCAGGTCCTGCTGGATGTTTGCATGGGGAGGGGCTTTCCCCGGGTTGGGTCGATGATGAGAAGCTTCTGTTTTCTTGAAGAGAGGTGATGACTTAAAAATCATGCTCAATAGGATTATGCTGAGGCCCAGCCTAGGTGAGAATTTTGGAAGAGGATGCTGGGATCCCCGGCAGGAGGGATTTTGGGCTGGAGACCTGGAGGCCCTGAAGGGTATCTGCAGGGGCCCCATCCCTGTCTCTGCACTTGTCTGTGAGGCAGCCCAGTTTCCCTGTGTGGGCTTCGTGTCAGTGCTCTGGTTCCCTGGAGCAGGGCACGTGGGTGGCTCATCCCTGAAGTCACGTTCTCCCTTTGTGTCTTTCAGTGAGCTCTTCCGCCCATGAGGGCCCCCTGGCCTTGAGCAGCATAGGTGAGCGGATCCTGCTGGGCTCATGGACCAGGCCACATGGGGTCACTGAGGGTCAGCCTTCAGGACAGGAGGGATTCCTCAGGGAGACAACCTGAATCCCCACTGGTGAGGGATTGGTTCTCCAGGAGAACCACCTCCTTGGGAATCTGACCCAAGGAGGACACCTTCCCTGAAGCCCTGCAGGAGTGACAGTGGTCCAGGCAGGAAAGGGTTCCATTAGTCCCATGCAGGGCAGCTCCCAGCTGAGACTTGGTGCTAGGGTCTGGCCTCGAGGACTGCCCAGGCCACATGAGGCAGGGTCTCAGGCTGCTATTTCCAGTGCATGCTTGGAGAGGGAGCCTGGGTAGGCCCCCTCCCTGTGCAGGGGCAGGCTGTGCATCTGCTGGGGCTGCAGCGGTGCCTGCCTTCAGGACCAGCCTCCTTGGTTGGCTTGAGCTGGATAGTGGCCTTGGCCCCACCCAGGGGTCATGGTGCAGCCCAGGAATTGCAGGGGAGCTGGCATGGGGAGTGGAGGTGCTCCAGGGGCTTGCAGTAGGGCACAGCCTGGGCATCTTGCTTGAGCCCAGTGACCAGCCTGCCCTGTTTTCCAGGGTTCAGTGGCAGGGAGGACCAAGGGTCCCCCACGTCCATGACTATCACTGTTTCACATGGATCCCATCAGGTGGGTCCATGGAGGGAGAGCATGTGTGAGTCAGCACCCCCTGCCTCCTTTCCCGCATGGAGGCATGAGGTTCTGTTCGGACACTTTTCCCTGTCTCTCCAGATGGTGACCCTGAAGGAGGACTTGTGTTGGGCCCAATGGCCTGGGGCCAGTGTCTGTCAGCCAGGTGCCCAGCCCCTGGCGTGCTGAAGTTTGGGCCCTTCCTGGTGCCCTGTTCTATCGGGGGAACCCGCCCCCAATAATTCAACGTAGGTCCTTTTCTATTTTCCCTAAGTGTCGGCCGGTCTGAGAAATAAAGGGAAAGAGTACAAAAGAAAGAAATTTTAAAGCTGGGTGTCCGGGGGAGACATCACATGTCGGCAGGTTCCATGATGCCACCCAAGCTGCAAAACCAGCAAGTTTTTATTAGTGATTTTCAAAGGGGAGGGAGTGTACAAATAGGGTGTGGGTCACAGAAATCACATGCTTCACAAGGCAATAAAATATCAGAAGGCAAATGAGGGCAGAGCACCAGGGCCAAATTGAAATTGCTAATGAAGTTTCGGGCACGCATTGTCATTGATAACATCTTATCAGGAGACAGGGTTTGAGAGCAGACAACCGGTCTGACCAAAATTTATTAGGCAGGAATTTCCTCGTCCTAATAGGCCTAGGAGCGCTTCGGGAGACCAGGGCTTATTTCATCCCTTATCTACAACTGTATAAGACAGACATTCCCAGAGCGGCCATTTTAGAGACCTCCCCCTAGGAAGGCATTCTCTTTCTCAGGGTTGTTCCTTGCTGAGAAAAATAATTCAGCAATATTTCTCCTATTCGCTTTTGTAAGAAGAGAAATATGGCTCTGTTCCGCCCGGCTCTCAGGCAGTCAGGCCTGATGGTTGTCTCCCTTGTTCCCTGAACATCGCTGTTATCCTGTTCTTTTTTCAAGGTGCCCAGATTTCATATTGTTTAAACACACATGTTTTACGAACAATTTGTGCAGTGAACGCAATCATCACAGGGTCCTGAGGCGAAATACATCCTCAGCTTACGAAGATGACGGGATTAAGAGATTAAAGTAAAGACAGGCATAGGAAATAATAAGAGTATTGATTTGGGAAGTGATAAATGTCCATGAAATCTTCACAATTTGTGTTCTTCTGCCATGGCTTCAGCAGGTCCCTCCGTTTGGGGTCCCTGACTTCCCTCAACACTGGTCTCTTCCACTGAGCCTTGGTGAGCCCATCTAGGTCCTACTGGATGCATGTGTGGGGAGGGGGGTGCCCTGGGTTGGGTCAATGATGAGAACCTTATATTGTCCTGAAGAGAGGTGATGACTTAAAAATCATGCTTAGTAGGATTACGCTGAGGCCTAGCCTAGGTGAGAATGTTGGAAGAGGATACTGGATGCTGAGGTCCCTGGCTGAGCTACTGTATTTTGGGATGGAGATCTGGTGACTCTAAGGGCACCTGAAGGGCCAGACCCTGTCTCTATGAGGCAGCCCAGGCTCCCTGTGCAGGCTTGCTGTTGGCACTCTGGTTCCCTGGGGTGGGACATATTGGTGGCTCCTCCCTGAGCCCTGTTCTCCCCTTGTGTCTTTCAGTGAGCTCTTCCACCAAGGAGGGCCCCCTGGCATTGACTGGCATAGGTGAGTGGATCCTGCTGGTGTCATGGGCCATGGGCCAGGCCACGTGGGGTCACCAAGGGTCAGCCTTCAGGAAAGAAGGGTTTCCTCAGGGAGCCAAACTGAATCCCCACTGGGAAGAGATGGGTTCTCCAGGAGGGCGGCTTCCTGGGAAACAGGAACCAAGGAGGACGCCTTCCCTGAAGCCCTGCAGGGGTGACGGTGGTCCAGGCAGGAAAGGGTTCCTTCAATTCCACCCAGGGCAGCTCCCAGCTGAGTCTCGGTGCTCGCGTCTGGACTGCCCTGACTATGTGGGGGGCCACAGGGGCTCTGGGGTGCCTTGGGGGTCACACAGGTGCTCTTTGTCCCTGGAGAAAGGTGGGTGATCAGGCCCATGGAGTTGAGCAGTGGAGATTCAAGGATTGCACCTGACACATGGTCCTGAATGGAACCCACCCTGTTGAGCAATGGGCCATCCCATGGGCCTCTTCAAGCCTGAAGAGGGGCGGTGCTGTTTCACTGGGTTTAGGTCAAGGCTGAGCTCTGGCCGGTGCCTGGTGGTGCTGCAGTCTAGCTGTTGGACTCGTGGGCTTTGGGCCAGTGGGGCAGCCTGCATCCCTCTGGAAGTCACCCCTTCCCTGTGGCTGGAAGTTACCCCTTCCCAGTGGGCGAATGTGGGGAAGGGTCACCTCCTGAAGTGAGAAGGCCCACTATTGAGGGTCCTGTCCTGGCAATTTGCTGCCCATGCTGCTTCTGAGCCATGGAGACACCTCCAGTGTGGTGGGATCTTGGGCCCAAGGAAGGGAGAAGACACTGTGCCCCCCGATTAGCTGAGTGTGGCCAGGCTGTGTGTTTATGAGGTGTGAGGGGCATGGATGGAAACTCACCAGAGAAAGCATGTGGCCCTGGGACCCCAGGTCGTGGTTTCCAGTATGTGCCCAGATACAGCACATGGGTGGGTGCCCACCATGCACAGGGACTGGCTATGTGACTGCCAGCTGTGCAGCAGCATCAGGCATATGGGCCAGCCTCCTTGGTTGACAATGAACTGGTTGCTGGCCCTGGCCTGTGCCCAGTAGTCCTGGGGTGACCCTGGTGTCATACAGGGGAGCTGGCATGTGTAGTGGAGGTGCTTGTGGGGCTTGCAGTAGGGCACAGCCCTGGCTTCTAGCCTGAGCCCAGTGACCTGCCTGTCCTATCCTTTCGGTGTTCAGTGGCGGAGAGAGCATTGGGTGCCCTGCATCCATGATGGGTAAGTATTCCACATGGATCTCATCACATGGGTCCATGGAAGGTGAGCATCCCTGAGCTGGCACACCACACCTTCTGTCCACATGGAGGGGTGAGGTTGTGTTTGGGCACTTGTCCTCTTCCTGTTCCTTGAGATGGTGACCCCAGAGGAGGACATGCGTTGGGCCCGCTGTCCCTGGCCAGTGGCCATCAGCCAAGTGCCTAGCCCCTATTGCACTGAAACTCGGGCCCTTCCTGTCACCTTGGTCTCCTGCGTTGAGCTTGGGTGAGCCCATCCGGGTGCCACTGGATGCCTAGGCAGGGAGGGGGGTGCCCTGGGTTGGGTCGATGATGAGAACTTTATATTGTTCTGAAGAGAGGTGATGACTTAAAAATCATGCTCAATAGGATTACGCTGAGGCCCAGCCTAGGTGAGAATTTTGGAAGGGGACACTAGAATCCCGAGGTCCCCAGCAGGGCTGCTGTATTTTAGGCTGGATACCTCGAGGCCCTGAAGGGCACCTCATGGAGGGGCCCAATCCTGTCTGTGCTCCTCTATTAGGCACACCAGACTTTCTGTGTGGGCTTGGTGTCCACGCTCAGCTTCCCTGGGGTGGGACACGTTGGCGGCTCCTCCGTGAGCCCCATTATCCTCTGTGTCTTTCAGTGAGCTCTTCCCCCCAGCAGACCCCTGGGATTGACGAGCATAGGTGAGTGGAGACTGCTGGTGTCATGGGCCATGAGCCAAGCTGCGTGGGGTCCCCAAGGGTCAGCCCTCGGGCCACCTGGGTTTCCTCAGGAGCTGATCTGAATCCCAACTGGGGATGTGTTCTCCAGGAGGGCAGCTTCCTTGGGAATCAGACATAAGGAGGAGGCCTTCTCTGAAGCCCCGCAGGGGTGGCAGTTGTCCAGGCAGGAAAGGGTTTCCTCAGCCCCACGCAGGGCAGTGCTCAGCTCAGACTTGGTGCTTGGGTCAGGCCTCTAACATGGCCAGGCCACATGAGGGGGGCAACAAGGGCTCCGGGGAGCCAAGGGCATCTCACGGGGGCTCTCCAACCCTGGAGAAGGGTGGGTGATTCGGTCCATGGGGTCAGGCCATGGAGATTCATGGATTGCAGCAAACCCAGGACCCTCAATGGGACTGACCCTATAAGCAGTGGGCCCTCCCAGTGGCACCTCTTTGAGCCATTTGTGGGGCGGCGCTGTTTCTCTGAGGTTGGGTCAAGACTAGCTCTGGCCAGTGCCTGATGGTGGTGCAATCCACTCCTGGGACTCGTGGGCTCTGGGCCAAGGCTGCAGCCCATGTCCCGCTGGGGGTCACCCCTTCATTGTGGGCGAGTGGCAGTAATGGCCTCCTGAGTTGGGAAGGCCCGCAGTGGAAGGACCTTTCCTGGAAATTTGCAGTCCAGGCTGCTTCTCAGCCATTAGGACAACTCCAGCGGGTTGGGGGGCAGGGGCGGGTCTTAGGCCCAAAGAAAGGAGAAGATACCATATGTCTCCCGGTTGGCTGAGTGTGGCCCTGCTGTGTGTGTGGGAGGTGTTGTGTGGGGCATGGATTGGGACACACCAGAGAAAGCTTGTGGCCCTGGAGCCCCAGGCTGCGATTTCCAGTGCACCTTGAGGAAAGGAGGGTGGGTGCCCTCCATGCACAGGGCAGACTGTGCAACTGCCAGGTAGGCAACAGCACGTGGTGTCCGGGCCAGGGTCCTTGGTTTGCTGTGAGCTCTTTGGTGTCCGTGGCCCCTACCCAAGGATCCAGATACCACCCGGGGTCATGCAGGGGAGCTAGCATGGGCAATGGAGGTGCTCAAGGGGCCTGCAGTAGGGCACAGCCCAGGTGTCTTGCCTGAGCCCAGGAACCCACCTGCCCTGTCCTTCCATGGTTCAGTGGCTGGGAGAGCAAAGGGTTCCGCTGATCTATGACACATCAGTGTTTCCCATGGATCCCATCACATGGGTCCACGGAGAGAGAGCATGTGTGAGCTGGCACCCCCAACCCCATTCCCTGTATGGAGGCGTGAGCCCATGGTTGGACACATGTCCTCCTCCTGTCCCCCCAGATGGTGACTGTGGAAGAAGACTTGCTTTGGGACCGCTGGCCCCAGGCCAGTGGTTGTCATCCAGGTGCCCAGCCCTTGGTGCACTTGAGCTCAAGCCCTTCCTGGTGCCCTGGCCTCCTGCCCTAAGCTGTGGTGAGCCCATCCAGGTCCCACTGGATGCATGCATGGGGAGGAGGGTGCCCTGGGTTGGATCGATGATGAGAACCTTATATTGTCCTGAAGAGAGGTGATGACTTAAAAATCATGCTCAATAGGATTACGCTGAGGCCCAGCCTTGGTGAGAATTTTGGAAGAGGATGCTGAGATCCCAAGGTCTCTGGCAGGGCCACTGTATTTTGGGCTGGAGACCTGGAGGCCCTGAAGGGCATCTTAGGGGTGCCCGACCCCATCTCTGCGCTCCTCCTTGAGGCAGCCCAGGCTCCCTTGCGGGCTTGGTGTCAGCCCTCCAGTTCCCTGGGGTTGAGGCACATTGGAGGCTCCTTCCTGAGCCCCCATTCTCCCCTGTGTCTTTCAGCGAGCTCTTCTGCCCAGGGGGACCCCTGGCCTTAAGTGGGATAGGTAAGTGGATCCTGCTGGGGTCGTGGACCATGAGCCAGGTCGCTTTGGGTCACTGAGAGTCACCCTTCAGGCCACGAGGGATTCCTCAGGGAGCCCATCTGAAACCCACCAGGGACGGATGGTTTCTCCAGGAGGACAGCTTCCTTGGAAGTCGGTCCCAAGAAGGATGCCTTCCCTGAAGCCGTGCAGAGATGATGGACGTCCAAGCAGGAAGGGCTTCCTTCAACTCAATGCAGTGCACATCCTAGCTGAGACTCAGTGCACAAGTCAGGCCTGGAGGACTTCCCAGGCCACATGAGGGGGTCCACAGGGTCTCCAGGGGCCACGGGTGTTATGAGGGTGCTCTCTGTCCCCGAGGCTTGCAGAGGGGCAGGGTGTGGGTGATCGGACTTATGGAGTCAGGCCGTGAAGATTCAAGGATTGGGCCCAACCCATGGCCCAGCATGGGCCGAACCTGTAGAGCAATGGGCCATCCCGGTGGTGCATCCTTGAGCCTTGTGGGGGTGGTGTGACCTTAGTGGGGTTGGGTCAAGCCTGAGCTCTGGCCTTCACCTGGTGGTGCTGCAGGCTGGCCCTGGGAATTTGGGCTTTGGGCCAAGGGTGCAGTCTGTGTCCCGCTAAAGGTCACCCCTCCCCAAAGTGGAGTGGCCAGAAGGATGGCATCCTGTGGTAGAAGTCCCACTGTCAAGGGTCCTGTCCTGGCAATTTGTTGCCCAGGCTGCTTCTAAGCCATGGGTTCACCTCCAAAGTGGCGGGGTCTTGAGCCGAAGGAAAGGGGAAGACATCATGTGTTCCCTGATTGACTGAGCATGGCCTGGCTCTGCATTTGGAGGTGTGCGGTGCACGAATGGGGACCCATCAGAGAAGGCATGTGGCCCTGGGGCTCCAGGATTTGATTTCTGGTGTGAGCTTTTACAGGGGGTCTGTAGTGGCACGTAGCATTCAGGTCAGCCTACTTGGTTTGCTCTGAGCTTGTTGGTGGTCCTGGCCCTGCCCAGTGGTCCCATTGTGGCATAGAGTCATGTGAGGGAGCTGTGGCAAGGAGGGCCAAGGGTTCCCCACATTCATGATCGTTACTGTTTACATGGATCCCATCTCTTGAGTCCATGGAGGGACAGCATGTGTGAGCCAGCACCCCCTGCCCACTTTCCTGCATGGAGGCGTGAGGCCGTATTTCTATACGTGTCCCCCACCCCTCCAGATGGTGACCCCAGAGGAAGACGTGCATTGGGTCCGCTGGCCCCAGGCCAGTGTCTCTCAGCCATGTGCTCAACACCTGGTGAGCTGAAGCTCAGGCCCTTCCTGGCATCCTGGTCTCCTGCACTGAGCTGTGGTGAGCACATCTGGGTTCCTCTGGATACGTGTGCAGGGAGGGGGATGCACTGGGTCGGGTCAATGATGAGAACCTTATATTGTTCTGAAGAGAGGTGATGACTTAAAAATCATGCTCAATAGGATTACGCTGAGGCCCAGCCTAGGTGAGAATTTTGGAAGAGGATGCTGGGATCCCAAGTTCCCCAGCATGGCCAGTATATTTTAGGCAGGAGACCCTGAGGCTCTGAACGGCATCTCCGGGGGGCACAACCCTGGCTCTGGGCTCCTCTGGGAGGCAGCCCAGGTTCCCTGTGCAGGCTTGGGCTCTGGTTCCCTGAGCCCCCATTCTCCCTCGTGTGTTTCAGTGAGCTCGTCCTCCTAGGTGGGGCCCCCAGGCATTGACCGGCATAGGTGAGTGGTCCTGCTGGGGTCATGGGTCATCAGCAGGTTGGAGTCACCAAGGGTCAGCCTTTGAGACAGGAGGGTTTCCACAGGCAGCCGACCTGAATCCACACCATGGAGGGATAGATTGGTCCTCCAAGAGGGCTGTTTTTTTTCGGAATCAGACCCAAGGAGGATACCTTCCCTGCAGCCCTGCGGGGATGACGGTGGTCCAGGCAGGGAAGGGTTCCTTCAGTCTCACGCAGGTCAGCTCCCAGCTGAGTCTCAGTGCATTGGTCTGGCCTCCAGGACTGACCAGGCCACGTGAGGGGGGCAACAGGGGCTTCGGGATGCAGTGGGGTCACACAGGATCTCTCCATCCCCAGAGAAAGGTGGGCATAGAACCCATGGATTCGAGCTGCAGAGATTCAAGAATCGCACACGAATTATTGCCCTGAATGGGACCCACCCTGTTGAGCAATGTCCCATCCCAGGGCACCTCTTTGAGCCTGAAGGGGGTGGTGCTGTTTCCCTAGGTTTGGGTCAAGGCTGAGCTCTGGCCAGTGCCTGGTGGTGCTGTAGTCCTGTCATGGACTCGTTAGCTTTACGCCAAGGGGTCAGCCCACGTCCTACTGGGGATCTCCCCTTCCCTGTGGCTGGAAGTCACCCCTTCCCCATTGGCAAGTGTCAGGAAGGGTGACCTCCTGAGGTGGAAGTCCTGTTGAGGGTCTTGTCCCTGGAATATGCCACGCATGCTGCTTCTGAGCCATGGGGTCACCTCCAGGGTAGCGGGTCTTGGGCCCAAGGAAAGGAGAAGTCACCATGTGTCCCCCGATTAGCCAAGTGCGGCCCTGCTCTGTGTTTAGGAGGTGTGTGGGGCATGGATGGGGACCCACCAGAGAAAGCATGTGGCCCAGGGACCCCAGGTTGCAATTTCTAGGACATGCTGGGATAGGGCACCTGTGTGGGTGTCCACAGTGCACAGGGATAGGCTATGTGACTTGCAGGTCTGCAGCGGCATCTGGCATCCAGGCCAGCCTCCTTGGTGGGCCGTGAACTGAATGGTGGCGCTGGCCTGTGCCCAGTATATCTGGTATGACCCTGGGGTCGTGTGGGGGAGCCGGCATGGGCAGTGGAGGTGCTTATGGGACCTGCAGTAGGACACAGTCGGGGCTTCTTGCCCAAGCCCAGTGACCCGCTTGCCCTGTCCTTCCAGGGTTCGGTGGCTGAGAGAGCTTTTGTTGCCCTGTGTCCGTGACGGGCCAGTGTTCTGCATGCATCCCATCACATGGATCCATGGAGGGTGAGCATCCCTGGGCTGACACACCCCACCTTCTGCCCCCATGGAGGGGTGAGGTTGTGTTTTCACACCTGTCTTACTCCTGTTTCCCCAGATGTTGAGCCCAGAGGAAGACTTGCACTGGGCCCAATGGCCCCAGGTCAGCGTCCATCAGCCAGGTGTCCAGCCCCTGGTGCACTGAAGATCGGGCCCTTCCTGGTGCCCTGGTCTCCTGCATTGAGCTGTGGTGAGCACATCCGGATCCTGCTGGATGCGTGTGCGGGGAAGGGGGTGCCCTGGGTTGGGTCAATGAGAACCTTATATTGTCCTGAAGAGAGGTGATAACTTAAAAATCATGCTCAATAATAGGATTACGCTGAGGCCCAGTCTAGGTGAGAGGTTTGGAAGAGGATGCTGGGATTCCGAGGTCCCCAGGAGGGCCCCTGTATTTTTGGCTGGAGACCTGGAGGCCCTGAAGGGCATCTTGTGGGTGCCCAACCCTGTCTCTGCGCTCCTCCTTGAGGCAGCCCAGGCTCCCTGTGCAGGCTTGGTGTCAGCCCTCCAGTTCCCTGGGTTTGAGGCACATGGGAAGCTCCTTTCTGAGCCCCGTTCTCCTCTTGTGTCTTTCAGTGAGCTCTTCCACATGGAAGACCCCTGTCATTGACTGGCATAGGTGAGTGGCTGGCATCATGGGCCATGAGCCAGGCCGCGTGAGGTCGCCAAGGGTCAGCCTTCGGGAAAGAAGGGTTTCCTCAGGGAGCCAACCTGAATCCCCACTGGGAAGATATGGGTTCTCCAGGAGGGCGACTTCCTGGGAAACAAGAACCAAGGAGGTCCCCTTCCCTGAAGCCCTGCAGGGGTGACGGTGGTCCAGGCAGGAAAGGGTTCCTTCAGTTCCACCCAGGGCAGCTCCCAGCTGAGGCTCGGTGCTTGCGTCTGGACTTAAGGACTGCCCTGGCCATATGAGGGGTGCCACAGTGGCTCTGGGGTGCCATGGGGTCACACAGGCACTCTCTGTCCCTGGAGAAAGGTGGGTGATTGGGCCCATGGAGTTGAGCTGTTGAGATGCAAGTTTTGCACCTGACACATGGCCCTGAATGGGACCCACCCTGTTGAGCAATGGGCCATCCCATGGGCCTCTTCGAGCCTGAAGGGGGGCGGTGCTGTTTCACTGGGTTTAGGTCAAAGCTGACCTCTGGCCGCCACCTGGTGGTGCTGCAGTCCAGCCCTTGGACTCGTGGGCTTTGGGCCAAGGGGGCAGCCTGCATCCCACTGAAAGTCACCCCTTCCCTGTGGCTGGAAGTTATCCCTTCCTCATGGGCGAGTGTTGGGAAGGGTGGCCTCCTGAAGTGGGAAGGCCCGCTATTGAGGGTCTGCTCCTGGCAATTTGCTGCCCATGCTGCTTCTGAGCCATGGAGTCACCACCAGTGTGGTGGGGTCTTGGACCCGAAGAAAGGAGAAGACACTGTGCCCCCCGATTAGCTGAGTGTGGCCAGGCTGTGTGTTTGCGAGGTGTGAAGGGCATGGATGGAGACTCACCAGAGAAAGCATGTGGCCCTGGGGCCCCAGGTTGTGGTTTCCAGTATGTGCTTGGATATGGCATATGGGTGGGTGCCTACCATGCACAGGGACTGGCTATGTGACTGCCAGCTGTGCAGCAGCATCAGGCATACGGGCCAGCCTCCTTGGTTGACCATGAACTGGTTGCTGGCCCTGGCCTGTGCCCAGTAGTCCTGGGGTGACCCTGGTGTCATGTAGGGGAGCTGGCATGTGTAGTGGAGGTGCTCGTGTGGTCTGCAGTAGGGAGCAGCCCTGGCTTCTAGCCTGAGCCCAGTGACCTGCCTGTCCTGTCCTTTCAGGGTTCAGTGGCGGAGAGAGCATCAGGTGGCCCACGTCTGTGATGGGCCAGTATTCCACATGGATCTCATCACATGGGTCCATGGAAGGCGAGCATCCCTGAGCTGGCACACCCCACCTTCTGCCAGCATGGAAGGGTGAGGTTGCATTTGGCACCTGTCCTCTTCCTGTTCCTCGAGATGGTGACCCCAGAGGAGGACTTGCATTGGGCCCACTGTCCCCGGGCCAGTGGCCATCAGCCGGGTGCCTAGCCCCTGTTGCACTGAAGCTCAGGCCCTTCCTGTTGCCCTGGTCTCCTGCATTGAGCTTGGGTGAGCCCATCCGGTTGCCACTGGATGCCTAAGCAGGGAGGGGGGTTCCCTGGGTTGGGTCAATGATGAGAACCTTACATTGTTCTGAAGAGAGATGATGACTTAAAAATCATGCTCAATAGGATTACGCTGAGGCCCAGCCTAGGTGAGAATTTTGGAAGAGGACGCTGGGATCCCTAGGTCCCTGACAGGGCCACTGTATTTTGGGCTGGAGACCTGGAGTCCTTGAAGGGCATCTGGAGGGGGCCCAAACCTGTCTCTACGTTCCTCCATGAGGCAGTCCAGGCTCCCTGTGCGAGCTTCGTGTCGGTGCTCAGATTCCCCTTGGTGGTGCATGTGGGTGGCTCATCCCTGAGCCCCTGTTCTCCCCTTGTGTCTTTCAGTGAACTCGTTTGCCCAGGAGGACCCCTGGCCTTGAGCAGCATAGGTCAGTGGATCCTACTGGGGTCATGGGCCATGGACCAGGCCACGTGGGGTCACTGAGGGTCAGCTATCAGGACAGGAGGGATTCCTCAGGGAGACAACCTGAATCCCCACTGGTGAGGGATTGGTTCTCCAGAAGGGCCGCCTCCTTGGGAATCTGACCCAAGGAGGACACCTTCCCTGAAGTGCTACAGGAGTGACATTGGTCCAGGCAGGAAAGGGTTCCATTAGTCCCATGCAGGTCAGCTCCCAGCTGAGACTTGGTGCTAGGGTCTGGCCTTGAGGACTGCCCAAGCCACATGAAGGTGGCCCCAGGCTGTGATTTTTGGTGCGTGCTTGGAGAGGGAGTCTGGGCACCCTCCCTGCACAGGGGCAGGCTGTGCGTCTGCCAGGTCTACAGTGGCGCCTAGCTTCAGAGCAAGCTTCCTTGGTTGGCCTTAGCTGGTTGGTGGCCCTGGCTCCTACCCAGGGGTCACAATGCAGCCCAGGAAGTGCAGGGAAGCCGGCTTGGACAGTGGAGGTGCTCCAGGGGCCTGCGGTAGGGCACAGCCTCGGCATCTTGCCTGAGCCTAGTTACTCGCCTGTCCTGTCCTTCCAGGGTTTGGTGGTGGGGAGATACAAGGGTTCCCCAGGTCCATAACTGTCCTCGTTTCACATGGATCCCATCACATGAGTCCACGGATGTAGAGCATGTGTAGCCAGCAGCCCCTCCCCGCTTTCCTGCATGGAATCTTAAGGCCCTATTTGGACACCTTTCCCCGTCCCTCCAGATGGTGAGCACAGAGGAAGAATTGCGTTAGGCCCTTTGGCCCCGGACCAGTGTCTGCCAGCCACGTGCTCAGCCTCCCGTGCGCTAAAGCTCAGGTCCTTCCTGTCATCCTGGTATCCTGCACTGAGGTGTGGTGAGTCCATCCAGGTCCCTCTGGATGTGTGAGTGGGGATGGGGGTGTCCTGGGTTGGGTCGATGATGAGAACCTTATATTGTCCTGAAGAGAGGTGATGACTTAAAAATCATGCTCAATAGGATTACGCTGAGGCCCAACTTAGGTGAGAATTTTGAAAGAGGATGCTGGGAATCACAAGGTCCCCGGCAGGACCACTGTATTTTAGGCGGGAGACCTCGAGGCCCTGAAGGGCATATCATGGAGGGGTACCCAACCCAGTCTGTGCTCCTCCATTAGGCACACCAGGCTTCCTGTGTGGGCTTGGTGTCTGCACTCAGCTTCCCCGGGGGTGGGACACATTGGTGGCTCCTTCCTGAGTCGCATTCTCCTCTGTGTCTTTCAGTGAGCTCTTCCCCCCAGCAGGCCCCCTGGGATTGACTGGCAAAGGTGAGTGGATACTGCTCGTGTCATGGGCTGTGAGCCAAGCTGCGTGGGGTCCCCAAGGGTCAGCCCTCGGGTCACCTGGGTTTCCTCAGGAGCTGATCTGAATCCTGACTGGGGATGTGTTCTCCAGGAGGGCAGCTTCCTTGGGAATCTGACACAAGGAGGAGGCCTTCTCTGGAGCCCTGCAGGGGTGGTGGTGGTCCAGGCAGGAAAGGGTTTCCTCAGCTCCACACAGGACAGTGGAGCTGGGCAGTGCTCAGCTCAGACTTGGTGCTCAGGTCAGGCCTCTAGGATGGCCAGGCCACATGACGGGGGCCACAAGGGCTCCAGGGCACCACAGACATCTCATGGGGGCTCTCCAACCCTGGAGAAGGGTGGGCAATTTGGCCCATTGGGTCGGGTCATGGAGCTTCAAGGATTGCACCAAACCCATATCCCTCAATGGGACCGACCCTATTAAGCAATGGGCCATCCCAGTGGCACCTCTTTGAGCCATGTGGTGGGTGGCGCTGTTTCTCTGAGGTTGGGTCAAGACTAGCTCCGGCCAGTGCCTGATGGTGGTGCAGTCCAGTCCTGGGACTCGTGGGCTTTGGGCCAAGGGTGCAGCCCGTGTCCTACTGGGGATCACCCCTTCCTTATGAGGGAGTGGTGGGAAGGGTATCCTCCTGAGGTAGGAAGGCCCGCTGTGGAAGGAACTTTCCTGGAAATTTGCAGTCCAGACTGCTTCTGAGCCATGAGGTCATCTCCGGGGTGGCGGGGTCTTGGGCCCAAGGAAAGGAGAAGACACCATATGTCTCCCGATTGGTTGAGTATGGCTCCACTCTGTGTGTGGGAGGTGTTGTGTGGGGCATGGATTGGGACCCACCAGAGAAAGCTCGTGGCACTGGAACCCCAAGCTGCAATTTCCAGTGCACCTTGGGAAGGGGACTGGGTGCTCACCCTCCATGCACAGGGCAGGCTGTGCAGCTGCCAAGTTGGCAGTGGTGCGTGGCATCCGGGCCAGCGTCCTTGGTTCGCTGTGAGCTGGTTGGTGTCCTTGACGCCTGCCCAGGGGTCCCAGTGCTGCTTGGGGTCATGAGGGGAGCCAGCGTGGGCAAGGGAGGCCTGCAGTAGGGCACAGCCCGGGGGTCTTGCCTGAGCCCAGGATCCTGCCGGCCCTGTCCTTCCATGGTTCGGTGGCTGGGAGGGCAAAGGGTCCCCCACGTCTGAGACACATCAGTGTTTCACATGGATCTCATCACATGGGTCCATAGAGAGAGAGCAAGCGTGAGCTGACACCCCCCACCCCCTTCCCTGTATAGAGGTCTGAGCCCCTGGTTGGACACATGTCTTCCTCCTGTCCCCCCAGATGGTGTCTGTGGAGGAAGACTTGCCATTGGGTTGCTGGCCCCAGGCCAGTGGTTGTCATCCAGGTGCCCAGCCTTGGTGCACTGAAGCTCAGGCCCTTCCTGGTGCTCTGGTCTCCTGCACTGAGCTGTGGTGAGCACATCCGGGTCCCACTGGATGGGTGTGTGTGGTGGGGGGTGCCCTGGGTTGGGTCGATGATGAGAACCTTATATTGTCTGAAGAGAGGTGATGACTTAAAAATCATGCTCAATAGGATTACGCTGAGGCCCAGCCTAGGTGAGAATTTTGGAAGAGGATGCTGGGAATTACAAGTTCCCTGTGAAGTCCACTGTATTTTGAGCTAGAGACCTGGAGGCTCTGAGGGCATCTGGAGGGTGCCCAACCCTGTCTCTGCACTCCTCCATGAGGCAGCCCAGGCTCACTCTGTGGGCTTGGTGTCGGCGCTCCTGTTACCCAAGGGTGGGGTACTTTGGCATCTCCTCCCTGAGCCCCCATTCTCCCCTGTGTCTTTCAGTGACCTCTTTTGCCCGGCAGACCCCCTGGCATTGACCAGCATAGGTGAGTGGATCCTGCTGGGGTCATGGGTCATGAGCCAGGCTGTGTGGGGTTGCCGAGCATCAGCCTTTGGCTGCAAGGGTTTCCTCAGGAACTGACCCGAATGCCCACCTGGGATGGGTTCTCCAGGAGGGCAGCTTCCTTAGGAATCGGACCCAAGGAGGATACCTTCCATGAAGCCCTGCAGGGGTTGTGGTGGTCCAGGCAGTAAAGGGTTTCCTCAGCCCCATGCAGGGCAGCACCCAGCTGAAACTCGGTGCTTAAGTCAGGCCTCTAGGATGGCCCGTCCACATGAGGGGAACCACAAGGGCACTGGGGCGCCAAGGGGGTCTTATGGGGGCTCTCCGACCTTGGAGAGGTATGTGTGATTCGGCCCATGAGGTCAGGTTTTGGATTTTCAAGGATCTCTCCAAACCCATGGCCCTGAATGGGACCGACCCTATTAAGCTATGGGCCATCCCAGTGGTGCCTCTTTGAGCCAAGTGTGGGGTGGCACTGTTTCCATGAGGTTGGGTCAAGACTAGCTCTGGTGACCCCATGATGGTGCTGCAGTCTGGCCCTGGGACTCGTGGGCTTTGGGCCAAGGGTATAGCCCATGTCCCACCAGGGGCCACACCTTCCTTGTGGGCAAGTGGCGGACAGGGTGTCCTCCTGAGGTGAGAAGGCCTGCTGTGGAAGGACCTGTCCAGGCTGCTTCCAAGCTATGGGGTCACCTACAGGGTGGTGGGGTCAAGGAAAGGAGAAGACACCATGTGTCTCCCGATTGGCTGAGTGTGGCCCCACTCTGTGTGTGGGAGGTGTTGTGTGAGGCATGGATGGGGACATATCAGAGAACACACGAGGCCCTGGGTCCCCAGGCTGCAATTTCCGGTGTGGTGTGGAGCAGGGCCTGGGTGCTTGCCCTCCACACACAGGGGCAGGCTGTGCTACTGCCAGATTGGCAGCAGTACGTGGCATCCAGGCCAGCCTCCTTGGTTGGCCGTGAGACGGTAGGTGGCCCTGGCTGACACCCAGGGGCCAGTACAGCCCTGGGGTCATGTGAGGCAACTGGAGTGGGTAGTGGAGGTGCTCAAGGTGCCTGCAGTAGGGCATAGCCAGGGCGTCTTGCCTGAGCCCAGTGACCTACCTGCCCTGTCCTTCCAGGGTTCAGTGGTGCAGAGGGCCAAAGTTCCCCTGTGTCCATGACACATCAGTGTTTCACATGGATCCCATCACATGGGTCCATGGTGGGAGAGCAATCGTGAGCTAGCATCCCCCACCCCCTTCCTGCATGGAGGCGTGAGGTTCCATTTGGACACATGTCCACCTCCTGTCCCCCAGATAGTGAGACTGGAAGAAAACTTTCATTGGGCCCGCTGTCCCGGGGTGAGTGGTCATCAGTCAGGTGCCCAGCCCTTGGTGTGGTGAAGCTCAGGCTCTTCCTGGCGCCCTGGTCTCCTGCACGGAGCTGCGGTGAGCACATCCGGGTCCCGATGGATGCATGCGTGGGGATGGAGGGCGTGCCCTGAGTTGGGTCAATGATGAGAACCTTATATTGTCCTGAAGAGAGGTGATGACTTAAAAATCATGCTCAATAGGATTACGCTGAGGCCCAGCTTAGGTGAGAATTCTGGAAGAGGATGCTGAGATCCGAAGTCCCCTGGAAGGGCCACTGTATTTTGGGCTGGAGTCCTTGAGGCCCTGAAGGACACCTTCGGGGTGCCCAACCCAGTCTCTGCACTCCTCTGTGTGGCAGCCAAGGCTCCTTGTGCAGGCTTGGTGTTGGCATTCTGGTTCCCTGGGGGTGGAGCACATCGACGGCTCCTCCCTGAGCCCCCGTTCTTCTCTGTGTCTTTCAGTGAGCTCTTCTACCCAGGCGGGCCCCTGCCCTTGAGCGGCATAGGTGAGTGGATCTTGCTGGGGTCACGGGCCAAGAGCCAGGCCACGGGGGGTCGCTGAGGGTCACCTTTCAGGCCACGAGGGTTTCCTTAGGGAGCTGACCTGAATCCCCACCAGAGATGGATGGTTTCTCCGGAAGGGCAGCTTCCTTGTTAATTGATCCCAAGAAGGACGCCTTCCCTGAAACCCTGCAGGGGTAATGGAGGCCCAGGCAGCAGAGAGTTCCTTCAACCCAATACAGTGCAGCAGCTTGTTGCCTTGATGCTCCCCCTCCCTGGAGAAAGGTGGGCATAGGGCCCGTGGAGTTGAGTTGCAGAGATTTAAGGATCGCACAGGACTTATTGACCTAAATGGGACTGACCCTGTTGAGCAACGTGCACTTGGTGCATGGGTCAGGTGTGGAGCACTGCCCAGGCCACATGAGGGGTCCACTGGGTCTCTGGGGGCCACGGGTGTTATGCAGGAGCTCTCCGTCCCCAAGGCTTGCAGGGGGGTAGGATGTCGGTGATCGAGCTTATGCAGTCAGGCCGTGAAGATTCAAGGATTGGGCCCAACCCATGGCCCTGATGGGACCGACCCTGTTGAGCAATGGGCTATCCCACTGGTGCCTCCTTGAGCCTGGTGGGGGCAGTGCGGCCTCAGTGGGCTTGGATCAAGGCTGAGCTCTGGCCAGCACCTGGTGTTTGGCCCTGGGAATCGTGGGCTTTGGGCCAAGGGTTCAGCCTGTGTCCCACTGGAGTTCATCCCTACCGGAAGTGGAGTGGATGGAAGGGTGGCATCCTGTGGTGGAAGACCCACCGTTAAGGGTCCTGTCCTGGCAATTTGATGCCCAGGCTACTTCTGAGCCATGGAGTCACCTCCAGGGTAGCAGGGTCTTGAGCCAAAGGAAAGTTGAGGACATCATGTGTCCTCTGATTGGCCGAGCGTGGCCCAGCTCTGTGTTTAGGAGGTGTGCGGTGCATGAATGGGGACCCACCAGAGAAGGCATGTGGCCCTGGGGCCCCAGGATGTGATTTCTGGTGTGTGCTTATAAAGGGTGCCTGGATGGGTTCATTTAATGCCCAGGGGCAGGCCATGTGACTGCCAGGTCTGCAGTGGTACGTGGCATCCAGGCCAGCCTCCTTGATTTGCTGTGAGCTATTTGGTGCCCATGGCCCTGCCCAGTGGTCCTGATGCAGCCCAGATTCGAGCAGGGGATTTGGCGTGGGCAGTGGAGGTGCTCCAGGGTCCTGCACTAGGGTGCAGCCTGGGCGTTTTGCTCGAACCCTGTGACCCTCCTGCCCCGTCCTTCCAGGGTTCAGTGGCCAAGGGTTCCTCGCGTAAATGACCATCACTGTTTTACATGGATCTCATCTCATGAGTCCATGGAGGGAGAGCATGTGTGAGCCAGCACCCCCTGCCCACTTTCCTGCATGGAGGCATGAGGCCTTGTTTGGACACCTGTCCCCCACCCTTCCAGATGGTGACCCCAGAGGAAGACTTGCGTTGGGCCCACTGGCTCTGGGCTCAGCCCCTGGTGAGCTGAAGCTCAGGCCCTTCCTGGCACCCTGGTCTGCTGCACTGAGCTGCGGTGAGCCTATCTGGGTCCCACTGGATGCATGGGTTGCGGGGCAGTGGAGGGTGATGCCCTGGGTTGGGTCGATGATGAGAACCTTATATTGTCCTGAAGAGAGGTGATGACTTAAAAATCATGCTCAATAGGATTACGCTGAGGCCCAGCCTAGGTGAGAATTTTGGAAGAAGGTGCTGGGATCCGGAGTTCCCTGGAATGACCAATGTATTTTGGGCTGGAGACCTTGAGGCCCTGAACAGCAGCATCTCGTGGGGGCCCAACCCCTTCTCCGTGCTCCTCTGTGAGGCAGCCCAGGCTCCCTGTGTGGGCTTGGTGTTAGTGCTCCGGTTCTGTGAACCCCCATTCTCCCCTTGTGTCTTTCAGTGAGCTCTTCCACCCAGGTGCAACCCCCTGGCATTGACCAGCATAGGTGAGTGGTCCCGCTGGGGTCATGGGTCATCAGTCATGCAGTGTGGGGTCACCAAGAGTCAGCCTTTGAGACAGGAGGGTTTCCACAGGCAGCTGACCTGAATCCACACCATGGAAGGGTAGGTTGGTCCTCCAAGAGGGCTGTTTTTTTGGGAATCGGACCCAAGGATGATATCTTTCCTGCAGCCCTGCAGTGATGACGGTGGTCCAGGCAGGAAAAGTTTCCTTCAATCTCATGCAGGGCAGCTCCCAGCTGAGTCTCAGTGCACTGGTCTGGCCTCGAGGACTGACCAGGCCACGTGAGGGGGGCCACAGGGGCTTTGGGATGCCATGGGGTCACACAAGAGCTCCCCATCCCTGGAGAAAGGTGGGCATAGAGCCCATGGAGTTGAGCTGCAGATATTTAAGGATCACACAGGATTTATAGCCCTGAATGGGACCGACCCTGTTGAGCAATGTGCCATCCATCCTATGGTACCTCTTTGGGCCTGGATGGGGTGTTGCTGTTTCCCTAGGTTTTGGTCAAGGCTGAGCTCTGGCCAGTGCCTGGTGGTGCTACAGTCCAGCCACGGACTTGTTAGCTTTAGGCCAAGGGATCAGTCCACGTCCTGCTGGGGATCTCCCCTTCCCTGTGGCTGGAAGTCACCCCTTCCCCATTGGCAAGTGTGAGGAAGGGTGGCCTCCTGAGGTGGAAGGCCTGCTGTTGAGGGTCTTGTCCCTGGAATATGCCACCCACACTGCTTCTGAGCCATAGGGTCACCTCCAGGATAGTGGGTATTGGGCCAAAGGAAAGAAGTCACCATGTGTCCCCTGATTAGCCAAGTGTGGCCCTGCTCTGTGTTTAGGAGGTGTGTGGGGCATGGATGGGGACCCACCAGAGAAAGCATGTGGCCCTGGGACTCCAGGTTGTGATTTCCAGTTCATGCTGGGATAGGGCACCTGGATGGGTGCCCACAATGCACCGGGGCAGGCTATGTGACTGCCAGCTTTGCAGCGGCATCTGGCATCCGGGCCAGCCTCCTTGGTTGGCCATGAACTGGTTGGTGGCCCTGGCCTGTGCCCAGTAGCTCTGTCGTAATCCTGGGGTCATGCGAGGGAGCCGGCATGGGCAGTGGAGGTGCTCGTGGGACCTGCGGTAGGACACAGCCAGGTCTTCTTGCCCGAGCCCAGTGACCCACCTGCCCTGTCCTTCCAGGGTTCAGTGGTTGAGAGTACAGGGTGACTTGTGTCTGTGACAAGCCAGTGTTCTGCATGGATCCCATCACGTGGATCCATGGACGGCAAGCATCCCTGAGCCGCCACACCCCACCTTCTGCCTCCATGGAGGGGTGAGGTTGTGTGTGGACGCCTGTCCTACTCCTGTTTCCCCAGGTATTGAGCCTGGAGGAAGACTTGAATTGGTCCCAATGGTCCCAGGCCAGCATCCATCAGCTAGGTGCTGAGCCCCTGGTGCACTGAAGATTGGGCACTTCCTGGCACCCTGGTGTGCTGCACCGAGCTGTGATGAGCACATCCGGGTCCTGCTGGATGCATGCGCCGGGAAGGACGTGCCCTGAGTTGGGTCGATGATGAGAACCTTATATTATCCTGAAGAGAGGTGATGACTTAAAAATCATGCTCAATAGGATTACGCTGAGGCCCAGTCTAGGTGAGAGTTTTGGAAGAGGATGCTGGGATCCTGAGGTCCCCTGGTAGAGCCAATTGTATTTTGGGCTGGAGACCTGGAAGCCCTGAAGGGCATCTGGGAGGCCCAACCCTGTCTCTGTGCTCCTCCATGAGGCAGCCCTGGCTCCCCATGTAGGCTTGGTGATGGCCTTCCTGTTCCCTGGGGGTGGGGCACATGGGTAGCTCCTCCCTGACCCCCATTCTCTCCTGTGTCTTTCAGTGAGCTCTTCCCCACAGGTGGGCCCCCTGGCATTGACTAGCATCGGTGAGTGGATCCTGCTGGGGTCGTGGGCCGTGCACCAGGCTGCATGGGGTCACCAAGTATTAGCCTTCAGGACAGGAGGGTTTCCTCAGGGAGTCGACCTTAATCCTCACCTGTGGAGAGATGGGTTTGTCCTCTAGGAGGGCAGCTTCCTGGGAAATCAGACCCAAGACGATGCCTTCCCTGAAGCCCTGCAGGGGTGACGGTGGTCCAGTCTGGAAAGGGTTCCTTCAGTCTCATGCAGGGCAGCTCCCAGCTGACACTTGGTGTGAGAGTCTGTCCTTGAGGACTGCCCAGGACAAATGAGTGGGACAACAGAGGCTCCCGGATACCACAGGGATCACTCAGGGGCTCTCCGTCCCTGGAAATGGGTGGGCGATCGGGCCCATGGGGTGGGGCTGCGGAGATTCAAGGATCGTGCCCTGCTCATGGCCCTGAATGCAAATGACCCTGTTGAGCAATGGGTCACACCAGTAGCTCCTTTTTGAGCCTGGTGGGTGGCGGCTCAGCTTCAACTGGTTGGGTCAAGGCTGAGCCATGACTGGTGCTTTGTGGTGCCGCAGGCCAACCCTGGGACTCATGGGCTTTGGGTCAAGGGTGCAGCCCGCCTGCTGCTGGGGGTCACCCCTTCTTCGAGGTCAGTGGCGGGAAGGGTCACGTCCCGAGGTTGGAAAGCCCCCTCATGAGGGACCTGTCCTGGGAATTTGTTGCCCAGGCTGCTTCTGAGCCATGTGGTCACTTCCGGGTGGCGGGGTCTTGGGCCCAAGGAAAGGAGAGGGCACCATGTGGCTCCTGATTGGCTCAGTGTGGCCCAGCTCTGTGTTTGACAGGGGTCTGGGGTGTGGATGAGGACCCACCAGACAAAGCACGTGGCCCTGGGCCCAGGCTGTGATTTCTGGTGCGTGCTTGGAGAAGGATCCTGGGCAGGCATTCTCTCCAAACAGGGGCAGGTTGTGGGACTGCCAGATTGGCAGCAGTGCCTGGCATCCAGGCCAGCATCCTTGGTTGGCTGTGAGCTGGTTGGTGACCTTGGACCCTGCCCAGGGTTTCCGTTGTGGTCCAGAGTCATGCAGTGGGGCCAGTGTGAGCAGTGGAGGTGCTCCAGGGGCCTGCTGTATGGCACAGCCAGGGCATCTTACCCAAGCCCTCCTGCACTGGTCTCCTGCACTGAGCTGTGGTGAGCCCATCTGGGTTCCTGTGATGCCTGTGCGGGGAGGGGGTTGCCCTGGGTTGGGTCGATGATGAGAAACTTATATTGTCTGAAGAGAGGTGATGACTTAAAAATCATGCTCAATAGGATTACGCTGAGGCCCAGCCTAGGTGAGAATTTTGGAAGAGGATGCTGGGAATTATGAGTTCCCTGGCAGAACCACTGTATTTTGGGCTGGAGACCTGGAGGCTCTGAGGGCATCTGGAGGGTGCCCAACCCTGTCTCTGCGCTCCTCCGTGAGGCAGCCCAGGCTCACTATGTGGGCTTGGTGTTGGCACTCCTGTTACCCGGGGGTGGGGCATTTTGGCATCTCCTTTCTGAGCCCCCAATCTCCCCTGTGTCTTTCAGTGAGCTCTTCTGCCCAGCAGCCTCCCTGGCAGTGACCAGCATAGGTGAGTGGATCCTGCTGGGGTAATGGCCCATGAGCCAGGCTGTGTGGGGTCACCAAGCATCAGCCTTCAGCCATAAGAGTTTCCTCAGGAGCTGACCCGAATGCCCACCTGGGATGGGTTCTCCAGAAGAGTGGCTTCCTTGGAAATCATACCCAAGGAAGATACCTTCCCTGAAGCCCTGCAGGGGTTGCAGTGGTCCAGGCAGTAAAGGGTTTTCTCAACCTCATGCAGGGCAGTGCCCCACTAAGACTCAGTGCTCTGGTCAGGCCTTTAGGATGGCCAGGCCACATGAGAGGGGCCACAAGGGCTCTGGGGCACCAAGGGGTTCTTGCAGGGGCTCTTCAACCTTGGAGAGGTGTGTGTAATTCAGCCCATGAGGTCAGGCTGTGGATTTTCAAGGATTGCACCAAACCCATGGCCCTGAATGGGACAAACCCTAATAAGTTATGGGCCATCCCAGTGGTGCCTCTTTGAGCCAAGTGTGGGGTGGCACTGTTTCCTAAGGGTGAGTCAAGACTAGCTCTGGCTGGCACCTGATGGTGGTGCAATCCTGCCCTGGGATTGGTGGGCTTTGGGACATGGGTACAGCCCATGTCCCATTGGGGTCACCCCTTCATTGTGGACAGGTGGCGGGAAGCATGTCCTCCTGAGGTGGGAAGGCCTGCTGTGGAAGACCCTGTCTCAGAAATTTGCTGTCTTGGCTGCTTCTGAGCTATGGCGTCACCTCTGTGGTGGCGGGAGTCTCGGGTGAATGGATCCTGCTGGGGTCATGGGCCATGAGCCAGGCCGGGGTGGGGTCCCTGAGCGTCACCTTTCGGGTCATGAGGGTTTCCTAAGGGAGCCGACCTGAATCCCCACCAGGGATGAATGGTTTCTCTGGGAAGCAGGTTTCCTTGGAAATCAGTCCCAAGAAGGACACCTTCCCTGAAACCTTGCAGGGGTAACAGAGGTCCAGGCAAGAGAGGGTTCTTTCAACCCAACGCAGTGCAGATCCTAGCTGAGACTTGGTGCACAGGTGAGTCCTGGAGGACTGCCCAGGCCACATGAGGGCATCCACAGGGTCTCCGTGGCCAGGAGTCTTATACGGGAGCCCTCTGTCCCCGAGGCTTGCAGAGGGGTTGGGTGTGGGTGATCTGGCTTACGGAGTCAGGCCGTGAACATTCAAGGGTCGGGAACCACCCATGGCCCTGAATGGGACCGACCCTGTTGAGCAATGGCCATCCTGGTGGTGGCACCTTGAGCCTGGTGGGGGTGGCGCTGCCTCAGTGGGGTTGGGTCAAGGCTGAGCTCTGCCTGTCACCTTGTGGTTGGCCCTGGGAATCATGGGCTTTGGGCCAAGGGTGCAGCCTGCGTCCCGCTTGAGGTCACTCCTACCTGAAGTGGAGTGGCCGGAAGGGTGGCATCCTGTGGTGGGAGACCCACGGTCAAGGATCCTGTGCTGGCAATTTGCTGCGCAGCCTGGTTCTGAGTCATGGGGTCACCTCCAGGGTGACAGGGTCTTTGTCAAAGGGAAGGAGAGGACATTATGTGGCCCCTGATTGGCCAAGCATGGCCCAGCTCTGTGTTTGGGAGGTATGCGGTGCCTGAATGGGGACCCACCAGAGAAGGCACATGGCCCTGGGGCCCCAGGATGGTATTTCTGGTGTGAGCTTATAAAGGGTGCATGGATGGGTGCATTCCATGCCCAGTGGCGGGTTATGTGACTGCCAGGTCTGCAGTGGCACATGGGGTCCGGGCCAGCCTCCTTGGTTTGCCATGAGCTGGTTGGTGGCCCAGGCCCTGCCTAGTGGTCTCATTGCAGCCCAGAGTCATGTGGGGGAGCTGGCGTGGGCAGTCGAGGTGCTCCAGGGTCCTACAGTAGGGTGCAGCCTGGGCGTCTTGCTGGAATCCCATGACCCACCTGCCCTATCCTTCCAGGGTTGAGTGGCAGGGAGGGCCAAGGGTTCCTCGTGTGCATGACTGTCACTGTTTTACATGGATCTCATCTCATGAGTCCATGGTGGGAGAGCATGTGTGAGCCAGCACACCCTACCCACTTTGCCCTATGGAGGCACAAGGCCCTGTTTGGACACCTGTCCCCCACCCCTCCAGATGCTGACCCTGGAGGAAGAATTGCACTGGGCCCACTGGCCCCGGGAAAATGTCCCTCAGCCAGGTGCTTAGCCCCTGGTAATCTGAAGCTCAGGCCCTTCCTGATGCCCTGGTCTCCTGCACTGAGCTGTGGTGAGCACATCTGGGTCCCAATGGATGCATGCATGCGTTGTGGGGTGGTGGTGTCCTGGGTTGGGTCGATGATGAGAACCTTATATGTTCTGAAGAGAGGTGATGACTTAAAAATCATGCTCAATAGGATTACGCTGAGGCCCAGCCTAGGTGAGAATTTTGGAAGAGGATGCTGGGATTTCTAGGTCCCTGTCATGGGCACTGTATTTTGGACTGGAGACCTCCGGGCCCTGAACAGCATCTCGGGGGGGACTCTACCCTGTCTCCACATTACATGTGAGGCAGCCCAGGCTCCCTTTGTGGGCTTGGTGTCTGCACTCTGGTTCCCTGTGGTAGGGCAGCTTGCTGGGTCCTTCCTGAGCCCCTGTTCTCCCTTTGTGTCTTCTGTCTTTCAGTGAGCTCTTCAGCCCAGGTGGGCTCCCTGACACTGATGCGCATAGGTGAGTGGATTCTGCTGGCATCATGGGCCATGAGCCAAGCTGCGTAGGGTCACCAAAGGTCACTCTTTAGGCCACGTGGGTTTCCTCAGGGAGCCGACCTGAATCCCCACCAGGTTGGGACAGTTTCTCCAGGAGGCTGGCTTCCTTGGGAATCAGACCCAAGACAATGCCTTCCCTGAAGCCTTACAGGGGTAACAGTTGTCCAGACAGGAAAGGGTCCCCTCAGTCCCATTGAAGGCAGCTCCCAGCTGAGACTCAGTGTGCGAGTCTGGCCTCAAGGATGGCCCAGGCCACATGAAGGAGGCCACAGGGGCTCTGGGGTGCCACAGGGGTCACACGAGAGCTCTCTTTCCCTGGAGTGGGGTGCTCGAATGAGCCCATGGGGTCAGGCTGCAGAGATTCAAGGATCGCATCCCAACCGTGGCCCTAAATGCGACCGACCATGTTGAGTAATGGGCCATCTCAGTGGGGCCTCTTTGAGCCTGGTGGGGGGCGGGGCTGTTTCCCTGGGTTTGGGTCAAGGCTGAGCTCTGGCCAGCGCCTGGTGATGCTGCAGGCCAGCCCAGGTTCTTGTGGGCGTTGGTCCATTCGGCAGCCCTGTCCTCCTGGAGGTCACCCCTTGCCTATTGGTGATTGGCTGGATCCTGAGGTGGAAAGACCTGCTGTTGATGGTCCTGTCCCAGGAATTTACCACCCAGGCTGCTTCTGAGCCATGGGGTCACCTCCAGGGTGGCGGAGTCTTGGGGCTAAGAAAAAAGAGGACACTATGTAGCCCACGGTTGGCCAAGGGTGGCCTGACTCTGTGTTTGGGACATGTGCGGGGCATGGATAGGGACCCGCCAGAGAAAGCACGTGGCCCGGGGACTCCAGGCTTCGATTTCAGGTGTGGCTTGCAAATAGCACCTAGGCAGGTGCCCACCACGCCCTGGGGCAGGCTATGCAACTTCCATCTCCACAGTGGCGCATGGCTTCTGGGCCATTCTCCTTGGTTGGCCATGAGCTGATTGGTTCCCCTGGCCTGTGCCCTGTGGTCCCGGAGTGGCTCTGGGATCGTGTGGGGCAGCCAGCATGGACAGTGGAGATGCTATCAAGGCCTTCAGTAGGGTGCAGCCCAGGTTTCTTGCCTGAACCCAGTGACCCACCTACCCTGTGTTTTCAGGGTTTGCTGACAGGGAAGGCCAAACGTGCCCCACGTCCATGCTAGGTCAGTGTTCCTCATGGACCCCATCACATGGGTATCCCTTACCCCTTCCCCACATGGAAGTATGAGGCTCTGTTTGGACACATGTCCTCTTCCTGTCCCCCCAGATGGTGAGCCTGGAGGAAGACTTGCATTGGGCCCAATGGACCCAGGCCAGTGGCCATCAGCCAGGTGCCCACCCTGGTGTGCTGAAGCGCGGGACCTACCTGTTGTCCTGGTTTCCTACACTGAGCTGAGGTGAGCACATCTGGGTCCCTCTGGATGCATGCATGGGGCGGGGGGTGCCCTGGTTTGGGTCAATGATGAGAACCTTATATTATCCTGAAGAGAGGTGATGACTTAAAAATCATGCTCAATAGGATTACGCTGAGGCCCAGCCTAGGTGAGAATTTGGAAGAGGATGCTGGGATCCCAAAGTCCCAGTAGGGGACTTTATTTATTTATTTTGGGCTGGAGCCCTGGAGGCCCTGAAGGGCATCTGGGGGGCCCAGCCCTGTCTCTGTGCTCCTCCGTGAGGCAGCCCAGCCTCCCTGTGTGGGCTTGCTGTTGGTGGTCCAGTTCCTTGGGGCGGGGCACGTGGACAGCTCCTCCTTGAGCCCCCCTGCTCCACTTGTGTCTTTCAGTGAGCTCTTCAACCCAGGCGGGGCACCCTGGCATTCACCAGCATAGGTGAGTGGATCCTGCTGCCATCGTGGGCCATGGGCCAGGCTGGGTAGAGTCACTGAGGGTCAGCCTTCGGGACAGGAGAGTTTCCTCAGGGAGCGAACCTGAATCCCCACCAGGGAGGGATAGGTTGGTCCTCCAGAAGGGTGGCTTCCTGAGAAATCGGACCCAAGGGGGACGCCTTCCCTGGAGCCCTGCAGTGATGACGGTGGTCCAGGCAGGAGAGGGTTCCTTCAGTCTCACACATAGTAGCTCCCAGCTGAGTCTAGGTGTTCGAGTCTGGCCTTGAGGACTGCCCAGGCCACCTGAGGGGCCAACAGGGACTCTGGGACACCATGGGGGTCACATAGGAGCTCTCCATTCATGGAGAAAGATGGATGATAGGGCCCATGGAGTCGAGCTGTGGAGATTTAAGGATTGCGCCCAATGTATGGCCCTGAATGGGACAGACCCTGTTGAGTAATGAGCCATTCTATGGGCCTCATCGAGCCTTGAGCGGGGCGGTGCTGTTTCCCTATGTTTGAGTCAAGGCTGGACTCTGGCCGGTGCCTGGTGGTGCTGAGGTCTGGCCATGGACTCGTTGGCTTTGGGCCAAGGGGTCAGCCTGCTCCCCCTGGAAGTCCCCCCTTCCCCGTGGCTGGAAGTCATCCCTTCCCAAGGGGCAAGTGTCGGGAATGGTTGCCTCCTGAGGTTGCAAGGCCTGCTATCTAGGGTCTTGTCTTTGGAATATGCTGCCCATGCTGCTTCTGAGTCATGGGGTCACCTCCAGGGTAGCGGATCTTGGGCCCAGGGACAGAAGATGCCGTGTGTCCCCTGATTAGCTGATTGTAGCCCTGCTCTGTGTTCAGGAGGTGTGTGGGGCATGGATGCAGACCCACCAGAGAAAACTGTGGCCCTTAGACCCCAGGTTGCAATTTCCATTATGTGCTGGGATAGGGCATCTGGGTGGGCACCCACTATGCACAGAGATAGGCTATGTGACTGCCAGGGCTGTAGCGGCATCTGACATCTAGGCCAGCTTCCTTGGTTTCCTGCGAATGAGTTGGTGGCCCTGGCCTGTGCCTAGTAGTTCTGGGGTGACCCCGGGTCGTGTGGGGGAGCCAGCAGGGGCCCAGTGACCAGCCTGCCCTGTCCTTCCAGAGTTCTGTGGCTAAGAGAGCACTGGGTACCCTGTGTCCGTGATGGGCCAGTGTTCCGCATGCAAACGATCACATGGGTCCATGGAGGGCAAGCATACTTGAACTGCCACACCCCACCTTCTGCTCACATACAGGAGTGAGGTTGTGTTTGGACAGCTGTCCTACTCCTGTTCCCCTAGACTGTGAAATGGGAGGAAGAATTGTGTTGGGCCCAATGGCCCTGGGCCAGTATCCGTCAGCCTGGTGTCCAGCCCCTGGTGTGCTGAAGCTCATGCCCTTCCTGGTGCCCTAGTTTCCTGCACTGAGCTTGGTGAGCCCATTTGGGTACTGCTGGATGCATGGGTGGGGAGGGAGGTGCCCTGGGTTGGGTCGATGATGAGAACCTTATATTGTCCTGAAGAGAGGTGATGACTTAAAAATCATTCTCAAAAGGATTATGCTGAGGCCCACCCTAGGTGACAATTTTGGAAGAGGACACTGGAAATCAATGAGGTCCCTGGCAGGGCCACTATAATTTGGGGTGGAGACCTGGAAGCCCTGCAGGGCACCTCGTGGGGGCCCAACCCTGTCTCTTCACTCCCCTGTGAGGCAGCCCAAGCTCCCTCTGTAGGCTTGGTGTCGGCACTCTGCTTTCCTGGAGGCGGGGCATTTTGGCTGCTCCTTCCTGAGCCCCTGTTCTCCCCTGTGTCTTTCAGTGAGCTCTTTTGCCCAGAAGACTCCCTGGCATTGATCGGCATAGGTGAGTGTCTCCTGCTTGGGTCATGGGCCATGAGCCAGACCATAGGGTTGCCGAGGGTCAGCATTTGAGCCATGAGGGTTTCCTCAGGAGGCGACCTGAATCCCCACCTGGGATGGGTTCTCCAGGAGGGCAGCTTCCTTGTGAATCTGAGCCAAGTAAGATGCCTTCTCTGAAGCCCTGCAGGGGTGCCAGTTGTGCAGGCAAGAAAGGGTTCCCTCAGCCCCAGGCAGGGCAGCGCCCAGCAGAGACTCGGTGGTTGGGTTAGGCCTCTAGGATGACCAGGCCACATGAGGGGGGCCACAAGGGCTCTGGGGCACAACAGGGGCTTCGCAGGGTCTCTGCGACCCCAAAGAGTGGTGGGCGATTCGGCCCATGGGATCGGGCCCCAGATTCAAAGATCACACCACACCCATGGCCCTGAATGGAACCGACCCTGTTAAGCATTGGGGCATCCCAGGGGTGCCACTTTGAACCTGGTGTGGGGTGCCGCTGTTTGCCTGAGGTTGGGTCGAGACTAGCTCCGGCCAGCACCTGATGGTGGTGCAGTCCGGCCCTGAGATTAGTGGGCTGTGGGCCCAGGGTGCAGCCTGTGTCCCGCTGGGGGTCACCTCTTCCTTGTGGGCGAGTGGTGGAAGGGCATCCTCCTGAAGTGGGAAGGCCCGCTGTGGAAGGAACTGTCCTGGAAATTTGCCATCCAGGCTGCTTCTGAGCCATGGGGTCGCCTCCAGAGTGGCAGGGTCTTGGGCCCAAGGAAAGGAGAGGACACTGTGTTTCCCTCAATTAGCTGAGTGTGGCCCTGCTCTCTGTGTGGGAGGTGTTGTGTGGGGCATGGATAGGGACCCACCAGAGACAACACATGGCCCTCGGGCCCCAGGCTGCAATTTCTCAGTGCATGCTTGGAGACGGTCCTGGGCCTCCTCCATGCCCAGGGTCAGGCTGTGCAACTGTCAGGTTAGCGGCGGCATGTGGTGTCTGGGCCTGTCTACTTCGTTGTCCGTGAGCTGCTGGTGGCCCTAGCCCTTTCCCAGGGGTTCAGGTGCAGCCCTGGGGTTGTGTGGGACAGCCAGTGTGGGCAGTGGAGCTGCTCTGGAGGCCTGCTTTAGGGTGCAGCCTGGGTGTCTTGCCCGAGTGTAGTGACCCGCCTGCCGTGTCCTCACGGGGTTCCCTAGCAGGAAGGGCCAAGGGTCCCCTGTGTCTGTGACACGTGAGTGTTTCCCATGGGTCCCATCAAATGGGTCCACGGAGGGAGAGCATGAGTGAACTGGTACCCCCCACCCCCACCCTCTTCCCCACCTGGAGGCATGAGCCCCTGGTTGGACATATGTCCTCCTCCTGTACCCCCAGATGGCAGCGCTGGAGGAGGACTTGTACTGGGGCCGCTGGCCCCACATCAGTGTCCGTCATCCCGGCGTCCAGCCCCTGGTGTGCTGAAGCTCAGGCCCTTCCTTGTGCCCTAGTCTCCTGCACTGAGCTTGGTGAGCCCATTCGGATACTGCTGGATGCATGGGTCGGGAGGGAGGTGCCCTGGGTTGGGTCGATGATGAGAACCTTATATTGTCCTGAAGAGAGGTGATGACTTAAAAATCATTCTCAAAAGGATTATGCTGAGGCCCGGCCTAGGTTAGAATTTTGGAAGAGGATGCTGGGATCCTGAGGTCCCCAGGAGAGCCCCTTTATTTTTGGCTGGAGACCTGGAGGCCCTGAAGGGTATCTGGGGGGCCCAGCCCTGTCCCTATACTCCTCTGTGAGGCAGCCCAGGCTCTCTGTGTGGGCTTGGTGTTGGCACTCTGGTTTTCTGGGGGCGGTTCAGGTTGCTGGTTCCTTCTGAACCATTGTTCTCCCCTTGATTCTTTCAGTGAGCTCTTCTGCTCAGGCGGGTCCCCTGGCATTGACCAGCATAGGTAAGTGGATCCTGCTGGGTTCATGGGCCATGAGCCAGACCACATGGAGTGACTGAGGGTCAGCCTTCAGGACAGGAAGATTTCCTCGGGGAGCCAACCTGAATCCCCACCGTGGAGGGATGTGTTAGTCCTCCAGGAGGGTGGCTTCCTAGGGAATCTGACCCCAGGAGGACACCTTTGCTGAAGCCCTGCAGGGGTGATGGTGGTCCAGGCTGGAAAGTTTTCCTTCAGTCTCATGTGGGGCAGCTCCCTGCTGACATTCCGTGCCTGCGTCTGACCTTGAGGACTGCCCGGGCCACATGAGTGGGGCAACAAGGGCTCCAGGGTGCCACGGGGATTATGAGTGGGGCTCTCCATCCCCGGAGAGAGGTGGGCAATCAGGCCCATGTGGTCAGGCTTGTAGGGTTCGGTGGTGGGGAGAGCCAAGGTTTCCCTGGGTCCATTACCGTCACTGTTTCACCTGGATCCCATCACATGGGTCCATGGAGGGAGAGCATGTGTGAACAGGCACCCCTTGCTCCCTTTCCCACATGAGCCCCTGGTTGGACATATGTCCTCCTCCTGTCCCCCCAGATGGTGGCCCTGGAGGAGGACTTGTATTGGGGCCACTGGCCCCACGTCAGTGTTCGTCAGCCTGGCATCCAGCCCCTGGTGTGCTGAAGCTCAGGCCCTTCCTGTTGCCCTAGTCTCCTGCACTGAGCTTGGTGAGTCCATTCGGGGACTGCTGGATGCATGGGCGGGTAGGGAGGTGCCCTGGGTTGGGTCGATGATGAGAACCTTATATTGTCCTGAAGAGAGGTGATGACTTAAAAATCATTCTCAAAAGGATTATGCTGAGGCCCGGCCTAGGTTAGAATTTTGGAAGAGGATTCTCGGATCCTGAGATCCCCAGCCAGGCCACTGAATTTTTGGCTGGAGTCCTTGAGGCCCTGAAGGGTGTCTGAGGGCTGCTGAAACCTGTCTCTGTGCTTGTCCGTGAGGCAACCCACATTCGCTGTGTGGACTTGGTGTTGGCCTTCCCGTTCTCCGGGGATGGGACATACTGTCAGCTTGTCCCTGAGTACCCGTTCTCCCCTGTGTCTTTCAGTGAGCTCTTCTGCCCAGGTGGTCCCCCTGGTCTTGATGGGCATAGGTGAGTACATCCTGCTGGTGTCCTGGTCCATGAGCCAGGGTGCGTACGGTTGCCGGAGGTCACCTTTAGGCCATGTGGGTTTCCTCAGGGAGCTGACCTGAATCCCCACTGGGAGGGATGGTTTCTCCAGGAGGATGTCTTCCATAGAAACTGGTTCCAAGAAGGATGCCTTCCCTGAAGCTGTGCAGGGGTGACGATGGTCCAGGCAGGAAAGGGTCCATTCAACCCAATGCAGTACAGCTTCTAGCTGAGACTCGGTGCACGGGTGAGGGCTTGAGGACTCCCAGGCAACATGAGGGGTTCCACAGGATCTCCGGAGGCCACAGGTGTTAAGCAGGAACTCTCCATCCTTGAGGCTTGCTGGGGGTGGCGGGATGGCAGCAGGGTGTGGGTGATCGAGTTTATGGATTCAGGCCAAGATTCAAGGGTCAGGCCCCACCCATTGCCCTGATGGGACCAACCCTGTTGTGCAATGGGCTGTCCCACTGGTGCCTCCTTGAGCCTGGTGTGGGCAGCGTGGCTTCAATGGGGTTGGGTCAAGGCTGAGCTCTGGCCCGCACCTGGTGGTTGGCCCTGGGAATTGTGGACTTTGGGCCAAGGGTGCAGCCCGCCTGCCTCTGGAGGTCATCCTACCCAGAGGTGGAGTGGCCGGAAGGGTGGCAGGCATCCTGTGGTGAAAGGCCCACTGTTGAGGGTCCTGTCCCACCAATTTGCTGTTCAGGCTGCTTCTAAGCCATGGGTTCACCTCCAGAGAGGCGGGATCTTGAGCCCAGGGAAAGGAGAGGGCATCATGTGTCCCCTGATTGGCTGAGAATGGGGAGAGTGTTTGGGTGGTATGTGGTGCATGAATGGGGACCCACCAGAGAAGGCGCGTGGCCCTGGGCCCCAGGATGCAATTTCCGGCGTGCTTATAGAGGGCGTCTGAGTGGACACTCTCCATGCCCAGGCGCAGGCTATGTGACTGCCAGGTCTGCAGCAGTTTGTGGCATCTGGGCTAGCCTCCTTGATTGCTTATGAGCTGGTTGATAGCCCTGGCCTGTGCCGAGGGGTCCTGGTGCGGCCCTGGGGTTGTTCAGGGGAAGCCGGCATGGGCAGTGGAGGTGCTCTTGGGGCCTGCAGTAGGGCACAGCCCAGGTGTTCTTGCTTGAGCGCAGTGAACCACCTGCCCTTTCCTTCCAGGGTTCGGTAGCAGGGAGGGCCAAGGGTCCCCCACGTCCATGACAGGTCAGCGTTCCTCCTGGATCCCATCACATGGGTACATGCAGGGAGAGCATGTGTGAGCCGGCACTCCCCACTCTCTTCCCCGCATTGCAGGGTGAGGCCCTGTTTGGACCCATCTTCCAGCTATCTCACCAGATGGTGAGCCCAGAGGAAGACCCCGTGGCTCTGGGCCAGTGTGCGTCAGCCAGGTCCCCAGCCCCCAGTGTGCTGAAGCTCAGGCCCTTCCCAACGCCCTGGTCTCCTGCACTGAGGTGTGGTGAGCACAACCAGGTCCCACTGGATGCATGCACAGGGAGGGATGTGCCCTAGGTTGGGTCGATGATGAGAACCTTATATTGTCCTGAAGAGAGGTGATGACTTAAAAATCATGCTCAATAGGATTATGCTGAGGCCCAGTCTAGGTTAAAATTCTGGAAGAGGATGCTGGGATCCCAAGTTCACAGGCAGGGCCACTGTATTTTGGACTAGAGAACTCGAGGCCCTAAAGGGCATCTTGAGGGGGTCCAACCTGTCTCTGTGCTCCTCCATGAGGCAGCCCTGGCTCCCTGTGTGGCCTTGGTGTTGGTGCTCTGGTTCCCAGGCGTGGCATGTGGGCACCTCCTTCCAGAGCCCCCATTCTCCCCTGTCTCTTTCAGTGAGCTCTTCCGCCCATTTGGGCCCTCTGACATTGACCGGCATAGGTGAGTGGATCCTCTTTGGGTCATGGGTCATGAGCGAGGCAAAGTGGGGTCACCATGCATCTGCCTTCGGGCCATGAGAGTTTCCTAAAAGTGTGGACCTGAATTCCCACCGGGGATGAGTTATCCAGAAGGGCCACTTCCTTGGGAATCGGACCCAAGAAGGACGCCTGTCCTGAAGCCCAGCAGGGGTGGTGGTGGTCCAGGCAGGAAAGGGTTCATTCAGCACCAAGCAGGCAGCTCCCATCTGAGACTTGGTGCATCGGTCAGGCCTTGAGGACTGCCCAGGACACATGAGGTGGCCACAGGGGCTCCGGGGCACTACAGGGGGTCTGCAGAGAGGGGTAGGCGATTGGGTCCGTGGGGGTCATGCCGCGGAGTTTCAAGGACACCCATGGCCCTGAATGGGACTGACCCTGTTGAGTAATGGGCCATCCCAATGGCACCTCCTTGAGTCTGGCGGTGGGTGGTGCTGTTTCCCTGGGGCTAGGTCAAGGCTGAGCTCTGGCTAGTGCCTGTGGTGCTGCAGGCTGGCCCTAGAACTCATGGGCTTTGGGCCATGGGGACAGCTTGTGTCATGCTTGGGGTCACCCCTTCCCGGAGGTTGAATGGCGGGAGTGGTGGCTTCCTAAGGTGGGAAGTCCTGCTATTGAGCAACCTGTCCTGGGAATTTGCCACCCAGGCTGCTTCTGAGACATGAGGTCACCTCCAGAGTGGCAGCATCTTGGGTCCAAGGAAAGAGGAGCATAACATGTGTCCCCAGATTGGTTGAGTGTGGCCTAGCTCTGTGTTTGGGAGGTGTGCAGGGTGTGGATGGGGATGTATCAAAGAAAGTACATAGCCCTGGAGCCCCAGGCTGTGATTTCCAGTGTGTGCTTGGAGAGGGGCAGGAGCAGGCTCTCGACTGCCAGGTCTGCAGCAGCGCGTGGCATCCGGGCAAGCCTTCTGGTTGGCCATGTGCTGGTTGGTGGCCCTGGCCTGTGCCCAGTGGTCTCAGGGTAGACCTGGCATTGTGCAGGGCAGCCAGCAGGGCAGTGGAGGTGCTCTCAGGACCTGCAGTAGGGCGCAGCCTGGACTTTTTGTGTGAGACCAGTGACCCACCTGCACTGTCCTTCCAGGGTTGGGTGGCTGGGAGGGCCAAGGGTGGTCCATGTTTGTCTCCGTGACACATCAGTGCTCTGCATGGATCCTATCACATGGATATCCCCTACCCACCTTCCCCACATGGAAGCATGAGGCCTTACTTGGACATGTGTCCTCCTGTCCTAGATGGTGAGCTCGGAGGAAGACTTGCATTGGGCCCAATGGAGCTGGGCCAGTTTCTGTCAGCCAGGTCCCCAGCTCCTGATGCACTGAAGCTCAGGCCCTTCCTGGAGCCCTGGTCTCCTGCCCTGAGCTGTGGTGAGCCCATCTGGGTCCCACTGGATGCATGCATGGGAGGGGGTTGCCCTCGGTTGGGTCGATGATGAGAACCTTATATTTTCTGAAGAGAGGTGATGACTTAAAAATCATGCTCAATAGGATTACGCTGAGGCCCAACCTAGGGGAGAATTTTGGAAGAGGACGCTGGGATCCTGAGGTCCGTGGCAGGGCCACCGTATTTTGGGCTGGAGACCTCAAGGCCCTGAAGGGCATCTTGGCAGCCCCCAGCCCTGTCTCTGCACTCCTCCGTGAGGCAGCCCAGGCTCCCTGTGTGGGCTTGGTGTCAGAGTCCCATTCCCCAGGGGCGGGGCAGGTTGGCGGCTCCTCCCTGAGTCCCCTTTCTCCCTTGTGTCTTTGAGTGACTTCTTCTGCCCAGGTGGGCCCCCTGGCGTTGACCAGCATAGGTGAGTGGAACCTGCTGGTGTCATGGGCCATGAGCCAGGCCATGTGGGGACTCCAGGTCAGCCTTCAGGACAGGAGAGTTTCCTCAGGGAGCAGGGGAATCCCCACTGGGGAGGGATGGGTTCTCCCAGAGGGCCACTTTCTTTTGAATCGGACCCATGGAGGACATCTTCTCTGAAGACCTGCAGAAGTGATGATGTTTCAAGCAGCAAAGGGTTTTTTCAGCCCCTGCAGGGCAGGCAGCTCCCAGATGAGATTCTGTGCATGGGTCAGGCCTCAAGAACTGCCCAGGCCACATGCGGGGTGCCACACAGGCTGTGAGGCACCACAGGGGTCATGCAGGAGCTCTCGGTCTTCAGGCTTGTTGTGGGGGTGGTGACAGAGTGATCAGGCCCACAGGGTCAGGCTGCAGTGTTTCAAGGATCGCGCCCACCTGTGGCCCTGAATGGGACCGATGCTGTTGAGCAATGAGCCATCCCAGTGGCTCCACATTGAGCCTGGTGGGGGCGCCACTGTTTCAGTGGGGATGGGTGAAGCTTGAGCTCTGGCCAGCACCTGATGGTGTTGCAGGCTGGCCCAGGGACTTGTGGGCTTTGGGCCAGGTCGGCAGCCTGAGTTCTGCTGGGGGTCACATCTTTCCTGAGTTTCAGTGTCAGGATGCATGGCCTCCTTAGGTGGGAAGGCCTGCTGTGGAGGGTCCTGTCCTGGGAATTTGCTGCCCAGGCTGCTTCTGAGCCATGGCGTCACCTCCAGGTGGTGGGGTCTTGGGCCCAAGGAGCAGAGAAGACACCATGTGGCCCCTGATTGGTCGAGTATGGCCTGGCTCTGAGTTTGGGAGGTGTGCAGGGCATGGATGGGGACCCACCAGAGAAAGCACGGGCCAATGAAGCCCCAGGCTGCGATTTCTGATGCGCACTTGGAGAGGGCGCCTGGTTGGGCGCCCACCATGCCCAAGGGTAGGCTATGCAACTACCAGGTCTGCGGCAGTGCCTGGCATCAGGACCAGCCTCCTTTGTTGGCTGTGAGCTGGTTGGTGGCCCTAGCCCGTGTCCAGTGATCTCTGTGCAGCCCTGGGGTCATGTGGAGCAGCCAGTGTAGGCAGGGGAGGTTATCTTGAGGTGTGCAGTAGGCACATCCCAGGCATCTTGCCCGAGCCCAGTGACCTCCCTGCCCTGTCCTTCCAGGGTTCGGTGGCGGGGAGGCCCAAGGGTACCCTGTGTCCATGACAGGTCAGTATTTCATGTGAATCCCATCACATGGGCCCTCCTCCTGTCCCCCCAGATGGTGAGCCTGGAGGAAGACTTGCACTGGGCCTTCTGTGCGCCGGCCAGAGGCCATCAACCAGGTGCCCAGGTCCTTTTGTACTGAAGCTTGGGCCCTTCCTGGCACCCTGGTCTCCTTCATGGAGCTGGTGAGCCCATCCGGGTTCTTCTGGATGTATGCATGGGGAGCGGGGTGCACTGGGTTGGGTCAATGATGAGAACCTTATATTGTCCTGAAGAGAGGTGATGACTTAAAAATCATGCTCAATAGGATTACGCTGAGTCCCAGCCTAGGTGACAATTTTGGAAGTGGACACTGAGAATCACAAGGACCCTGGCAGGGCCACTGTATTTTGGGCTGGAGACCTGGAGGCCCTCAAGGGCCTCTCACAGGGACCCAACCCTGTCTCTGCACTCCTCCGTGAAGCACAGCAGGCTCCCTGTGCGGACTTGGTGTTGGCACTGTTTCCCAGGGGCAGGGCACATTGGTGGCTTTTCCCTGAGTCCCCATTCTTGCCTTGTGTCTTTCAGTGAGCTCTTCAGCTCAGAAGGGCCCCTTCACCTTGATTAGCCTAGGTGAGTGCATCCTGCTGGTGTCATGGGCCATGAGTCAGGCCGCGTGGGGTCACCAAGGGTCAGTCTTTAGGACAGGAGGGTTTCCTCAGGGAGCCAACCTGTATTTCCACCGGGGAGGGATGGTTTCTACAGGAGGGCGGCTTCCTTGGGAACTGGACCCAAGATGTTGCCTTCCTGAAGCCCTGCAGGGATGACAGTGGTCCAGGCAGCAAAGACTTCCTTCAGCCCCGTGCAGGAGAGCTCCCAGCTGAGACTCAGTGCATGTGTCAGGCCTCGAGGATTGCCGAGGCCACATGATGGGGGCCACAGGGCCTCCGGGGCACCACGGGGGTCATGCAAGAGTTCTCTTTCCCTGGAGAGGGGTGCTTGAATGAGCCTATGGGATTGGGCCGTGGAGATTCAAGGATTGTACCCAACTATGTCCCAAAATGGGACTGACCCTGTTGAGCTATGGACCATCCCATGGTGCCTCTTTGAGCTTGGTGGGGGGCAGTGCTGTTTCCCTGGGTTTGGGTCAAGGCTGAGCTCTGGCCAGTGCCTGGTGAGGCTGTGGGCCGGACCTGGGACTCGTGAGCTTTAGGCCAAGTCGACAGCTTGTGTCCTGCTGGAGGTCACCCCTTCCCCATGGGTGAGTGGCTGGAAGAGTGGAATGTGCGGTGGGAAGGCCCGCTGTTGATGGTCCTATCCTGAGAATTTGCTGCCCAGACTCTCTGTGCCATGGGGTCATGTCCAGGGTGGCAGGGTCTTGGGCCTAGGGAAAGGAAAGGACACCATGTGGCCCAGGATTGGCCAAGGGTGGCCCGGATCTGTGTTTGGGACATGTGTGGGGCATGGATGGGGACCCACCAGAGAAAGCACATGGCCCTGGTACTCCAGGCTGTGATTTCAGGTGTGGCTTGGAGAGAGTGCCTGGGCAGGTGCCCACCATGCCCAGCGGCAGGCTATGCAACTTCCATGTCCACGGTGGCACATGGCTTCTGGGCCAGGCTCCTCGGTTGGCCATGAGCATGTCGGTGACCCTGTCCCATGCTCAGTGGTCCTGGGGCAGCCCTGGGATCGTGTGAAGGAGAAGTCAGAGGGGGCACTGGATGTGCCCTCAAGGTCTGCAATAGCATGAAGACCAGGGGTCTTGCCCAAGCCCAGTGATCCACCTGCCCTGTTTTTTCAGGGTTTGGTGATGGGGAGGGCCGAGAGTGCCCTGTATCCGTGACAGGTCAGTGTTCCACATGGATCCCATCACATGGGTATCCCTTACCCCATTCCCCACCTGGAGGTATGAGGCCCTGTTTGGACACATGTCCTCCTCCTGTCCATCCAGATGGTGAGCCTGAAGGAAGACTTGCATCAGGACCAATGGACCCTGGCAAGTGTCCGTCAGCCAGGTGCTCAGCCCCTGGTGCACTGAAGCTCAGGCCCTTCCTGGCCCCTTGATCTCCTGCACTGAGCTGTGGTGAGCACATCCGGGTCCCGCTGGATGTATGTGTGGGCAGGGGGGGTGCCCTGGGTTGGGTCAATGATGAGAACCCTATATTGTGTTGAAGAGAGGTGATGACTTAAAATTACCATGCTCAATGATTACGCTGAGGCCCAACCTAGGTGAGAAATTTGGAGGAGGATGCTGGGATCCCGAGATTTCCGGCAGGGCCACTGTATTTTGGGCTGGAGCCCTGGAGGCCCTGAAAGGTATCTGGAGGAGGCCCAACTCTGTCTCTGCACTCCTCTGTGAGGCAGCCCAGGCTCCCTGTGCGGGCTTGGTGTTGGCCTTTCTGTTCCCCAGTGAAGTGGCACGTGGGTGGCTCCTCCCTGAGCCCCAGTTCTCCCCTTGTGTCTTTCAGTGAGCTCTTCTGCCAAGGGGGGGCCTCCTGGCATTGACCAACATAGGTGAGTGGATCCTGCTGGCATCATGGGCATGGGTTCACTGAGGGTCAGACTTCAGGCCATGAGGGTTTCCTCAGGGAGCTGACCCCAATTCCCATCAGGGAGGGATGGTTTCTCCAGGAGGGCGGCTTCCTTGGGAATCTTACCTGAGGAGGATGCCTTCCCTGAAGATCTGCAGGAATGACAATGGTCCAGATAGCAAAGGGTTCCTTCAGCCCCATGCAGGACATCGCCCAGTTGAGACTTGGTGTGCAGGTCAGGCCTTGAGGACTGCCCAGGCCACATGAGGCGGGCCAGAAGGGCTCCAGGGTGCCACGGGTTTCACTTGGGAGCTCTCGGTCCCCGGGCATGTTCCTGGGGGGGGTGGTGATGGGGTCGGGCCATGGAGGTTCAAGGATCTCATCCCACCTGTGACCCTGAATGGGGCTGATCCTGTTGAACAATGGGCCATCCCAGTGGCACGTATTGAGCCTGGTCAGGGGTGGTGCAGTTTCAATGGGGTTGGGTCAAGGTTGAGATCTGGCCAGCTCCTGGTGGTGCTTCAGGCCAGTCCTGTGACCCATGGGCTTTGGGCTAAGGGGGCATCCCATGTCCCATGGGGGTCACCTGTTCTCCATGTTTGAGTGGCAGTAACAGTGGCATTCTGAGGTGGGAAGGTCCACTGTCTAGGGTGTTGTACCGGGAATTTGCCACCCCGCCTTCTTAGCCAAGGGGTCACCTCCAGGGTCTCGGGATCTTGGGCCCAAGGAAACGAGAAGATACCATGTGGCCCTTGATTGGCCGAGTGTGGCCCAGCTCTGTGTTTGAGAGGTGTGGGATATGAATGGGGTCCCACCAGTGAAAGCTCATGGCCCAGGTCCCCAGGCTGTGATTTTTAGTGCACACTTGGGGAGGGCTCCTCAGTGGGTGCCCACCACGCCCAGAGGCAGGCTATGTGACTGCCAGGTCTGCAACGGTGCATAGCTTCCAGGCTACCCTCCTTGGTTGGCTGGGAGCGGGTTGGTGGCCATGGCCCATGCCCAGTGGTCACAGGGCAACCCTGGGATCATGCAGGGGAGCTGGTGAGGGCAGTGGAGGTGCTCTCCGGAACGGAAGTATGGCTCAGCCCAGGTATCTGGCCCAAACCCAATGACCAGCCTGCCTTGTTTCTCAGGGTTTGGTGATGGGGAGGGCCAAGGGTGCCCTGCATCTGTGATGGGTCTGTTCCACATAGAACCCATTACAGGGGATCCCTTCTCCACATGGAGATGTGAGGCCCTATTTGGACACATATCCTCCTCCTGTCCCCCCAGATGGTGAGCCTGGAGGAAGATTTGCATTGGGCCCAATGGCCCTGGGCCAGTGTCTGTCAGCCAGTTTCCCAGCCCCTGGTGCACTGAAGCTCAGGCCTTTCCTGGCATCCTGGCCTCCTGCACTGAGCTGTGGTGAGTATATCATGGTCCTGCTGGATGCATGTGCAGGGAGGGAAGGTGCCTTGGGTTCAGTCAGTGTCGAGAACCTTATATTGTTCTGAAGAGAGGTGGTGACTTAAAAATCATGCTCAATAGGATTACGCTGAGGCCCAGCCTAGTTGAGAATTTTGGAAGGGGACAGTAGGATCCCGAAGTCCCTGGCAGGGCCCTTATATTTTAGGCTGGAGACTTCAAGGCCCTGAAGGGCACCTGGAGGTGGCTCAACCTGTCTCTGTGCTCCTCCATGAGGCAGTCCAGGCTCCCTCTGTGGGCTTTCTGTTGGCACTCTGGTTCCCTGGGCCAGGGAACGTTGGTGGCTCCTCCCTGAGCCCCTGTTCTCCCCTTGTGTCTTTCAGTGAGTGCTTCTGCCCAGGCAGGCCACTTGGCATTGACCGGTATAGGTGAGTGGATCCTGCTGGGGTCATGGGTCATGAGCAAGGCCACATGGGTCGCCGAGGGTCAGCCTTACAGCCATAAGGGTTTTCTCAGGGAGCCCACCTGAATTCCCACCGGGGAGGCATAGGTTCTCCAGGAGGGCGGCGTTTTGGGGAATCAGACCCAAGGGGGACACCTTCCCTGAAGCCCTGCAAGGGTGATGGTGGTCCAGGCAGGAAAGGGTTTTTTTCAGCCCCACACAAGGCAGCTCCTAGCTGAGAATCGGTGCTTGGGTCAGACCTCAAGGATTGCCCAGGCCACATGAGGGCGACTGAGAGCCTCCGGGGCACCACAGGGGTCACGTGGGAGCTCTCGGTGCCTGGCGTGTGATGCACAAATGGACCTCTTGGGTTTGTTCATGGAGATTCAAGGATCGCACCCCACCATGCCCCTGAATGGGATGGTCCCTCTTGAGAAATGGGCCATCCCAGTGGGTCTCCTGGAGCCTGGTTGGGGGGTGGCATTGTTTCCCTGGGGTTGGGTGAAGGCAGAGTTCTGGCCGGCACCTGGTGGTGCTGCAGGTCAGCACTGGGACCCGTGGGCGTTGGGCCAAAGGAGAGCCCGAATCCCACTGGGGGTCACCCTTTTTCCAACATCAAATGTCTGGAAGGGTGGCCTCCTGAGGTGGGAAGTCCTGCTGTTGAGGGACATGTCCTGGGAATTTGTCACTCAAGCTTCTTCTGAGCTTTGGTGTCACATCCAGGGTGGCAGGGTCTTGGGTCCAAGCAAAGCAGAGGGCACCATGTGTCTCCTGATTGGCCAAGTGTTGCTGGCTCTGTGTGGGAGGTGTGCAGAGTATGGATGGGGACCCACGAGAGAAAGCACGTAGCACTGCAACTCCAGGCTATGATTTCTGTTGCATGCTTGGAGAGGGTGCCTGGACAAGCGTGCCATGCCCAGGGGCAGGCTGGGCAACTACCAGGTCTTCAGCGGAGTGTGACATCTGGGCCAGCCTCCTTGGTTGGCCGTGACCTGGTTGGTGGCCCGGCTCTGTGCCTACTGGCCCCAGGGCAGCCCTGGGATCATGCAGGGGAGCCATTTTGAACAGTGGAGGTGCTCTTGGGGCCTGTAGTATGGCACAGCCTAGGTGTTTTGCTCAAGCCCAGTGACCCACCTGCCCTGTCCTCTCCGGGATCGGTGGAAGGGAGGGCCAAAGGTGCTCCGTGTACTTGATGAGTCAGTATTTCACATTGAACTCATCACATGTGTCCATGGAGGGTGAGCAAGGGTGAGATGGCACTGCTGACCCCCTTCCCCACGTAGAGGTCAGTTTGGACACTTGTCTTCCTCCTGTCTCCCCACATGGCGACCCCAGAGGAAAACTTGTGTTGGGCCCGCTGTCACTGGGCCAATGTCAGTCAGCCAGGTGCCCAGCCCCTGGTGCGCTGAAGCTTGGGCCCTTCTGGCACCCTTGGCTCCTGCACTGAGCTGTGGTGAGCCCATCTGGGTCCTGCTGGATGCATGTGCAGGGAGGGGGATACCTGGGTTAGGTCGATTATGAGAACCTTATATTGTCCTGAAGAGAGGTGATGACTTAAAAATCATGCCCAATAGGATTACGCTGAGGCCCAGCCTAGGTGAGAGTTTTGGAAGAGGATGCTGGGATTCTGAGGTCCCTGACAGAGTAAATGTATTTTGGGCTGGAGACCTTGAGGCCCTGAAGGGCATCTGGTGGGCCCACCCCTATCTCTGTGCTCCTCCGTGAGGCAGCCCAGGCTCCCTGTGCTGGCTTGGTATCTGGGCTCCGGATCCCTGGTTATGGGGCATGTTGGAGTCTCCTTCCTGAGTCCCCGTTCTCCCCTGTGTCTTTTGGTGAGCTCTTCTGCCCAAGTGGTCCCCGCGGCCTTGAGCGGCATAGGTGAGTGCATCCTGTTTCGGTCATGGGCCATGAGTGATGCAGCATGGGGTCCTCGACATTCAGCCTTCGGGCCACTAGGGTTTTCTCAGGCTGCCAACCTACTCCCCACCAGGGAGCAATGGTTTCTCCAGGAGGGCCACTTCCTTGGGAATCTGACCCAAGGAGCACATCTTTCCTGAAGCCCTGCAGGGGTGACAGTGGTCCAGGCAGCAAAGGGTTCCTTCAGCCCAATGTAGGGCAGCTCCCAGCTGAAACTCGGTGGACAGCTCAGGCCTGGAGTACTGTCCAGGGCACATGGGGAGGAGGGGCACAGGGAATGTGGCGCACCCTAGAGGTTACACTGGAGTTCTCTCTCCCTGGAGAGGGGTGAGTGATTGGGCCCACACAGTCAGGCTGTGAAGATTCAAGGAATGCTCCACACCCATGGCCTTGAATGGGACCAACCCTGTTGAGCAGTGGGCCATCTTATGGTACCTCCTTGAGTCTGGTGAGGGATGGCACTGTTTCAGTGAGGTTGGGTCAAGACTGAGCTCTGGCTGGCACCTGGTGCTGCTGCAGGCCCTGGGACTTGGGGGCCTTCAGTCAAGGGGGCAGCTCTGATCCTGCTGGGGACAAACCTTCCTTGAGGTCCAGTGGTGAAGAGTGTCCTCCTAAGGTGGGAAGGCCTGCTGTCAAGGGAATTTGCCACCCAGGCTGCTTCTGAGCCTTGGGGTCACCTCAGGGTGGCAGGGTCTTGTGCCCAAGGAAAGGAGAAGACACCATCTGGTTCCTGATTGGCTGAGTGTAGCCGGGCTCTGTGTGTCGGAGTTGGGCAGGGCATGGATGGGGACCCACCAGAGAAAGTGTGGCCCAGGGGCCCCCCAGGCTTGGAGAGGGCACCAGGGCCGGTGCCCACAATGCTCAGGTGCTGGCTCTGGGAGGGCCAGGTCTGCAGCGGCTTTTGGCATCTGGCCAACCACCTTGGTTGGCCAGGAGCTGGTTGATGGCCCTGTCCTGTGTCCTGTGCCCTGTGCCCTGTGTCCCTGGTATGGCCCTGGGGTCATGTGTGGGAGCTGGCCTGAGCAGTGGAGGTGCTCTTGGGGCCTGCAGTAGGGTACAGCCTAGGCATCTTGCCTGAGCCAGCACTGTCTTTTGCTTTCCCTGTCTTTCCAGGGTTTGGTGGCAGAGAGGGCAAAGGATGCCCCACATCTGTGTTGGGTCAGTGTTCAGCATGGATCCCATCACATGGGTATCCCTTAGCCCCTTCCCTGCATTGATATGTGAGGCCCTGGTTGGACACATGTCCTCCTTCTGTCCCTCTAGATGGTGAGCCTGGAGGAAGATGTGTGGGACCCGCAGGCCGAGGGCCAGTGTCTCTCAGCCAGGTGCTCAGCCCCCAGTGGGCTGAAACTCTGACCCTTCCTGGCACCCTGCTCTCCTGCACTGTGCTGTGGTGAGCACATCCGGGTTCCACTGGATGTTTGTGCAGGGAGGGGGTTCCCTGGGTTGGGTCAATGATGAGAACAGGGCCACATGAGGGGGGCCAGAGGGGCTACAGAGTGCCATGGGGTAACAAGGGAGCTCTTGGTCCCTGGAGTGTGGTGTGTGAATGGGCCCATGGGGTTGGGTAGCAGAGATTCAAGGATCCTGCTCTACCCATGGCCCTGAATGTGACCATCGCTGTTGAGCAATGGGCCATCCCAGTGGGTCTCCTGGGGCCTGGTTGGGGGGCGGAGTTGTTTCCCTGGGATTGGGTCAAGGTTGACTCTGGCTGGCACCTGGTGGTGTTGCAGGTCAGCCCTGGGACTCATGGGCTTTGGGCCAGGGACAGCCCGCATCCCGCTGGGGGTCACCCAAGTGTTGTGAAGGGTGGCCTCCTGAGTTGGGAAGGCCCGCTATTGAGGCATCTGTACTGGGAATTTGTTGCTCACGCTGCATGGGAGCCATGGTATCACCTCCAGGGTGGCAGTCTTGGGACCAAGCAAAGGAGGGGGCAGCATGAGACTCCGGATTGGCTATGTGTGACTGGCTATGTGTCTTGGAGGTATGTGGAGTATGGATGGGGACCCACCAGAGAAAACAAGTGACCCTGAGGCCCCATGCTGTCTTTTCTGGTGCCTGCATGGAGAGGGTGCCTGTACGCATGCCCACCATGCCCAGGGGCAGGCTGTGCCACTGTCAGGTCTGCAGTAGCATGTGGCATCTGGGCCAGCCTCCTTGGTTGGCTGTGACCTGGCTGGTGGCCCGGACCTCTGCCCAGTGGTCCCAGGGCAGCCCTAGGGTCATGCGGAGGAGCAGTTTTGGCCAGTGGAGGTGCCCTTGGGTCCTGCAGTCGTGCATACCCTGGGCGTTTTGCCTGAGCCCAGTGACCTACCTGCCTTGTCCTTCCCGGGTTCGGTGGCAGGGAGAGACACTTGCATAGGTGATGAGTCAGTATTTCGCATGGATCTCATCACATGTGTCCATGGAGGGGGAGCAAGCGTGAGCTGGCACCCAACACCCCTTTCTCCACATGGAGGGTGGTCACATGTTCTCCACCTGTTCCCCTAGATGGTGAGACTTCTGTTGGGCTTGCTTTTCCTGGGCCAGTGTCCATCAGCCAGGTGCTCAGCCATCGGTGCGCTGAAGCTCCAGCCCTTCCTGGTGCCCTGATCTCCTGCACTGAGCTGTGATGAGTACATCCGGGTTCCACTGGATGCATGTGCGGGAAGGGGGGTGCCCTGGGTTGGGTCAGTGATGAGAACCTTATATTGTCCTGAAGAGAGGTGATGACTTAAAAATCATGCTCAATAGGATTACGCTGAGGCCCAGCCTGGGGGAGAATTTTGGAAAAGGATGCTGGGATCCCAGGGTCCCCAACAGGGCCACTGTATTTTGGACCTGGGACCTGGTGGCTCTGAAGGGCATCTGGAGGTGGCCCAACCTGTCTCTGCACTCTAGTTTCCCTGTGTGGGCTTGGTGTCGGTGCTCCAGTTCCCTGGGGGCAGGGAATGTTGATGGCTCCTTCCTGAGTCCCTGTTCTCGCCTTTGTCTTTCAGTGAGCTCTTTCACCTAGGAGGGCCCCTTGGCATTGACTGGCATAGGTGAGTGGATCCTGCTGGTGTTATGGATCATGAGCCAGACCATATGGGGTCCCCAAGGATCAGCCTTTGGGCCACAAGGGTTTTCTCAGGGAGCTGACCTGAATTTCCACCTGAGACGGAAAGGTTCTCCTGGAAGGCAGGCTTTTTGGAATCGGACCCAAGGAGGACACCTTCTCTGAAGCCCTGAAGGGGTGATGGTGGTCCAGGCAGGAAAGGGTTCCTTCTGCCTAACATAGGACAGTGCCTAGTTGAGACTCGGTGCTGCAGTAAGGCCTTGAGGACTGCCCAGGCTACATGAGGGGGGCCAGAGGGGCTACGGGGCACCACAGGGTTAATGGTGACCTCTTGGTCCCCAGAGTGTGGTGCGTGAATGGACCCATGGTGTTGGGTTGTGGAGATTCAAGGATAGTGCCCCACCTATGGCCCTGAATGCAACTGTCCCTGTTTAGCAATGGGCCATCTCAGTGGGTCTCCTGGAGCCTGGTGGGGGGCAGAGTTGTTTCCTTGTGACTGGGTTAAGGTAGAGCTCTGGCCAGCACCTGGTGGTGTGGCAGGTCAGCCCTGGGACTCTTGGGCTTTTGACCAAGGGGCAGCCTGTATCCCGCTGGGGGTCATCCTATCTCTGAGGTCAAGTGTCGTGAAGGGTGGCCTCCTGAAGTGGGAAGGCTCGCTGTCGAGGGACCTGTCCTAGGATTTTATTGCTCAGGCTGCTTCTGAGCCATGGTGTCACCTCTAGGGTGATGGGGTCTTGGGAACAAGCAAAGGGGAGGGCACCATGTTGCTCCGGATTGGGCAAGTGTGGCCCAGCTCTGTGTGTGTGAGGTGTGCAGAACATGGATGGTGACCCACCAGAGAAAGCACATGGCCCTGTAGCTCTAGGTTGTGATTTCCGTGCACACTTGGAGACAGCATCTTGATGTGTGCCCAACACGCCCAGGGGCAGACTATGCGATAGCCAGGTCTGCAGCGGTGTGTGGCATCTGGGCCAGCCACCTTTGTTGGCCATGAGCTGGCTCATGGCCCTGACCCATGCCCACTGGTGTCAGGGGGCCCTGGCGTCGTGTGAGGAGCCATCTGTGGCAGTGGAGGTAGACTCAGGGCCTGCAGTATGGCGCAACCCATGCATTTTGCCTGAGCTCAGTGACCTACCTGCCCTGTTCCTCCAGGGTTTGGTGGCAGGGGGAGCCAAGGGTGCCCCACATTGGTGACGAGTTAGTACTTCACATGGATCTCATAACATGTGTCCGTGGAGGGCAAGCAAATGTGAGCCCGCACCCACTACTGCCTTCCCCACATGGAGGTCAGTTTGGACACATATCATCCTGCTGTCCCCCAAATGGTGAGACCGAAGAAGACTTGCCCTGGGCCCTCTGTTCTTGGGCCAGTGTCAGTCAGCCAGGTGCCCAGCTCTAAGTGCGCTGAAGCTTGGGCCTTTCCTGGAATGCTCGGCTCCCGCACTGAGCCAGGGTGAGCACATCCGGGTACTGCTGGATGCATGTGTGGGGCAGGGGTGCGCCCTGGGTTGGGCTGATGATGAGAACCTTATATTGTCCTGAAAAGAGGTGATGACTTAACAATCATGCTCAATAGGATTACATTGAAGCCCAGGATAGGTAAGAATTAGGGAAGATGATGCAGGGATCCCAAGATCTCCAGCTAGACCACACTTATTTTGCACTGGAGAACTTGAGAACTTGAAGGGCATCTCAGGGGAGCCCAACCCTGTCTCTGAGCTCCTTCGTGAGGCAGCCCAGGCTCCCCTTGCGGGCTTGGTGTCTGTGCTCCGCTTCTCCAGGGACAGGGCAATTTGGTGTTCCTTCCTGAATGCTCCTTCTTCCCTGTGTCCTTCAGTGAGCTCTTCTGCCCAGGTGGGGTCCCTAGCTTTGAGCGGCATAGGTCAGTGCATCCTGTTGGGGTCATGGGCCATGAGTGAGGCAGCATGGGGTTGGTGAGAGTCAGCCTTCAGGCCACTAGGGTTTTCTCAGGGAGCCAACCGATTACTCACCGGGAGGGATGGTTCCTCCAGGAGGGTCACTTCTTGGGAATCTGACCCTAGGAGCACACATTTCCTGAAGCTCGGCAGGGAGATGGTGGTCCAGGCAGGAAAGGGTTCCTTCAACCTAACGTAGGGCAGTTCCCAGCTGAAACTAGGTGGGCAGGTGAGGCTTGAGGACTGCCCAGTCCACATGAAAGGGGCCACAGGGGCTTTGGGGTGCCCTGGGAGTCATGCTGGAGTTCTTCCCCCAAGAGGGATGGGTGATAGGGTCCACGTGGTCAGGCTGCGGAGATTCAAGGAATGCCACCCACCCATGGCCCTGAATGGGACCAACCCTGTTGAGCAATGGGCCATTTTCGGCATGTTTCAATGCAGTTGGGTCAAGGCTGAGCGCTGGCTGGTGCCTGGTGGTGCTGCAGGCCGGCCCTGGGGCTCATGGGCTTTATGCCAAGGGGGCAACTCCCATCCCACTGGGGTAATCCCTTCCTTGAGGTCCAGTGGTGGGAAGGGTGGCCTCCTGAGGTGGGCAGACCTGCTGTCAAGGGACCTGTCCTGGGAATTTGCCACCTAGGCTGCTTCTGAGCCATGGGGTCACCTCCAGGATGGCGGGGTCTTCAGCCCAAGGAAAGGAGAGGACACCATGTGGTTTCTGATTGGCTGAGTGTGGCCTGGCTGTATGTGTGGGAGGTGTGCAGGGCATGGATGGGGACTCATCAGAGAAAGAATGTGGCCCTGGAGGCCCCCAGGCTTTGATTTCTGGTGTGTGCTTGGAGTGGGCACCAGGGTGGCCCTACCATGCCCAGGGGCAAGGTCTTTGCCTGCCAGGTCTGGAGTGGCTCCTGGCATCAGGACCACCCTCCTTGGCTCAACCAACCTTCAGCAGGTTGGCTGCCTTGGCCCGTGCCCCATGGTCCCGGTACGACCCTGGGGTTGTTCGGGGGATCTGGCCCAGGCAGTGGAGGTGCTCTTGGGGCCCACAGTAGGGCACAGCCCAGGCCTCTTGCCCCAGCCCAGTAACCCACTTGCCCTGTCTTTCCAGGGTTTTGTGGCAGGGAAGGCCAAGGGTGCTCTGCGTCCATGTTGGGTCAGTGTTCTGTAAGGATTCCATTACAAGGGTATCCCCTACCCACCTTCCCTACATTGATACATGAGGCCCTGGTTGGACACATGTCCTCCTCCTGTCCCTACAGATGGTGACCCTGAAGAAAGACTTCAGTTGGGCCTGAAGGCCCCGGGCCAGTGTCCATCATCCAGGTGCTCAGCTCCCAGTGCACTGAAGCTCAGACCCTTCCTGGTTCCCTGGTCTCTTGCACTGAGCTCTGGTGAGCACAACTGGGTGCTGCTGGATGCATGCATGGGGAGGGGGGTGCCCTGGGTTGGGGTGGTGATGAGAACCTTGTATTCTTCTGAAGAGAGGTGATGACTTAAAAACCATGCTCAATAGGATTACACTTAGGCCGAACCTAGGTGAGAATGTTGGAAGAGGACGTTGGGATCCTATTATCCCTGGCAGAGCCACTGTATTTTGGGCTGGAGACCTGGAGGCCCTGAAAGGGCATCTGGAGGGGGCCCAACCCTGTCTCTGTGCTCCTGCATGAGGGTCCCCAGGCTCCCTGTCCAGCCTTGGTGTTGGTGCTCTGGTACCCTGGGGATGGAACAAGTTGGTGGCTCTTTCCTGAGCCCCCATTCTCCCTTTGTGTCTTTCAGTGAGCTTTTCTGCCCAGGTGGGCACCCTGGCATTGATTAGCCTCCTTGGTTGTCCATGACCTGGCTGGTGGCCCGATCCTGTGCCCAGTGGTCCCAGGGCAGCCCTGGCATCATACGGGGCAGCTGTTTTGGGCAGTGGAGGTGCTCTCCAGGCCTGAAGTATGGCACAGCCTGGGCATTTTACCTGAGACCAGTGACCTGCCTGCCTTGTCCTTCCTGGGTTCGGTGGCAGGGAGGGCCAAGGGTGCCCTGCGTCAGTGATGAGTCAGTATTTTGTGTGGATCTCATCACCTGTCCATGGAGGGAAAGCAAGCATGAGCTGGCACCCAACACCCCCTTCTCCGCATGGAGGGTGGTCACATGTCCTCCACCTGTGCCCCCAGATGGTGAGACTTGAGGAAGACTTCCACTGGGCCTGCTTTTCCTGAGCCAGTGCCCATCACCCAGGTGCTCAGTCCCTGGTGCACTGAAGCTCCAGCCCTTCCTGGCGCCCTGGTCTCCTGAACTGAGCTGTGGTGAGCACATCCGGGTTTCACTGGATGTTTGTGCGGGGAGGGGGTTCTCTGGGTTGGGTCAATGATGAGAACCTTATATTGTCCTGAAGAGAGGTGATGACTTAAAAATCATGCTCAATAGGATTACGCTGAGGCCCAGCCTAGGGGAGAATTTTGGCAGAGGATGCCGGGATCCCAAGATTTCCGGGAGGGCCACTTGTATTTTGGGTTGGAGACCTGGAGGCCCTGAAGGGCGTCTGGAGGTGGCCCAGTGCTTTCTTTGCGCTCCTCTGTGAGGCAGCCCAGGCTCCCTTTGTGGGCTTGGTGTTTGCGCTCCTCTTCTCCAGTGATGGGGCACGTTGGGGGCTCCTCCCTGAGTCCTGGTTCTCCCCTTGTGTCTTTCAGTGAGCTCTTCTGCCAAGCGGTTCCCCTGGCATTGACCAACATAGGTGAGTGGATCCTGCTGGCATCATGGGCTATGAGCTAGGCCGCATGGGTTTGCTGAGGGTCAGACTTCAGGCCCCAAGGGTTTCCTCAGGGAACCGACCTCAATTCCCACCATGTGACTGCCAGGTTTGCAACAGTGCATAGCTTCCGAGCTACCCTCCTTGGTTGGCCGGGAGCTGGTTGGAGGCTGTGGCCCATGCCTAGTAGTCACAGGGCAGGCAGACTGCCCTGTTTTTTCAGGGTGTGGTGACGGGGAGGGCCAAGGGTGCCCTGCATCCATGATGGGTCAGGGATTTCAGGAGGGATGGTTTCTCCAGGAGGGCAGCTTCCTTGGGAATCTTACCCAAGGAGGATGTCTTCCCTGAAGCCCTGCAGGGGTGACGATGGTCCAGATAGCAAAGGTTTCCTTCAGCCCCATGCAGGACATCACCTAGTTGAGATATGGTATGTGGGTCAGGCCTTGAAGACTGCCCAGGCCACCTGAGGGGCCCAGAAGGGCTCTGGGGTGCCACAGGTGTTATGTAGGAGCTCTCAGTCCCCAGACTTGTTTCGTGGGGTTGGTGACGGGGTTGGGTTGTGGAGGTTCAAGGATTTCATCCCACCTGTGACCCTGAATGGGGCCAACCCTGTTGAGCAACAGGCCATCCCAATGGCACGTATTGAGCCTGGTGGGGTGTGGTGCAGTTTCAATAGGGTTGAGTCAAGGCTGAGATCCATCTGGTGCTTGGTGCTGCTGCTGGCCAGCCCTGGGACCCGTGGGCTTTGGGCTAAGGGGGTAGCCCACATCCTATTGAGGGTAACCCATTCTCCGAGTTTGAGTAACGGTTAACAGTGGCATTCTGAGGTGGGAAGGCCCACTGTCTAGGGTCCTATACTGGGAATTTGCCACCCCGGGTTCTTCTGAGACAAGTGGTCACCTCCAGGGTCATGGGGTCTTGGGCCCAAGGAAAGGAGAAGATACCATGTGGCCCTTGATTGGCTACATGTGGCCCAGGTCTGTTTGGGAGGTGTGTGGGATGTGGATGGGGTCCCACCAATGAAAGCACATGGCCTGGGTCCCCAGGCTGTGATTTTCAGTGCACACTTGGAGAGGGTGCCTCGGCGGGTACCTACCACATCCATGGGCAGGCTATGTGACTACCAGGTTTGCAACAGTGCATAGCTTCCAAGCTACCCTCCTTGGTTGGTCGGGAGCTGGTTGGAGGCTGTGGCCCATGCCTAGTGGTCACAGGGCAGGCAGACGGCCCTGTTTTTTCAGGGTATGGTGATGGGGAGGGCCAAGCATCCATGATGAGTCGGTGTTCCACATGGAACCCATTACGTGGGTATCTCTTACCCCTTCCTCATATGGAGATGTGAGGCCCTATTTGGACACATATCCTCCTCCTGTACCCCCAGATGGTGAGCCTGGAGGAAGACTTGCGTTGGGCCCAAAGGCCCTAGACCAGTGTCTGTCAGCCAGGTTCCCAACCCCCGATGCGCTGAAGCTCAAGCCTTTCCTGGCACCCTGGTCTCCTGCACTGAGCTGTGGTGAGTATATCCTGGTCCTGCTGGATGCATGTGCAGGGAGGTGGGTGCCTTGGGTTGGGTCAATGATGAGAACCTTATATTGTTCTGAAGAGAGGTGATTATTTAAAAATCATGCTCAATAGGATTACGCTGAGGCCCAGCCTAGTTGAGAATTTTGGAGGAGGACACTGGGATACCGAAGTCCCCCGCAGGGACTCTGTATTTTGGGCTGGAGACCTTGAAGCCCTGAAGGGCATCTGGAGGTGGCCCAACCTGTCTCTGTGCTCCTCCCTGAGGCAGCCCAGGCTCCTTTTGTGGGCTTGGTGTTGGGGCTCCAGTTCCCCAGGTCAGGGAATATTGGTAGCTCTTTACTGAGCCCCTGTTCTCCCTTTGTGTCTTTCAGTGAGCTCTTCTGCCCAGGCGGGCCCCCTGGAATTGATGGGTATAGGTGAGTGCATCCTGCTGGGGTCATGGGCCATGAGCCAGGCCACGTGGGGTCACCAGGGGTCCCCCTTCTGGCCATGAGGGTTTTCTCAGGGAACCGACCTGAATTACCACTGGGGAGGCATAGGTTCTCCAGGAGGGCGGCTATTTTGGGAATCGGATCCAAGGGGGACACCTTCCCTGAAGCCCTGTGGGTGTGATGGTGGTCCAGGCAGGAAAGGGTCCCTTCCACCCCACACAGGGCAGCTCATAGCTGAGAGTTGATGCTCAGGTCAGGCCTCAAGGATTTCCCAGGCCACATGAGGGGGACAGAGGAGCTCTGGGTGCCACGGGGGTCACATAGGAGCTCTCAGTATTCGGTATGTCATGCACAAATGGGCCTCTTGGGTTGGATTGTGGAGATTAAAGGATCGCGCACCACCGTGGCCCTGAATAGGACCATCCTTATTGAGCAATGGGCCATCCCAGTGAGTCTCCTGGAGCCTGGTGGAGGGGAGGGGGTGGCATTGTTTCCCTGGGGATGGGTCAAGGCAGAGCTCTGGCCAGCACCTTGTGGCTTCTGCAGGTCAGCCTTGGGACTCATGGGCATTGGGCCAAGGGGGAGCCCGCGTCCCACTGGGGGTCACCCTTTTTCCGACGTCAAGTATCTGGAAGAGTGGCCTCCTGATGTGGGAAGGCCTGCTGTCGAGGGACGTGTCCCAGGAGTTTGTCGCTCAAGTTTCTTCTGAGCTTTGGGGTCACATCCAGGGTGGCGGGGTCTTGGGCCCAAGCAAAGCAGAGGGCACCAAGTGTCTCCTGATTGGCCATGTGGCTGTCTCTGTGTGTGGGAGGTTTACAGAGTATGGATGGGGACCCACCAGAGGAAGCACGTGGCCCTGCAGCACCAGGCTGTGATTTCTGTTGCACACTTGGAGAGGTTGCCTGGACACGTGCCCTTCATGCCCAGTGACAGACTATGCAACTACCAGGTCTGCAGCAGGGTGTGACATCTGGGCTAGCCTCCTTGGTTGGCCGCCACCTGGCTGGTGGCCCGGATCTGTGCCCAACAGTCCCAGTGCAGCACTGGGGTCATGCAGGGGAGCTGTTTTGGACAGTGGAGGTGCTCTCGGGGCCTGCAATATGATGCAGCCTGGGCGTTTTGCTCAAGCCCAGTGACCCACCTGCCCTTTCCTTTCTGGGTTCAGTGGAAGGGAGGGCCAACAGTGTAGTGCGTACTTAACAAGTCAGTATTTCACATTGAACTCATCACATGTGTCCATGGAGGGCAAGCAAAGGTGAGCTGGCACCCCCGACCCCCTTCCCCAAACGGAGGTCAGTTTGGGCACACGTCTCCCTCCTGTCTCCCCAGATGGTGACCCCGGAGGAAAATTTGTGTTGGGCCCACTATCCCTGGGCCAATGTCAGTCAGCTAGGCACCCAGCCCCCAGTGCGCTGAAGCTCAGGACCTTCCTAGTGCCCTCGGCTCCTGCACTGAGCTCTGGTGAGTCCATCTGGGTCCTGCTGGATGCATGAGCTGGGGGCGGGAGGGTGCCCTGGGTTGGGTCAGTGATGAGAACCTTATATTGTCCTGAAGAAAGGTGATGACTTAAAAATCATGCTCAATAGGATTACACTGAGGCCCAGCCTAGGTGATAATTTTGGAAGAGGATGCTGGAATTCTGAGGTCCCTGACAGAGCAGCTGTATTTTGGGCTGGAGACCTTGAGGCCCTGAAGGGCATCTTGTGGGCCCACCCCTATCTCTGTGCTCCTCTGTGAGGCAGCCCAGGCTCCCTGTGCTGGCTTGGTATCCGGGCTCTGGGTCCCTGGTGACGGGGCATGTTGGAGGCTCCTTCCTGAGCCCCTGTTCTCCCTTGTCATTCAGTGAACTCTTCTGCACAAGTGACCCCCCCAGCCTTGAGCGGCATAGGTGAGTGCATCCTGTTTTGGTCATGGGCCATGAGTGATGCAGCATGGGGTCCCTGACATTCTGCCTTTGGGCCACCAGGGTTTTCTCAGGCTGCCAACCTACTCCCCACCAGGGAGCGATGGTTTCTCAGGAGGGCTGCTTCCTTGGGAATCTGACCCAAGGAGCAAGTCTCTCCTGAGGCCCTGCAGGGGTGACAGTGGTCCAGGCTGGAAAGGGTTCCTTCAGCCCAATGTAGGGCAGCTCCCAGCTGAAACTCAGTGGGCAGGTCAGGCCTCGAGTATTGCCCAAGGCACATGGGGGAGTGAGGCACGGGGGATACAGTGCGCCGTGGAGGTCACACTGGAGTTCTCCCCTCCCTGGAGAGGGATGAGTGACTGGGTCCACACGGTCAGGCTGTGGAGATTCAAGGCATGCTCCACACCCATGGCCTTGAATGGGACCAACCCTGTTGAGCAATAGGCCATCTTAGTGGCACCTCCTTGAGCCTGGTGGGGGACGGCACTGTTTCAATGAGGTTGGGTCAAGAGTGAGCTCTGGCTGGCACCTGGTGGTGCTGCAGGCCCTGGGACTTGTGGACTTTGGGCCAAGGGAGCAGCTCTGATCCTGCTGGGGACAAGCCTTCCTTGAGGTCCAGTGGTGAAAAGAGTGTCCTCCTGAGATGGCAAGGCCTGCTGTCGAGGGACCTGTTCTAGGAATTTGCTGCCCAGGCTGCTTCTGAGCCTTGGGGTCACCTCAGGGGGTGGCAGGGTCTTGAGCCCAAGAAAGGAAAAGACACGATGTGGTTCCTGATTGGCTGAGTGTGACCCGGCTCTGTGTGTCAGAGTTGGGCAGGACATGGATTGAGACCCACCATAGAAAGCATGTGATCCTGGAAGCCCCTAGGCTTGGAGAGGGCACCAGGGCCAGCGCCCACCACGCCTAGGTACGATCTCTCGGACTTCCAGGTCTGCAGCGGCTCTTGGCGTCTGGGCCAGCATGCTTGGTTGGCCAGGGGCTGGTTGGTGGCCCTGTCTTGTGCCCTGTGTCCCCGGTATGGCCCTGGGGTTGTGTGTGGTAGCAGGCCTGGGCAGTGGAGGTGCTCTTGGGGCCTGCAGTAGGGTGCTGCCCAGGCATCTTGCCCGAGCCAGGTGACACGCTTGCCCTGTCTTTCCAGGGTTTGGCGGCAGGGAGGGCCAAGGGTGCCCAGTGTCCGTGAGGGATCAGTATTCAGCATGGATCCCATCACATGAGTATCCCTTAGCCCCTTCTCTACATTGATGTGTGAGGCCCTGGTTAGACACATTTCCTCCTCCTGTCCCTCCAGATGGTAAGCCTGGAGGAAGACTTGTGTTGGGCCCACAGGCCCCAGGCCAATGTCTGTCAGCCAGGTGCTCAGCCTCTGGTGCGCTGAAACTCTGACCCTTCCTGGCACACTGGTCTCCTGCACTGAGCTGGGGTAAGCACATCTGGGTTGCACTGGATGTTTGTGTGGGGAGGGGGTTCCCTAGGTTGGGTCAATGATGAGAACCTGATATTGCCCTGAAGAGAGATGATGACTTAAAAATCATGTTCAATAGGATTACGCTGAGGCCTAGCCTAGGTGAGAATTTTGGAAGCAGATGCTGGGATCCCAAGGTCCCTTGCAGGGCCATCGTATGTTGAACTGGAGACCTGGAGGCTCTGAAGGGCATCTGGAGGTCGTGCAACCTGTCTCTGCACTCCTCTGTGAGGCAGCCCAGGCTCCCTGTGTGGGGTTGGTGTTGGTGCTATGGTTCCCTGGGGGTGGGGAACATTGGTGGCTCCCTCCAGAGCCCCTGTTCTCACCTTGTGCCTTTCAGATTTTCCACCTAGGAGGTCCACCTGGCATTGACTGACATAGGTGAGTGGATCCTGCTGGGGTCATGGGTCATGAGCCAGACCATGGGGGGATCCCAGAGATTCAGTCTTTGGGCAACAGTTTTCTCAGGGAGCAGACCTGAATTTCCACCTGGGAGGGAAGGGTTCTCCTGGAGGGCGACTTTTTTGGGAATCGGACCCAAGGAGGATGCCTTCCCTGAAGCCCTGCCGGGGTGATGGTGGTCCAGGCAGGAAAGTTCCTTCTGCTCAATGCAGGGCAGCACCCAGCTGAGACTCGGTGCTCCGGTAAGGCCTCCAGAACTGCCCAGGTCACATAAGGGGGGCCAGAGGGGCTACGAGGTGCCACGGGGTAACAGGGGAGCTCTTGGTCCCCAGAGTGTGGTGCATGAATGGGCCCATTCCGTTGGGTCTCAGAGATTTAAGGATTGCACCACACCATGGCCCTGAATGCAACCGTCCCTGTTGATCAATGGGCCATCCCATGGGTCTCCTGGAGCCTGGTGGGAGGCAGTGTTGTTTTCCTGGGGTTGGGTCAAGGCGGAGCTCTGGCTGGTACCTGGTGGTGCTGCAGGTCAGCCCTGGGACTTGTGGGCTTTGGGCCAAGGGGCATCCCGCATCCCGCTGGGGGCCACCCTTTCTCCATGGTCGAGTGTCGTGAAGGGTGGCCTCCTGAGTTGGGAAGGCTTGCTATTGAGGCACTTGTACTGTGAATTTGTTGCTCAGGCTGCTTGGGAGCCATGGTGTCACCTCCAGGGTGGCAGGGTCTTGGGACCAAGCAAAGGAGTGGGCACCATGTCACTGCAGATAGGCCATGTGTGACTGGCTCTGTGTCTGGGAGATATGTGGAGTATGAATGGGGACCCACCATTCATAGAGAAAGCAAGTGGCCCTGCAGCCCGAGGCTATGATTTCCGGTGCACACTTGGAGAGGGTGCCTTTACACCCAAGTACCAGGCTCAGAGGTAGGCTATGCCACTATCAGGTCTGCAGTGGCACGTGGCATCTGGGCCAGCCTCCTTGGTTGGCCATGACCTGGCTGGTGGCCTGGGCCTGTGCCCAGTGTTCCCAGGGTAGTTCTAGGGTGCTGCGGGGGAGCTGTTTTGGCTAGTGGAGGTGCTCTTGGGTCCTGCAGTACAGCACAGCCTGGGCGTTTTGCCTGAGCCCAGTGACCTGCCTGCCTTGCCCTTCCCAGGATCGGTGGTAGGGAAGACCAGGGGTGCCCGGCATAGGTGATGAGTCAGTATTTCACATGGATATCATCACATGTGTCCATGGAGGGGGAGCAAACATGAGCTGGCACCCGCCACCCCCTTCTCCACATGAAGGGTGGTCACACGTTCTCCATCTGTTCCTCCAGATGGTGAGACTTCTGTCGGCCTCGCTTTTCCTGGGCCAGTGTCCATCAGCCAGGTGCTCAGCCCCAGTGCACTGAAGCTCCAGCCCTTCCTGGCGCCCTGGACTGAGCTGTGGTGAGCACATCCGGGTTCCACTGGATGCGTATGTGGGAAGGGGGGTGCCCTGGGTTGGGTCAATGATGAGAACCGTATATTGTCCTGAAGAGCGGTGATGACTTAAAAATAATGCTCAATAGGATTACGCTGAGGCCCACCCTAAGTGAGAAATTTGGTAGGGGATGTTGGGATCCCGAGATTTCTGGCAGGGCCACTGTAGTTTGGGTTGGAGGCCTGGAGGCCCTGAAGGGCATCTGGAGGTGGCTCAACTCTTTCTCTGTGCTCCTCCGTGTAGCAGCCCAGGCTCCCTGTGCGGGCTTGGTGTTGTTGCTTCTGTTCCTTGGGGGCAGGGCATGTGGGTGGCTCCTCCCTGAGCCCCAGTTCTCCCCTTGTGTCTTTCAGTGAGCTCTTCTGCCAAGGGGGTCCTCCTGGCATTGACCAACATAGGTGAGTGGATCCTGCTGCTGTCATGGTCCGTGAGCCAGGCTGCTTGGGGTTGCCAAGGGTCAGACTTCGGGCCATGAAGGTTTCCTCAGGGAGCTGACCCTAATTCCCATGAGGGAGGCATGGTTTCTCCAGGAGGTCAGCTTCCTTGGGAATCTGTGACTTGACAGGGTTGAGTCGCAGAGGTTCAAGGATCTCATCCCACCTGTAACCCTGAATGGGGCCCACCCTGTTGAGCAACTGGCCATCCCAGTGGCACATATTGAGCCTGGTGGGGGGTGGTGCAGTTTCAATGGGGTTGGGTCAAGGCTGAGATATGGCTGGTGCCTGGTGGTGCTGCAGTCCAGCCCTGGGATCCGTGGGCTTTGGGCTGAGGGGGAAGCCTGCATCCTATTGGGGGTAACCTGTTCTCCAAATTTGAGTGATTGGTGGGAAGGCCTACTGTCTGAGGTCCTGTACTGGGAATTTGCCACCTCAGCTTCTTCTGAGCCATAGGGTCACCTCCAGGGTCATGGGGTCTTGGGACCAAGGAAAAGAGAAGATACCATGTGGCCCTTGATTGGCCGAGTGTAGCCCAGCTCTGTGTTTGGGAGGTGTGTGGGATGTGGATAGGGTCCCACCTGTGAAAGCATGTGGCCCGGGTCCCCAGGCTGTGATTTTCAGTGCACACTTGGAGAGGGCACCTTGGTGGGTGCCCACCATGTCCAGGGGCAGGCTATGTGACTGCCAGGTTTGCAATGGTGTGTAGCTTCCTTCTACCCTCCTTGGTTGGCTGGGAGTGGGTTGGTTGCTGTGGCCCATGCCCAGTGGTCACAGGGCAGGCAGACTGCCTTGTTTTTTCAGGGTATGCTGACAGGGAGGGCCATGGGTGCCCTGCATTCATGATGAGTCAGTGTTCCACATGGAACCCATTATGTGGGTATCTCTTATTCCTTCTACATATGGAGATGTGAGGCCCTATTTGGACACATGTCCTCCTCCTGTACCCCCAGGTGGTGAGCCTGGAGGAAGACTTGCATTGGGCCCAATGGCCCTGGACCAGTGTCTGTCAGCCAGGTTCCCAGCCCCCGATGCGCTGAAGCTCAAGCCTTTCCTGGCACCCTGGTCTCCTGCACTGAGCTGTGGTGAGCATATCCTGGTCCTGCTGGATGCATGCGTGGGGAGGGGTTGTCCTAGGTTGGGTCAATGATGAGAACCTTATAATGTTCTGAAGAGAGGTGATGACTTAAAAATCATGCTCAATAGGATTACGCTGAGGCCCAGCCTAGGTGATAATTTTGGAAGAGGACACTGGGTCCCGAAGCCCCCTGCAGGGCCCCTGTGTTTTGGGCTGGAGACCTTGAGGCCCTGAAAGGCATCTGGTGGACCCAACTCTATCTCTGCCCTCCTCAATGAGGCAGCCCAGCCTCCCTGTACTGGCTTGGTATCCGGGCTCCGGGTCTCTGGGGACGGGGCACATTGGAGGCTCCTTCCTGAGCCCCCATTCTCTCCTGTGTCTTTCAGTGAGCTCTTCGGCCCAAGTGGTCCCCCCGGCCTTAAGCGGCATAGGTGAGTGCATCCTGTTTTGATCATGGGCCATGAGTGTTGCAGCATGGGGTCCCCGACATTCAGCCTTCAGGCCACTAGGCTTTTCTCAGGCTGCAAACCTACTCTCCACCAGGGAGCGATGGTTTCTCAGGAGGGCCACTTCCTTCGGAATCTGACCCATGGAGCACGCCTTTCCTGAAGCCCTGCAGAGGTGACAGTGGTCCAGGCAGGAAGGGGTTCCTTCAGCCCCAATGTAGGGCAGCTCCCAGCTGAAACTTGGTGGACAGATCAGGCCTGGAGTACTGCCCAGGGCATATGGGGAGGAGGGACACAGGGAATGTGGCGCACCCTAGAGGTCACACTGGAGTTCTGTCTCCCTGGAGAGGGGTGAGTGATTGGGCCCACATGGTCAGGCTGTGGAGATTCAAGGAATGCTCCACACCGATGGCCTTGAATGGGACCAACCCTATTGAGCAATGGGCCATCTTAGTGGCACCTCCTTGAACCTGGTGGGGGATGGCACTCTTTCAATGAGGTTGGGTCAAGGCTGAGCTCTGGCTGGCACCCAGTGGTGCTGCAGGCTGGCCCTGGGACTTGTGGGCTTTGGGCCAAGGGGGAAGCTTCCATCCTGCTGGGAACAACCCTTCCTTGAGGTCCAGTGGCAGGAAGGGGGGCTTCCTGAGGTGGAAAGCCCTACTGTTGAGGGACCTGTCCTGGGAATTTGCTGTCCAAGCTGCTTCTGAGCCATGGGGTCACCTCTAGGGTGGTGGGGTCTTGAGCCCAAGGAAAGGAGAGGACACCATGTGGTTCCTGATTGGCTGAGTGTGGCCCGGCTCTGTGTGTCGGAGTTGTGCAGGGTATGGATTGGGACCCACCAGTGAAAGCACATGGCCCTGGAGGTCCGCAGGCTTGGAGAGGGCACCAGATCTGGCACCCACCATGCCCAGGTACAGGCTCTGGGACTGCCAGGTTGCAGCAGCTCTTGGCATCTGGGCCACCCTCCTTGGTTGGCCAGGAGCTAGTTGGTGGCCCTGTCCCATGCCCCATGTCCCTGGTATGGCCATGGGGTCATGCAGAGGAACCGGCCCTGGCATGGAGGTGCTCTTGCAACATGCAGTAGGGTGCATCCCAGGCATCTTGCCTGAGCCAGGTGACCCGCTTGCCCTGTCTCTCCAGGGTTTGGTGGCAGGGAGGGCCAAGGGTGCCCCGTGTCCATGTTGGGTCAGTGTTCAGCATGGATCCCATTGCATGAGTATCACTTAGCTCCTTCCCAGCATTGATATGTGAGGCCCTGGTTGGACACTTGTCCTCCTGTCCCTCCAGATGGTGAGCCTGGAGGAAGACTCGTGTTGGGCCCACAGGCCCCAGGCCAGTGTACGTCAGCCAGGTGCTCAGCCCATGGTGTGCTGAAGCTCTGACCCTTCCTGACTCCGTGGTCTCCTGCACTGAGCTGTGATGACCATATCCAGGTCCTGCTAGATGCATGCGTGGGGAGGCAGGGTGCCCTGGGTTGGGTCAATGATGAGAACCTTGTATTATCTTGAAGAGAGGTGATGACTTAAAAATCATGCTCAATAGGATTACACTGAGGCCCAGACTAGGTGAGAATTTTGGAAGAGGATGCTGGGATCCTGAGGTCCCCAACAGGGCCACCATATTTTGGGCTGGAGACCTGGAGGTCCTGAAGGGCATCTGTAGGGGGCCCAACCCTGTCTCTGCACTCCTCCCTGAGGCAGCCCATGCTCCCTATTCGGGATCGGTATTGGTGCTCCACTTCCCTGGGGGCAGGACACGTGGGTGGCTACTCCCTGAGCCCCCGTTCTCCCCTTGTGTCTTTCAGTGAGCTCTTCCAAACAGGTGGGCTCCCTAGCATTGACCGACAGAGGTGAGTGGATCCTTCTGGGATTATGGGCCATGAGCCAGGCCATGTGGGGTCCCCAAGGTTCAGCCTTTGGATCCCGAGAGTTGTCTCAGACAGCCAACCTGATTTGCCACCTGGGAGAGATGGCTTCTCCAGGAGGGTGGGTTTTTGGGAATTGGACCCAAGGAGGACGCCTTCCCTGAAGCCCTACTGGGATGATGGTGGTCCAGGCAGGAAAGGGTTCCTTCACCCAGCTGAGACTCGGTGTTCCAGTAAGGCCTCAAGGACCTCCCTGCCACATGAAGGGGCCCAGAGGGGCTACGAGGCACCACAGGAGTGACAGGGGAGCTCTTGGTCCCCAGAGTGTGGTACATGAATGGGCCCATGGGGTTGAGTCGCAGAGATTCAAGGATGCTGCACCACCCATGGCCCTGAATGTGACTCTCCTCCTGGAGCCTGGTGGGGGGTGGCGTTTTTTCCCTGGGGTTCGGTCAAGGTGGAACTCTGGTCAGTACCTGGTGGTAATGTAGGTCAGCCCTGGGACTCGTGGGCTTTGGGCCAACGGACAGCCCACATCCCTCTGGGGGTCACCCTTTCTCTGAGGTCGAGTGTCGTGAAGGGTGGCCTCCTGAGGTGGGAAAGCCCAATGTCGAAGGACCTGTACTGAGAATTTGTTGCTTAGGCTGCTTAGGATCCATGTTGTCACCTCCAGGGTGGTGGGATCTTGGGACCAAGCAAAGGAGAGGGCACCATGTGGCTGCCAGTGGCTATGTGTGACTGGCTCTGTGTCTGAGAGGTGTGTGGATGGGGACCCACCAGAGAAAGCAAGTGGCCCTGCAGCCCCAAGATGTGATTTCTGGTGCAGGCTTGGAGAGGGTGCCTATACCTGCTCCCACCACGCCCAGGGGCAGGCTTTGCCACTGCAGGTCTGCAGTGCCACGTGGCATCTGGGCCAGCCACCTTGGTTGGCCGTGACCTGGCTGGTAGCCCGTGCCTGTGCCCAGTGTTCCCAGGGCTGCCCTGGGGTCTTGCTGGGGAGCTGTTTTGGGCAGTGGAAATGCTCTTGGGGCCTGCAGTATGGCACAGCCTGGGGGCATTTTGCCTGAGCCCAGTGACCTGCCTGCCTTGTCCTTCCTGGGTTCGGTGGCAGGGAGGGCCAAGGGTGCCCTACATTGGTGACAAGTCAATATTTTGCATGGATCTCATCACGTGTCCATGGAGGTGGGGGCAAGCGTGAGCTGGCACGCACCCCATTCTCCCCATGGAGGGTGGTCACATGTACTCCACCTGTGTCCCTAGATGGTGAGACTGGAGGAAGACTTCCATTGGGCCCACTTTTCATGGGACAGTGTCCATCAGCCAGGTGCTCAGCCCCCAGTGCATTGAAGACCCAGCCCATCCTGGCACCCTAGTCTCCTGCACTGAGCTGTGCTGAGCACATCTGGCTTCCACTGGAAGTTTTTTTTGCGAGGAGGGGCTTCCCTGGGTTGGGTCAATGATGAGAACCTTATATTGTCCTGAAGAGAGGTGATGACTTAAAAATCATGCTCAATAGGATTACGCTGAGGCCCAACCTAGGGGAGAATTTTGGAAGAGGATTATGGGATCCCAAGGTCCCCAACAAGGCCACTGCATTTTGGGCTAGAGACCTGGAGGCTCTTAAGAGCATCTGGAGGTGGCCCAACCTGTCTCTGCTCCTTCGTGATGCAGCCCAGGCTCCCTGTGTGGGATTGGTGTTGGTGCTCCATTTCCCTGGCATGGGGAATGTTGGTGGCTCCTTCCTGAGCTCCTGTTCTCGCCTTGTGTCTTTCAGTGAGCTCTGCCACCCAGGACATCCCCCTGGCATTGACTGGCATAGGTGAGTGGATCCTGCTGGGGTCATTGGTCATGAGCCAGACCATGTGGAGTCCCCAAGGTTCAGCCTTTGGGCCACAAAGGTTTTCTCAGGGAGCAGACCTGAATTTCACCCGGGAGGGAAGGGTTGTCCTGGAGGGTGGCTTTTTTGGGAACCTAACCCAAGGAGGACCCATTCCCTGAAGCCCTGCAGGGGTGATGGTGGTCCAGGCAGGAAAGGGTTCCTTCTGCTCAATGCAGGGCAACACCCAGCTAAGATGCGGTGATCTGGTAAGGCCTCCAGAACTGCCCAGGCCATATGAGGGGGGCCAGAGGGGCTACAGGGTGCCACAGGGGTAACAGGGGAGCTCTTGGTCCTTGGAGTGTGGTGCCTGAATGGACCCATGGGATTGGGTTGTGTAGATTCAAGGATCACACCCTACCCACAGCCCTGAATGTGACTCTTCCTCTTGAGCAATGGGCCATCTCAGTGGGTCTCCTGGAGCCTGGTCGGGGGGTGGTGTTGTTTCCCTGGGGTTGGGTCTAGGTGGAGCTCTGGCTGGTACCTGGTGGTGCTGCAGATCATCCCTGGGACTTTTGGGCTTTGGGCCAAGGGACAGCCCGCATCCCGCTTGGGGTCAGCCTATCTCCATGGTCAAGTGTCATGAAGGGTGGCCCCCTGAGGTGAGAAGGCCTACTGTCAAGGGATCTGTCCCAGGATTTTGTTGCTCAGGCTGCTTCTGAGCCATGGCGTCACATCCACAGTGGCAGGGTCTTGGGCCTGAGCATAGCAGAGGGCACCATGTCGTTCTGGATTGGCCAAGTATGGCCTAGCTCTGTGTGCGGGAGGTGTGCAGAGCATGGACGGTGACCCACCAGAGAAAGCACGTGGCCCTGCATCCCAGGCTGTGATTTCCAATGCACACTTGGAGAGGGTGTCTTGATTTGTGCCCACCATGCCCAGGGGCAGACTACGTGATAGCCAGGTCTGCAGCCTGAGCCACGTGTGGCATCTGGGCCAGCCACCTTGGTTGGCCGTGAGCTGGCTGGTGGCCTTGGCCTGTGGCCAGTGGTGCCAGGGCGGCCCTGGGGTCGTGTGGGGGAGCCATGTTGGGCAGTGGAGGTGCTGTCAGGGCCTGCAGTACAGTGCAGCCTGGGCATTTGGCCTGAGCCCAGTCACCCGCCTGCTCTGTTCCTCCAGGGTTTGGTGGCGGGGAGGGCCAAGGGTGCCCCGCATCCGTGACGACTCAGTAATTCACATGGATCACATCACATTTTTCCTTGGAGGGCAAGCAAATGTGAGCCCCCACCCCCCACTGCCTTCCCCACATGGAGGTCATTTTGGACACATATCCTCCTCTAGTCCCCCTAGATGGTGAGACTGGAGGAAGACTTGCATTATGCCCGCTGTTCCTGGGCCAGTGTCAGTCAGCCAGGTTCCCAGCTCCAAGTGTGCTGAAGCTCAGGCCCTTCCTGGCACCCTCAGCTCCTGCACTGAGCTGGGGTTACATCCGGGTTCCACTGTTTGCATGCAAAGGGAGGGGTGTACCCTGGGTTGGGCTGATGATGAGAACCTTATATTGTCCTGAAAAAAGGTGATGACTTAAACATCATGCTTAATAGTATTATGCTGAAGCCCAAGCTAGGTGAGAATTTTGGAAGATGAGGCTGGGATCCTGAGATCCCCGGCAGGGCCACACTTATTTTGGGCTGGAAAATTTCAAGACCTGAAGCGCATCTTGTGGGGGGGCAATCCTGTCTCTGTGCTTCTCCGTGAGGCAGCCCAGGCTCCCGTTGCGGGCTTGGTGCCCATGCTTCGCTTCCCCAGGGGTGGGGCAATTTGGCATCCTCTTCCTGAGCCCTCCTTCTTCCCTGTGTCTTTCAGTAAGTTCTTCTTCCCAGGTGGGGCCCCTGGCTTTGAGCGGCATGGGTCAGAGCATCCTGTCAGGGTCATGGGCCATGAGTGAGGCAGCGTCGGTTCGTCGAGAGTCAGCCTTTGGGCCACTGGGGTTTTCTCAGGGAGCCAACAGGTTACCCATCAGGAGGGATGGTTCCTCCAGGAGGGTCGCTTCCTTGGGAATCTGACTCTAGGAGCATGCATTTCCTGAAGCTCTGCAGGGTGATGGTGGTCCAGGCGGGAAAGGGTTCCTTCAGCCCAACATAATGCAGTTCCCAGCTGAAACTCGGTGGCAGATCAGGCTCAAGGACTGCTCGGGCCACATGATGGGGGCCACAGGGGATTTGGGGTGCCCTGGGGGTCATGCTGGAGTTCTTGCCCCAAGAGGGGTGGGTGATAGGGCCCATGCGATCAGGCTGCGGAGATTCAAGGAATGCTACCCACCCATGGCCCTGAATGGGACTGACCCTGTTGAACAATGGGCCATTTTAATGGTGCCTCCTTGAGCCTGGTAGGTAGTGGCATTGTTTCAATGCGGTTGGGTCAAGGCTGAACTCTGGCTGGTGCCCGGTGGTGCCCACATGGGCTTTGGGCCAAGGGGGCAGCTCATATCCCTCTGGGGTCACCCCTTCCTTGAGATTCAGTGGCAGGAAGGGTGTTCTCCTGAGGTGGAAGACCTGCTGTCAAGGGACTTGTCCTGGGAATTTGCCACCTAGGCTGCTTCTGAGCCATGGAGTCACCTCCAGGGTGGCAGGGTCTTGAGCCCAGGGAAAGGAGACACCATATGGTTTCTGACTGGGAGTGTGGCCTGGATCTGTGTGTGGGAGGTGTGCAGGGCATGGATGGGGACCCATCAGAGAAAGCATGTGGCCCTGTAGGCCCCCAGGCTTTGATTTCTGGTGTGTGCTTGCAGTGGGCACCAGGGCAGCCCTACCATGCCCAGGGGCAGGCTCTGTGACTGCCAGGTCTGGAGTGGCTCCTGGCATGAAGACCACGCTCCTTGGTTGGCCATGAGCAGGTTGGTTGCCCTAGCCTGTGCCCTGTGGTCCTGGTGCAGCCCTGGGGTTGTTTGGGGAGACAGCACCGGCAGTGGAGGTGCTCTCAAGGCCTGCAGTAGGGCGCAGCCCAGGTGTCTTGCCCGAGCCCAGTAACCCACTTGCCCTGTCTTTCCAGGGTTTGGTGGCAGGGAGGGCCAACTGTGCCCCGCATCTGAAATGGATCAGTGTTCTGCATGGATCCCATCACAAGGGTATCCCCTACCCAACTTCTGTGCATTGTTATGTGAGGCCCTGGTTGGACACATGTCCTCCTCCTGTCCCTGCAGATGCTGACCCTGGAGGAAGACTTGTGTCGGGCCCCCAGGCCCCAGGCCAGTGTCCATCAGCCAGGTGCTCAGCTCCCAGTGCGCTGAAGCTCAGACCCTTCCTGGCACCCTGGTGTCCAGCACTGAGCTGTGGTGAGCCCATCCGGGTCCTGCTGGATGCATGAATGGGGAGGGGCCTGCCCAGAGTTGGGTCAATGATGAGAACCTTACATTGTCCTGAAGAGAGATGATGACTTAAAAATCATGCTCAATAGGATTACGCTGAGGCCCAGCCTAGGTGAGAATTTTGGAAGAGGACGGCTGGGATCCTGAGATCCCAGTCAGGGTCACTGTATTTTGGGCTGGAGACCTGGAGGCCCTAAAGGGCATCTGGAAGGGGGCCCAGCCCTGTCTCTGTGCTCCTCCGTGAGGCAACCCACACTCCCTGTGTGGGCTTGGTGTTGGTGCTCTGGTTCCCCAGGGACAGGGCGGGTTGGTGGCTCCTTCCTGAGCCCCTATTCTCCCTTTGTGTCTTTCAGTGAGCTTTTCCACCCAGGTGGGCCCCCTGGCATTGACCGACATAGGTGAGTGCATCCTACTGGGATAATGGGCCACTAGATAGTCTGTGTGGGGTTGCTGAGGTTTAGCCTTTGGGCCACAAGGGTTTTCTCAGGCAGCCAACCTGAATTCCCACCTGGGAGAGATGGGTTCTCCAGGAGGCAGCTTTTTTGGGAATCAGACCCAAGGAGGACACCTTCCCTGAAGCCCTGCAGGGGTGATGGTGGTCCAGGCAGGAAAGGGTTCCTTCTGCCCAACTCGAGGCCCAATGCAGGGCAGTGCCCCCCTGAGAATTGGTGCTCTGGTAAGGGCTCGAGGACTGCCCAGGCCACATGAAGGAGGTCAGAGGGGCTATGGGGAACCATGGGGGCAACAGGGGAGCTCTTGGCCCCCGGAGTGTGGTACATGAATGGGCCCATGGGGTTGGGTCACGGAGATTCAAGGATTGCATCTCACCCACGGCCCTGAATGCGACCATCCCTGTTGAGCAATGGGCCATCCCAGTGGGTCTCCTGGGGCCTGGTGTGGGGTGGCATTGTTTTCCTGGGGTTGGGTCAAGGCGGAGCTCTGACTGGTACCTGATGGTGCTGCAGGTCAGCCCTGGGACTCGTGGGCTTTGGGCCAAGAGGCAGCCCGCATCCTGCTGGGGGTCGCCTTTTCTCCGAGGTTGAGTGTCGTGAAGGATGGCCTCCTGAGGTGGGAAGGCCCACTGTCAAGGCACCTAGACTAGGAATTGTTCCTCAGGCTGCTTGGGAGCCATGGTGTCACCTCCAGGGTGGCGGGATCTTGGGACTAAGCAAAGGAGGGGACACTACGTGGCTCCCAATTGGCCATGTGTGGCTGGCTCTGTGCCTGGGAAGTGTGTGGAGTATGGATGGGGACCCACCAGAGAAAGCAAGTGGCCCTGCAGTCCCAGAATGTAATTTCTGGTGTAGGCTTGGAGAGGGTGCCTATATGCATGCCCACCATGCCCAGGAGCAGGCTATGCCACTTCAGGGTCTGCAGGGGCACCTGGCATATGGGCCAGCCTCCTTCGTTGGCTGTGACCTGGGTGGTGGCCTGTGCTTGTGCCCAGTGGTCCCAGGGTAGCCCTGGGGTCGTGCAGGGGAGCCGTTTTGGGCAGTGGATGTGCTCTCGGGTCCTACAGTACAGCACAGCCTGGGTGTTTTGCTCAAGCCCAGTGACCTGCCTGCCTTGTCCTTCCCGGGTTCAGTGGCAGGGAGAGCCAAGGGTGCCCCACATTGGTGACGAGTCAGTATTTTGCATGGATCTCATCACACGTGACCATGAAGGACGAGCAAGCATGAGCTGGCACCAGCCACCCCCTTCTCCGCGTGGAGGGTGGTCACATGTCCTCCACCTGTGCCCCCAGATGATGAGACTGGAGGAAGACTTCCATTGGGCCCACTTTTCCTGGGCCAGTGTCCATCAGCCAGGTGCTCAGCCCCTGGTGTACTGAAGCTCCAGCCTTTCCTGGTGCCCCAGTCTTCTGCACTAAGCTGTGGTGAGCACATCCGGGTTCCACTGGATTTTTGTGCGGGGAGGGGGTTTTCTACGTTGGGTCAATGATGAGAATCTTATATTGTCCTGAAGAGAGGTGATGACTTAAAAATCATGCTCAATAGGATTACGCTGAGGCCCAGCCTAGGTGAGAATTTTGGAAGGGGATTATGGGATGCTGAGGTCCTCAGCAAGGCCACTGTATTTTGGGCTAGAGACCTGGAGGCTCTGAAGGGCATCTGGAGGTGGCCCAACCTGTCTCTGCGCTCCTCCATGAGGCAGCCCAGGCTCCCTGTGCAGGGTTGGTGTTGGTGCTCCGGTTCTCTGGTGTGGGGAATGTTGGTGGCTCCTTCCTGAGCCCTCATTCTCACCTTGTGTCTTTCAGTGAGCTCTTCCACCCAGGAGGGCCCCTTGGCATTGACTGGCATAGGTGAGTGGATCCTGCTGGGGTCATTGGTCATGAGCTAGACCGTGTGGGGTCCCCGAGGTTCAGCCTTCAGTCCACAAGGGTTTTCTCGGGGAGCAGACCTGAATTTCCACCTGGGAGGGAAGGGTTCTCCTGGAGGGTAGTTTTTTTGGGAATCTAGCCCAAGGAGGATGCCTTCCCTGAAGCCCTGCAAGGGTGATGGTGGTCCAGGCAGGAGAGGGTTCCTTCTGCCCAATGCAGGACAGCTCCCAGTTGAGACTGAGTGCTCCAGTAAGGTCTCCAGGACTGCCCAGGCCACATGAAGGAGGCCAGAGGGGCTATGGAGCACCACTGGGGTAATAGGGGAGCTCTTGGTCCCTGGAGTGTGGTGTGTGAATGGGGTTTGGTCACGGAGATTCAAGGATCACACCCCACCCATGGCCCTGAAAGTGACCATCCCTATTGAGCAATGGGCCATCCCACCGGGTCTCCTGGAGTCTGGTGCAGGGCGACGTTTTTTCCCTGGGGTTGGGTCAAGGTGGAGCTCTGGTACCTGGTCATGCTGCAGGTCAGCCTTGGGACTCGTAAGCTTTGGGCCAAGGGACAGCTGGCATCCTGCTGGGGGGTCACCCTATCTCTGGGGTCGAATGTCACGAAGGGTGGCCTCCTGAGGTGGGAAGGCCCATTGTCGAGGGACCTGTCCCAGGATTTTGTTGCTCAGGCTTCTTCTGAGCCATGGTATCACCTCCAGGGTGACAGGGTCTTGGGCCCAAGCAAAGGAGAGGGCACCATGTCGCTCTGAGTTGGCCAAGTGTAGCCTAGCTCTGTGGTGGGAGGTGTGCAGAGCATGGCTGGTGACCCACCAGAGAAAGCACGTGGCCCTGCAGCCCCAAGCTGTGATTTCCAGTACATGCTTAGAGAGGGCATCTTGATGTGAGCCCACCACACCCAGGGGCAGACTACGTGACTGCCAGGACTGCAGTGGCACATGGCATCTGGGCCAGCCTTCTTGGTTGGCCATGACCTAGCTAATGGCCCTGGCCCGTGCCTTGGGGTCATGCAGGGGAGCCCTCTTGGACAGTGGAGGTCCTCTCAGGGCCTGCAATATGGCGCAGGCTGGGCATTTGGCCCGAGCCCAGTGACCTACCTGCCCTGTCCTTCCAGGGTTGGGTGGCAGGGAGGGACAAGGGTGCCCCATGTCAGTGACAAGTCAGTATTTCACATGGATCTCATCACATGTGCCCATGGAGGACGAGCAAGCGGGAACTGGCACCCGCTACTTCCTTCCCTACATAGAGGCCATTTTGGACACATGTTCTCCACCTCTCTCCCAGATGGTGAGACGGGAGGAAGACTTGTGTTGGGCCTGCTGTTCCTGGGCCAGTGGCCATCAGCCTGTTGCCCAGCCCCTGAGGCGCTGAAGCTCAGGCCCTTCCTCACACCCTGGTCTCCTGCACTAGCTGTGGTGAGCACATCCGGGTCCCGCTGGATGCATGCAAGAGGTGGTTGGTCTCGTGGGTTGGGTCGATGATGAGAACCTTATATTTTCCTGAAGAGAGGTGATGACTTAAAAATCATGCTCAATAGGATTACGCTGAGGCCCAGCCTAGGTGAGAACTTTGGAAGAGGATGCTGGGATCCTGAGATCCCAGGCAGGGCCACTATATTTTGGGGTGGAGAACTCAAGGCCCTGAAGGGCCTCTCAGGGGGTGCCACCCTGTCTCTGTGCCCCTCTGTAAGGCAGCCCAGGCTCCCTGTGTGGGCTTGGTGTCTGGTCTCTGGTTCCCCGGGGGCGGGGCATGTTGGTGGCTCCTTCCTGAGCCCGCTTTCTCCCCCATGTCTTTCAGTGAGCTCTTCTGCCCAGGTGGGGCCCATGGCCTTACACGACATAGGTGAGTGTATCCTGTTGGGGTCATGGGCCATGAATGAGGCAGCATGGGGCCATTTAGGGTCAGCCTTCGGGCCACTAGAGTTTTCTCAGGGTGCGACCGGGGAGGGAACATTTCTCCAGTAGGGTCACTTCCTTGGAAATCTGATCCTAGGAGCACGCATTTCTTGAAGTCCTGCAAAGGTGATGGTGGTCCAGACAGGAGAGGGTTCCTTCAGCCCAACATAGCGCAGCTCCCAGCTGAAACTCGGAAGGCTGGTCAGGCCTCGAGGACTGCCCAGGCCACATGAGGTGGGCAACAGGGGCTCTGGGGCAACCTGGGGGTCACGCTGGAGTTCTCCCTCTCTGGACAGTGGTGGGTGATTGGGCCCACGCAGACAGGCCCCGGAGATTCAGGACTGCACCCCATCCATGGCCCTGAATGGGACCGACCCTGTTGAGTAATGGGCCATCTCAGTGGTACCTCCTTGAGCCTGGTAGGGGGAGACACTGTTTCAATGCAGTTGAATCAAGGCTGAGCTCTGGCTGGTGCCTGGTGGTGCTGCAGGCAGCCCTGAGGGTTGTGGTCTTTGGGACAAGGGGTAGCTCACATCCCACTGGGGTCACCCCTTCCTTGAGATTCAGTGGCCAAAAGGGTGTCCTCCTGAGATGGGAAGTCCTGCTGTCGAGGGACCTGTTCTGGGAATTTGCCACACAGGCTGCTTCTGAGCCACGGGGTCACCTCCAGGGTGGTAGGGTCTTGATCCCAAGGAAAGGAGAGGACACCATGTGGTTTCTTATTGACCAAGTGTGGCCTGGCTTTGTGTGTGGGAGGTGTAACGCAAGATGAGGACCCACCAGAGAAAGCACGTGGCTCTGGAGGCCCCCAGGGTTTGATTTCCGGTGTGTGCTTGGAGAGGGCACCAGGTTGGGCACCCACCACGCCCAGGGCAGGCTCTGCGACTGCCAGGTCTGCATTGGCTCCTGGTGTCAGGGCCAGACTCATTGGTTGGCCATGAGCAGGTTGGTTGCCCTGACCCATCCCCATGGTCCCAGTGTGGCCCTGGGGTTTTTCAGGGGAGCCGGCTCAAGCAGTGGAGGTGCGCTTAGGGCCTGCAGTAGGGAACAGCCCAGGCATCTTGCCTGAGCCCAGTAACCTGCTTGCCTTGTCTTTCCAGGGTTTGGTGGCCGGGAGGGCCAATGATGCTCTGCGTCTGTGTTGGATCAGTGTTCTTCATGGATTCCATCACGTGGGTATCCCCTACCCACCTTCCCCTTGCTCATACGTGAGGCCCTGGTTGGACACATGTCCTTCTCCTGTCACCCCAGATGGTGAGCCTTGAGGAAGACTTGTATTGGGCCCCCACAGGCCCCAGGCCAGTGTCCGTCAGCCTGGTGCTCACCCCCAGTGTGCTGAAGCTCAGACCCTCCGTGGCACCCTGGTCTCCTGCACTGAGCTGTGGTGAGCACATTCAGGTTCCGCTGGATGCATGCATGGAGAGGGGCTTGCCCTTGGTTGGGTCAGTGATGAGAACCTTCTATTGTCCTGAAGAGAGGTGATGACTTAAAAATCATGCTCAATAGGATTACGCTGAGGCCCAACCTAGGTGAGTATGTTGGAAGAAGACACTGGGATCCCGAGATCTCCAACAGGGCACTGTATTTTGGGTTGGAGACCTGGAGGCCCTGAAGGGCATCTGGAAGGAGGCCCAACCCTGTCTCTGTGCTCTTCCTTGGGGCAGCCCAGGCTACCTCTGCGGGCTTGGTGTTGGTGCTCCAGTTCCCTGGGGCCAGGGAACATTGCTGGCTCCTTCCTGAGCCCCCATTCCTCCCTTGTGTCTTTCAGTGAACTTTTCCTCCCAGATGGGCCCCCTGGCATTGACTGGCATAGGTGAGTGCATCCTGCTGGGGTCATGGGCCATCAGCCAGGCCATGTGGGGTCGCTGAGGTTCAGCCTTTGGGCCACAAGGGTTTTCTCAGGCAGCCGACCTGAATTCCCACCTGGGAGAGACGGGTTCTCCAGGAGGGCAGCTTTTTTGGGAATTAGACCCAAGGAGGATACCTGAAGCCCTGCAGGGGTGACGGTGGTCCAGGCAGGAAAGGGTTCCATCAGCCCGGGCAAGGCAGCTCCTAGCTGACACTCGGTGTTCGGGTCAGTCCTTGAGGACTGCCTGAACACGAGGGGGTCCAGAGGGGCTCTGGGTGCCACGGGGGTCACATGGGAGCTCTCAGTCCCTAGAGTGTGGTGTGTGAATGGACCCTTAGGGTTAGGTCTTGGAGATAAAAGGATTGTGCTCCACCCATGGCCTGGAATGTGACCGTCCCTGTTGAGTAATGGGCCATTCCAGTGGGTCTCCTGGAGCCTGATGGGAGGTGGCGTTGTCTTCCTGGGGTTGAGTCAAGGCAGAGCTCTGGCCCATACCTGGTTGTGCTGCAGGTCAGCCCTGGGACTCGTGGGCTTTGGGCCGAGGGGCAGCCCGCATCCCGCTGGAGATTACCCTATCTCTGAGATCAAGCGTCATAGAGGGTGACCTCCTGAGAAGGGAAGGCCCACTGTCGAGGGACCTTTCCTAGGATTTTGTTGCTCAGGCTGCTTGGAATCCATTGTGTCACCTCCAGGGTGATGGAGGTTTGGGCCCAAGCAATGGAGAGGGCACCATGTGTCTCCTGATTGTTCAAGTGTGTCGGAGATATGCGGGGTATGGATGGTGGCCCACCAAAGAAAGCATGTGACTCAAGCTGTGATTTCCAGTGCATGCTTAGAGAGGGCGCCTGTATGCGTGCCCCACATGCCCGGGGTAGGCTATGCAACTGCCAGGTCTGCAGTGGCGCATGGCATCTTGGCCAGCCTTCTTGGTTGGCCATGACCTGGCTAATGACCCTGGCCTGTGCCCAGTGATCCCAGGGAAGCCCTGGTGTCATGCAGCGGAGGCCTCTTGGGCAGTGGAGGTGCTCTTAAAGCCTGCAGCATGGCACGGCCTGGGCATTTATCCCAAGCCCAATGAACTACCTGCCCTGTCCTTCCAGGGTTCGGTGGCAGGCAGGGCCAAGGGTGCCCCGTGTTGGTGACAAGTCAGTATTTCACATGGCTCTCATCACATGTGTCCGTGGAAGATAAGCAAGTGTGAACTGGCACGTCCTACCTCCTTCCCTACATGGAGGTAACTTTGGACACATGTTCTCCACCTCTCTCCCAGATGGTGAGACCGGAGGAAGACTTGCATTGGGCCTGTTGTTCCTGGGCCAGTGGCCATCAGCCTGTTGCCCAGCCCCTGATGCGCTGAAGCTCGGGCCCTTCCTCGCGCCCTGGTCTCCTGCACTGAGCTGTGGTGAGCACATCCGGGTCCTGCTGGATGCATGCACGAGGTGATTGATCCCCTCAGTTGGGTCGATGATGAGAACCTTATATTGTTCTGAAGAGAGGTGATGACTTAAAAATCATGCTCAATAGGATTACGCTGAGGCCCAGCCTAGGTGAGAATTTTGGAAGAGGATGCTGGGATCCCGAGATCCCTGGCAGGGCCACTATATTTTGGGCTGGAGAACTTGAGGCCCTGAAGGGCATCTCAGGGGGGTCCAACCCTATCTCTGTGCCCCTCCATGAGGCAGCCCAGGCTCCCTGTGTGGGCATGGTGTCCGGGCTCTGGTTCCCTGGGGGTGGGGCATGTTGGTGGCTCCTTCCTGAGCCTGCTTTCTCCCCCATGTCTTTCAGTGAGCTCTTCTGCCCAGGTGAGGCCCATGGCCTTAAGCGGCATAGGTGAGTGTATCCTGTTGGGGTCATGGGCCATGAATGAGGCAGCATGGGGCCATTTATGGTCAGCCTTCGGGCCACTAGGGTTTTCTCAGGGTGCGACCGGGGAGGGAATGTTTCTCCAGTAGGGTCACTTCCTTGGGAATCTGACCCTAGGAGCATGCATTTCGTGAAGCCCTGCAAAGGTGATGGTGGTCCCGGCAGGAAAGGGTTCCTTCAGCCCAACATAGAGCAGCTCCCAGCTGAAACTCAGCGGGCTGGTCAGGCCTCGAGGACTGCCCAGGCCACATGAGGTGGGCAACAGGGGCTCTGGGGCAACCTGGGGGTCACGCTGGAGTTCTCCCTCTCTGGACAGTGGTGGGTGATTGGGCCCACGCAGACAGGCCCCGGAGATTCAGGACTGCACCCCATCCATGGCCCTGAATGGGACCGACCCTGTTGAGTAATGGGCCATCTCAGTGGTACCTCCTTGAGCCTGGTAGGGGGAGGCACTGTTTCAATGCAGTTGAATCAAGGCTGAGCTCTGGCTGGTGCCTGGTGGTGCTGCAGGCAGCCCTGGGGGTTGTGGTCTTTGGGACAAGGGGCCAGCTCACGTCCCTCTGGGGTCTCCCCTTCCTTGAGATTCAGTGGCCGAAAGGATGTCCTCCTGAGGTGGGAAGTCCTGCTGTCGAGGGACCTGTTCTGGGAATTTGCCACACAGGCTGCTTCTGAGCCACGGGGTCACCTCCAGGGTGGTAGGGTCTTGATCCCAAGGAAAGGAGAGGACACCATGTGGTTTCTTATTGACCAAGTGGGACCTGGCTCTGTGTGTGGGAGGTGTAGGGCAAGATGAGGACCCACCAGAGAAAGTACGTGGCCCTGGAGGCCCCCAGGCTTTGATTTCTGGTGTGTGCTTGGAGAGGGCACCAGGGTGGGCACCCACCATGCCCAGGGTAGGCTCTGCAATGGCCAGGTCTGCATTGGCTCCTGGTGTTAGGGCCAGACTCGCTGGTTGGCCATGAGCAGGTTGGTTGCCCTCACCCGTCCCCATAGTCCCAGTGCGGCCCTGGGGTTGTTCGGGGGAGCCGGCCCGAGCAGTGGAGGTGCTGTTGGGGCCTGCAGTAGGGCATCTTGCCCCAGCCCAGTGACCCACCTTCCCTGTCTTTCCAAGGTTTGGTGGCCAGCAGGGCCAATGGTGCCCTGTGTCTGTGATGAGTCAGTGTTCTTCATGGATTCCATCACATGGGTATCCCCTACCCACATTCCCCTCGCTCATATGTGAGGCCCTGGTTGGACACATGTCCTTCTCCTGTCACCACCCCAGATGGTGAGCCTGGAGGAAGACTTGTATTGGGACCCTACAGGCCCCAGGCCAGTGTCTGTCAGCCTGGTGCTCATCCCCCAGTGCGCTGAAGCTCAGACCCTCCCTGGCACCCTGGTCTCCTGCACTGAGCTGTGGTGAGCACATCCAGGTTCTGCTGGATGCATGCATGGGGAGGGCCTTGATTGGGTCAATGATGAGAACCTTATATTGTCCTGAAGAGAGGTGATGACTTAAAAATCATGCTCAATAGGATTACGCTGAGGCCCAGGCTAGGTGAGAATTTTGGAAGGGAGCGCTGGGATGCCAAGATCCCCGGCAGGGCCACTAGCCACTGTATTTTATACTGAAGAACTTGAGGCCCCAAAGGGCATCTCAGGGGTCCTAGCCCTGTCTCTGTGCCCCTCCGTGAGGCAGCCCAGGCTCCCTGTGTTGACTTGGTGTCCAGGCTCTGCTTCCTGGGGATAGGGCATGTTGGCAGCTCCTTCCTGAGCCCACGTTCTCCCCTGTGTCTTCTATTGAGCTCTTCTGCCCAGGTGGGGCCCATGCCCTTAAGCAGTATAGGTGAGTGTATCCTGTTGCGGTCATGGGCCATAAATGAGGCAGTGTGGGGTCATCGAGGGTCAGCCTTCAGGCCACTAGCGTTTTCTCCAGGTGCCCCCGGGGAGGGAACATTGCTCCAGTAGGGTCACTTCCTTGGGAATCTGACCCTAGGAGCACGCATTTCCTGAAGCCCTGCAAAGGTGATGGTGGTCCAGGCAGGAAAGCGTTCCTTCAGCCCAACATACAGCAGCTCCCAGCTGAAATTTGGTGGGCTCGTCAGGCCTTGAGGACTGCCCAGGCTTCATGATGGGGGACACAGAAGCTCTGGGGCTCCCTGGGGCTCACACTGGAGTTCTCCCTCCCTGAAGAGTGGTGGGTGATTGGGCCCACAGTCAGGTGGCGGAGATTCAAGGAATGCCCCCACCCCTGGCCCTGAATGGGACCAACTCTGTTGAGTAATGGGCCATCTTAATGGCGCCTCCTTGAGCCTGTTGGGGGTGGGTTGCTGTTTCAATAAGGTTGAGTCAAAGCTGAGCTCTGACTGGGCGCCTGGTGGTACTGCAGGCCGGCCCTTCCTTGGGCCAAGGGGGCAGCTTGTGTCCCGCTGGTGTCATCCCTTCCTTGAGGTCCAGTGGTGGAAAGGGTAGCCTCCTATGGTGGGAAGGCCTGCTGCTCAGGGACCTGTCCTGGAAATTTGCCATCCAGGCTGCTTCTGAGCCATGGGGTCACCTCCAGGGTAGTGGGGTCTTGAGTCCAAGAAAAGGAGAGGACACCATGTGGTTCCTGATTGGCCAAGGCTCCTTGGTTGGCCAGGAGCAGGTTGGTTGCCCTGGCCCATGCCCCATGGTCCTGGTGTGGCCCTGGGGTTGTTCAGGGGAGCTGGCCCAGGCCGTGAAGGTGCTCTCAGGGCCTGCAGTAGAGTGCAGCCCAGGCATCTTGCCCCAGCCCAGTGACCCACTTACCCTGTCTTTCTAAGGTTTGGTGGCCAGGAGGGCCAATGGTGCCTTGTGCCCATGTTGGGTCAGTGTTCTGCATGGATCCCCATCATATGGGTATTCCCTACCCACCCTCCCTGCACTGATATGTGAGGCCCTGGTTGGACACATGTCCTCCTCCTGTCCCTTCAGATGGTGAGTCTGGAGGAAGACTTGTGTTGGACCCCCACAGGCCCCAGGCCAGTGTCCATCAGCCTGGTGCTAATCCCCCAGTGCTCTGGAGTTTGGACCCTCCCTGGCACCCTGGTCTCCTGCACTGAGCTGTGGTGAGCACATGGATGCATGCTTGGGGTGGGGGTTGCCCTTGGTTGGGTCAATGATGAGAACCTTATATTGTCCTGAAGAGCGGTGATGACTTAAAAATCATGCTCAATAGGATTACGCTGAGGCCCAGCCTAGGTGAGAATTTTGGAAGAGGACACTGGGCTCCCCGGAATGGCCACTGTATTTTGCGCTGGACACCTGCAGGCCCTGAGGGCCATCTGGAAGGTCCAACCCTGTCTCTCTGCTCCTCCAGGAGGCAGCCCAGGCTCCCTGAGGGGGCTTGGTGTCGGGCTCCTGTTCCCCGGGGTTGGGGCCGGTTGGTGGCTCCTTCCTGAGCCCCCATTCTCCCCTTGTGTCTTTCAGTGAGCTCTTCCACCCGGGCGGGCCCCCGGCATTGACTGGCATAGGTGAGTGGATCCTGCTTGTGTCATGGGCCATGAACCGGTCCATGTGGGGTCACCAAGGGTCAGCCTTTGGGATAAGAGGGTTTCCTCAGGGAACCAACCTGAATTCCCATCAGAGAGGTATGGGTTCTCCAGGAGGGCCGCTTTTTTGGGAATTGGACCCAAGGAGGATAACTTCCCTGATCTCTGCAGGAGTGACGGTGGTCCAGGCAGGAAAGAGTTCCTTCAGCCCCACCCAGCGCAGCGTTCTGTTGAGACTCAGTGCTCAGGTCAGGCCTGGAGGATTTCTCAGGCCATCTGAGGGGGTTAGAGGGGAGCTCTTTGTCCATGGAGTGTGGTGCTTGAATCTGCCCTTGGGGTTGGGTCATGGAGATTCAAGGATGGTGCCTCACCCATGGCCCTGATTGGAATTGTCCATTGAGAAATACGCCATTCCAGTGGGCCTCCTGGAGCCTGATGGGGGGTGGTGTTTTTTTCCCTGGGGTTGAGTCGTTGATGGGGACTCACCATAGAAAGCATGTGGCTCTGGAGGCCCCCAGGCTTTGATTTCCAGTGCCTGCTTGGAGTGGGCACCAGGGCCGGCACCCACCATGCCCAAGGGCAGGCTCTGCGACTGCCAGGTCTGCATTGGCTCCTGGCATCAGGACCAGCCTCCTTGGTTGGCCATCAGCTGCTTGGTTGCCCTGGCCCATGCCCCGTGGTCCTGGTGTGGCCCTGGGGTGGTTGAGTGGAGCTGGCCCAGGCAGTGGAGGTGCTCTTGGGGCCTGCAGTAGGGTGCAGCCCAGGCATCTTGCCTGATCCCAGTGACCTGCTTGCCCTGTCTTTCCAGGATTTTGTGGCAGGGAGGGCCAAGGGTGCCCTGCATCCGTGATGGGTCAGTGTTCCACGTGGATCCCATTACGTGGGTCCATAGAGGATGAGCATGCGTGAGCCAGCGCCCCCTTCCCACTTCTTCTCATGGAGCTGTGAGGCCCTGTGTGGACAGCTGTCTTCCTCTTGTCCCACCAGGTGGTGAGCCCGGAGGAGGACTTGCGTTCGGCCCGCTGGTCCCAGTGTGTCCGGAATTGGTGGGTTCTTGGTCTCACTGACTTCAAGAATGAAGCTGCGGACCCTCGCTGTGAGTGTTACAGCTCTTAAGGTGGCATGTCTGGAGTTTGTTCCTTCTGATGTTCGGATGTGTTCGGAGTTTCTTCCTTCTGGTGGGTTTGTGGTCTCGCTGGCTTCAGGAGTGAAGCTGCAGACCTTCGCGGTGAGTGTTACAGCTCATAAAAGCAGTGTGGACCCAAAGAGTGAGCAGTAGCAAGATTTATTGCAAAGAGTGAAAGAACAAAGCTTCCACAGTTTGGAAGGGGACCCAAGTGGGTTGCCACTGCTGGCTGGGGCAGCCTGCTTTTATTCTCTTATCTGGCCCCACACACATCCTGCTGATTGGTAGAGCTGAGTGATCTGTTTTGACAGGGCGCTGATTGGTGCGTTTACAATCCCTGAGCTAGACACAAAGGTTCTCCATGTCCCCACTAGATTAGCTAGATACAGAGTGTTGACACAAAGGTTCTCCAAGTCCCCACCGGAGTAGCTAGATACAGAGTGTCTATTGGTGCATTCACAAACCCTGAGCTTGACACAGAGTGCTGATTGGTGTGTTTGCAAACCTTGAGCCAGATACAGAGCGCGGATTGGTGTATTTACAGTCCCTGAGCTAGACATAAAGGTTCTCCAAGGCCCCACCAGAGAAGCTAGATACAGAGTGTCGATTGGTGCATTCACAAACCCTGAGCTAGACACAGGGTGCTGATTGGTGTGTTTACAAACCTTGAGCTAGATACAGAGTGCCGATTGGTGTATTTACAATCCCTGAGCTAGACATAAAGGTTCTCCAAGGCCCCACCAGACTCAGGAGCCCAGCTGTCTTCACCCAGTGGATCCCGCACTGGGGCTGCAGGTGGAGCTGCCTGCCAGTCCTGCGCCATGCGCCCGCACTCCTCAGCCCTTGTGTGGTTGATGGGACTGGGCACCGTGGAGCAGGGGGCGGCACTCGTCGGGGAGGCTCTGGCTGCACAGGAGCCCATGGAGGGGGTGGGAGGCTCAGGCATGGCAGGCTGCAGGTCCCGAGCCCTGCCCCGAGGGAAGGCAGCTAAGGCCCGGTGAGAAATCAAGTGCAGCGCCGGTGGGCTGGCACTGCTGGGGGACCCAGTATACCCTCTGCAGCTGCTGGCCCGGGTGCTAAGCCCCTCATTGCCTGGGGCCGGCAGGGCCGGCCCGCTGCTCCGAGTGTGGGGCCCGCCAAGCCCACACCCACCCGGAACTCCAGCTGGCCCACAAGCGCCCCGCGCAGCCCCGGTTCCCACTTGCGCCTCTCCCTCCACACCTCCCTGCAAGCTGAGGGAGCAGGCTCCGGCCTTGGCCAGCCCAGAAAGGGGCTCCCACAGTGCAGCAGTGGGCTGAAGGGCTCCTCAAGTGCCACCAAAGTGGGAGCCCAGGCAGAGGAGGCGCCAAGAGCAAGTGAGGGCTGTGAGGACTGCCAGCACGCTGTCACCTTTCATCAGGACAGTGTCTGTCAGCCAGGTGCACAGCCCTTGGTGTGCTGGAGCTTGGGCTTTTCTTGGCAGCCTGGTGTCCTGCATTGAGCGGTGGTGAGCTTGTCCAGGTCCCGCTGGTTACCTGCACGGTGACGGGGGTGCCCTCGGTTAGGTTGATGATGAGAACCTTATTTTGTCTCGAGGAGAGGTTATGTGATGGGTGTTGTGGCAGCTCTTTGTATTTCATTTTCTTCAGTGCTTTTTGTGTGTTCTCTTTGTATTTTTTACCGCTTTGTGTATTTTACTTTCACAAAGGCAGCAGCAAATGTTTTATTGGTGGTGGTATTTTTCATTTTTATTTACTTCCTAATTTGATAGTGTTTTAGTTGGAATACACAGTCTCATTGTAGTTGTTCAGAAATATGCTTTTTTTCTGTACATTATATGATTGTGCATAATTTTTGCCAGTTTTTTTTTTAATTGGGGACTACAGTTGAATGCACTGCCTATCTCCTACTTTACTGAAACAGATTGTATGGAAATCTAAAGACGAGAAAGTAGACAAGCACAGCAGAGGACATTTATTTTGATATAACCACAGAAATTCATTGATATGACCTTATCATATTGATGGTTTTTCAAAGAAATATAAAATCTTTCGATAATGGATTGTCTCAGTTGCGTTTCTCCTTATATCATGTTTTGCCTTCAATACAAATTGCAATGCTTAGAAATTTAAAGAACACCTTCTGAAGTGGAAGATCTAGCTAAAGAATTAGATTGGTATTGGCTGAAATGTTGCAGTAATCACATGATAGGGTTAATACAACATGAGTTACATGCTGAGTGCTCTAAGGTAGAAAGTAGGTAACAAGGAATAACAGGTAGGTAATGTAAGTCGGGAGAAGGAAACTCTAGGACAGAATCATTAGAAAAGGCTTGACGTCAACAGCAGTGTATAGAATTTACAGTGTATAGAATTTACAGTGCATAGAATTTACAATAAGTGCCTTTTTTTGTGCTCATCAATGCTCTTGCTTATATTGTAGGAGGAGTTAGTTCCCTTGAAGAAATATCAATACAAATTTCCAAATTGCAATGCAGAGGGAAAAAAGAATGAGAAAGTAAAAAATATCCAAGAACTCTGGAAGCATTTCAAAAAGTGTAAAAATGCATAGTGACAATGTCAGGAGAATAAGGAGATAAAGGAAAAGAAATATTTGACACAACAATGACTTGAGCACTTTCTAAAATTAATGATGGACAGAAACCCACATGTTCAGGAAGCTCAGAGAGCACTCTGCAGAATAAAAATATTTTACAAATCGACACCTTTGCATTTCATATTTAAAGTCCAGAAAATCATAGACTAAGGGAAAAGCTTGATAGGAGCAATAGGAAGAAAACCATCTTACCTATGGAGCAACAAGAATAAAAATTGCTTTGAAATTATCTTCAGAATCCATGAAAGCAAGAAGTGAGTCAGGGTGAAATATTTAGTGTTAAAAGTAAGAAACAAAAAAAAGTACCAACTTTGAATTTTCTGCTCATCAAAATTATTCTTCAAAAGTGAAGGAGAAATACTCTCTGAGACCAACAAAAATTGCTAGAACTTCTTGCCACTACACCAACCTTTTAATAAACGTAACAAGAAATTCTTCAGAAAGGATAAAAATGACATAGGTCGGAAAATCTAATTTACATAAAGAAATGAAAAGCATTGGAGAAGAAATATATGAAGAAAAATTAAATATATATGTATTTTTTGATTCATAATTGATCTTTCAACAATTTGTTCAAAATAATAACAAGATTATATTTGGTGATTATAGGTTATGGAAAAGTGAAATGAATGACAGCAATATTATAAGTCATCCGGTTCCAAGATGGCCGAATAGGAACAGCTCCAGTTTACAGCTCCCAGTGTGAGTGACGCAGAAGACAGTTGATTTCTGCATTTCCAACTGACGTACCAGGTTCATCTCACTGGGGCTTGTTGGACAGTGGGTGCAGCCCATGGAGTGTAAGCCGAAGCAGGACGAGGCATCACCTCACCTGGGAAGTGCAAGAGGTCAGGGAATTCCCTTTCCTAGCCAAGGGAAGCGTGACAGATGGTACCTGGAAAATTGGGACACTCCCACCCTAATACTGTGCTTTTCCAACTGTCTTAGCAAACGGCACACCAGGAGATTATATCCCGTGCCTGGCTTGGAGGGTCCCACATCCACGGAGCCTTGCTCACTGCTAGCACAGTAGTCTGAGATCAAACTGCAAGGCAGCAGTGAGGCTGGGGGAGGGGCATCCACCATTGCTGAGGCTTGAGTAGGTAAACAAAGCGGCTGGGAAGCTCGAACTGGGTGGAGCCCACCACAGCTCAAGGAGGCCTGCCTGCTTCCGTAGACTCCACCTCTAGGGGCAGGGCATAGCAGAACAAAAGGCAACAGAAACTTCTGCAGACTTAAACATCCCTGACAGCTTTGAAGAGAGTAGTGGTTCTCCCAGTACAGAGTTTCAGATCTGAGAACAGACAGGCTGCCTCCTTAAATGGGTCCCTGACCCCCAAGTAGCCTAACTGAGAGACACCTCCCAGTAGGGGCTGACTGATACCTCATACAGCTGGGTGCCCCTCTGAGACGAAGCTTCCAGAGGAAGGATCAGGCAGCAACATTTGCCGTTCTGCAATATTTGCTGTTTTGCAGCCTCCACTGGTGATACCCAAGCAAACAGGGTCTGGAGTGGACTTCCAGCAAACTCCAACAGACCTGCAGCTGAGGATCCTGACTGTTAGAAGGAAAACTAACAAAGAGAAAGGACATCCACACCAAAACCCCATCTGTACGTCACCATCATCAAAGACCAAAGGTAGATGAAACCACAAAGATGGGGAGAAACCAGAGCAGAAAAACTGAAAATTCTAAAAATCAGAGCACCTCTTCTCCTCCAAAGGAATGCAGCTCCCTGCCAGCAATGGAACAAAGCTGGACGGAGAATGACTTTGACGAGCTGACAGAAGTAGGCTTCAGATGATCGCTAATAACAAACTTCTCTGAGCTAAAGGATGAGGTTCAAACCCATCGCAAAGAAGCTAAAAACCTTGAAAAAAGATTAGATGAGTGGCTAACTAGAATAAACAGCATAGAGAAGACCTTAAATGACCTGATGGAGCTGAAACCATGGCACAAGAACTACGTCACACATGCACAAGCTTCAGTAGCCGATTTGATCAAGTGGAAGAAAGGGTATCAGTGATTCAAGATCAAATGAATGAAATGAAGCAAGAAGAGAAGTTTAGAGAAAAAAGAGTAAAAAGAAACAAAGCCTAAAAAAGTAAAAAAGTAAAACAAAGTAAAAAAGAAACATGGGACTATGTGAAAACACCAAATCTACGTCTGATTGGTGTACTTGAAAGTGATGGGGAGAATGGAACCAAGTTGGAAAACACTCTGCAGGATATTATCCAGGAGAACTCCCCCAACCTAGGAAGGCAAGCCAACATTCAAGTTCAGAAAATACAGAGAATGCCACAAAGATACTCCTTGAGAAGCGTAACTCCAAGACACATAATTGACAGATACACCAAAGTTGAAATGAAGGAAAAAATATTAAGGGAAGCCAGAGAGAAAGGTCAAGTTACCCACAAAGGGAAGCCCATCAAACTAACAGCAAATCTCTCAGCAGAAACTCTACAAGCCAGAAGAGAGTGGGGGCCAATATTCAACATTCTTAAATGAAAGAATTTTCAACCCAGAATTTCATATCCAGCCAAACTAAGCTTCATAATTGAAGGAGAAATAAAATACTTTACAGACAAGTAAATGCTGAGAGATTTTGTCACCACCAGGCCTGCCCTACAAGAGCTCCTGAAGGAAGCACTAAGCATGGAAAGGAACAACCAGTACCAGCCACTGCAAAAACATGCCAAATTGTAAAGATCACTGATGCTAGGAAGAAACTGCGTCAACTAACGAGCAAAATAACCAGCTAACATCACAATGACAGGATCACATTCACACATAACAATATTAACCTTAAATGTAAATGGGCTAAATTCTCCAATTAAAAGACACAGACTGGCAAATTGGATAAAGAGTCAAGACCCATCAGTGTGCTGTATTCAGGAGACCCATCTCATGTGCAGAGACACACATAGGCTCCAAATAAAGGGATGGAGGAAGATCTACCAAGCAAATGGAAAACAAAAAAAAGCAGGGGTTGCAATCCTAGTCTCTGATGAAACAGACTTTAAACCAACAAAGATCAAAAGAGACAAAGAAGGCCATTATGTAATAGTAAAGGGGTCAATTCAACAACAAGAGCTAACTATCCTAAATATACATGCACCCAATACAGGAGCACCCAGATTCATAAAGTAAGTCCTTACAGACCTACAAAGAGACTTAGACTCCCACACAATAATAATGGGAGACTTTAACACCCCACTGTCAACATTAGACAGATCAACAAGACAGAAAGTTAACAAGGATATCCAGGAATTGAACTCAGCTCTACACCAAGCAGACCTAATAGACATCTACAGAACTCTCCACCCCAAATCAACAGAATGTACATTCTTCTCAGCACCACATCGCACTTATTCCAAAATTGACCACATAGTTGGAAGTAAAGCACTCCTCAGCGAATGTAAAAGAATAGAAATTATAACAAACTGTCTCTCAGACCACAGTGCAATCAAACTAGAACTCAGGATTAAGAAACTCACTCAAAACCACTCAACTACATGGAAACTGAAAAATCTGCTCCTGAATGACTACTGGGTACATAATGAAATGAAGGCAGAAATAAAGATGTTCTTTGAAACCAATGAGAACAAAGACACAACATACCAGAATCTCTGGGACATATTTAAAGCAGTGTGTAGAGAGAAATTTATAGCACTAAATGCCCACAAGAGAAAGCAGGAAAGATCTAAAATTGACACCCTAACATCACAATTAAAAGAACTAGGGAAGCAAGAGCCAACATTTTCAAAAGCTAGCAGAAGGCAGGAAATAACTAAGATTGGAGCAGAACTGAAGGAGATAGAGACACAAAAAACCCTTCAAAAAATCAATGAATCCAGGAACTGGTTTTTTGAAAAGATAAACAAAATTGATAGACCACTAGCAAGACTAATAAAGAAGAAAAGAGAGAAGAATCCAATAGATGCAATAAAAAATGATAAAGGGGATATCACCACCAATCCCACAGAAATACAAACTACCATCAGAGAATACTATAAACATCTCTATGCAAATAAACTAGAAAATCTAGAAGAAATGGATAAATTCCTGGACACATACACCCTCCCAAGACTAAACCAGGAAGAAGGTGAATCTCTGAATAGACCAATAACAGGCTCTGAAATTGAGGCAATAATTAATAGCCTACCAACCAAAGAAAGTCCAGGACCAGAGGGATTCACAGCTGAATTCTGCCAGAGGTACAAAGAGGAGCTGGTACCATGCCTTCCGAAACTATTCCAGTCAGTAGAAAAATAGGGAATCCTCTCTAACTCATTTTATAAGGCCAGCATCATCCTGATACCAAAGCCTGGCAGAGACACAACAAAAAAGAGAATTTTAGACCAATATCCCTGATGAACATCGATGCAAAAATCTTCAATAAAATACTGGCAAACCGAATCCAGCAACACATCAAAAGCTAATCCACCACGATCAAGTTGGCTTCATCCCTGGGATGCAAGGCTGGTTCAACATACACAAATCAATAAACATAATCCATCATATAAACAGAACCAAAGACAAAAACCACATGATTATCTCAACAGATGCAGAAAAGGCCTCGACAAAATTCAACAGCGCTTCATGCTAAAAACTCTCACTAAACTAGGTGTTGATGGGACGTATCTCAAAATAATAAGAGCTGTTTATGACAAACCCACAGCCAATGTCATACTGAATGGGCAAAAACTGGAAGCATTCCCTTTGAAAACTGGCACAAGACAGGAATGCCCTCTCTCACCGCTCCTATTCAACTTAGTGTTGGAAGTTCTGGCCAGGGCAATCAGGCAGGAGAAAGAAATAAAGGGTATTCAATTAGGAAAAGAGGAAGTCAAATTGTCCCTGTTTGCAGATGACATGATTGTATATTTAGAAAACCCCATCGTCTCAGCCCAAAATCTCCTTAAGCTGATAAGCAACTTCAGCAAAGTCTCAGAATACAAAATCAATGTGCAAAAATCACAAGCATTCCTATACACCAATAACAGACAAACAGAGAGTGAAATCATGAGTGAACTCCCATTCACAATTGCTTCAAAGAATAAAATACCTAGGAATCCAACTTACAAGGGATGTGAAGGACCTCTTCAAGGAGAACTACAAACCACTGCTCAACGAAATAAAAGAGGACACAAACAAATGGAAGAACATTCCATGCTCATGGATAGGAAGAATCAGTATCGTGAAAATGGCCATACTGCCCAAGGTAATTTATAGATTCAATGCCATCCCCATCAAGCTACCAATGACTTTCTTCACAGAATTGGAAAAAACTACTTTAAAGTTCATATGGAACCGAAAAAGAGCCTGCATTGCCAAGTCAATCCTAAGCCAAAAGGACAAAGCTGGAGGCATCACACTACCTGACTTCAAACTATACTACGAGGCTACAGTAACCAAAACAGCATGGTACTGGTACCAAAACAGAGATATAGACCAGTGGAACAGAACAGACCCCTCAGAAATAATACCACATGTCTACAACCATCTGATCTTTGACAAACCTGACAAAAATAAGAAATGGGGAAAGGATTCCCTATTTAATAAATGGTGCTGAGAAAACTGGCTAGCCATATGTAAAAAGCTGAAACTGGATCCCTTCCTTACACCTTATACAAAAATTAATTCAAGATGGATTAAAGACCTAAATGTTAGACCTAAAACCATAAAAACCCTAGAAGAAAACCTAGGCAATACCATTCAGGACATAGGCATGGGCAAGGACTTCATGACTAAAACACCAAAAGCAATGGCAACAAAAGCCAAAATAAACAAATGGGATCTAATTAAACTAAAGAGTTTCTACACAGCAAAAGAAACTACCATCAGAGTGAACAGGCAACCTACAGAATGGGAGAAAATTTTTACAATCTACTCATCTGACAAAGGGCTGATATCCAGAATCTAGAAAGAAGTTAAACAAATTTACAAGAAAAAAATCAACCCCATCAACAAGTGGGCAAAGGATATGAACAGACACTTCTCAAAAGAAGACATTTATGCAGCCAAAGACACATGAAAAAATGCTCATCATCACTGGCCATCAGAGAAATGCGAATCAAAGCCACAATGAGATCCCATCTCACACCAGTTAGAATGGCAATCATTAAAAAGTCAGGAAACAACAGGTGCTGGACAGGATGTGGAGAAATAGGAATACTTTTACACTGTTGGTGGGATGGTAAACTAGTTCCACCATTGTAGAAGACAGTGTGGCAATTCCTCAAGGATCTAGAACTAGAAATACCATTTGTCCCAGCCATCCCATTACTGGGTACATACCCAAAGGATTATATATCATGCTACTATAAAGACACATGCACATGTATGTTCATTGTGGCACTATTCACAGTAGCAAAGACTTGGAACCAACTCAAATGTCCATCAACGATAGACTGGATTAAGAAAATGTGGCACATATACACCATGGAATACTTTGCAGCCATAAAAATGGATGAGTTCAAGTCTTTTGTAGGGACATGGATGAAGCTGGAAACCATCATTCTCAGCAAACTATCGCAAGGACAAAAAACCAAACACTGCATGTTCTCACTCATAGGTGGGAATTGAACGGTGAGAACACTTGGACACAGGGTGGGGAACATCACACACGAGTGGCTGCCGTGGGGTGGGGGGAGGGGGGAGGGATAGCATTAGGAGATATACCTAATGTAAATGACGAGTTAACGGGTGCAGCACACCAACATGGCACATGTATACATATGTAACAAACCTGCACGTTTTGCACATGTACCCTAGAACTTAAAGTATGAAATATATATATATATATATATATATAGTCATGAGGGAGAGAAAATACTCTTAGTTACTTGGACTAACCCACGAAGTAGGACAGTATAATTTGAAAAAGGACTTGGATTAGTTGTAAACGTATAATGTAATATCCAGCACAGCCACTAAAAATGATTTTGAAAAAAGCAGTATAATCAATATACTAACAGAAGAAAAAGCAGAATCAGGCCAGACATGGTGACTCATGTCTGTAATCCCAGCACTTTGGGATGCTGAGGCAGGAAGATCACTTGAGCCCCGGAGTTCAAGTCCAGCCTGGCAACGAATAAGAGCCCATCTCTACCCTCCACCCCCCCCAAAAAAAAAAAGAAAAAGAAAAAGAGGCCGGGCACGGTGGCTTACTCCTGTAATCCCAGCACTTTGGGAGGCCGAGGTGGGTGGATCGCGAGGTCAGGAGATCAAGACCATCCTGCCTAACACGGTGAAACCCCGTCTCTACTAAAAATACAAAAAAAAAAAAAAAATAGCTGGGCATGGTGGCGGGCGCCTGTAGTCCCAGCTACTCAGGAGGCTGAGGCAGGAGAATGGTGTGAACCTGGGAGGCAGAGCTTGCAGTGAGCCGAGATTGCGCCACTGCACTCCAGCCTGGGAGACAGCCGCAAGATTCTGTCTCAAAAAAACAACAACAACAACAAAAAAAAACAAAAACAAAAACAAAGAAAACGAAAAGAAAAAGCAGAATCTTTTTTTTTTTTTTTTTTTTTTTTTTTTTGAGATGGAGTTTTGGTCTTGTTGCCCGGGCTGGAGTGCAATGGCACGATTTCAGCTCACCACAACCTCCACCTCCCAGGTTCAAGCAATTCTCCGGGCTCAGCCTCCCGAATAGCTGGGATTACAGGTGTGCACCACCATGCCTGGCTAATTTTTTGTATGAAAAAGCAGAATCTTATACAATGCTCAATTAAAATCAGGGAGAGGAGAAAAAGAGTAGAATACCAAAAAAGTAACAAATTACAAGGTTGATATAAATAGAAAACAATCACAAATACTGAGTATACTAATCTAAGTATATCAATAATCACTTTAAACATCGCTTAAAAGACAGAGATTGTCAGTGGATTAAGAACAAGACCCAAATATATGTTGTCTATGAGAAATGCACTTTAAATAGCTGGGCATGGTGGTGTGCACCTGCAGTCCTTAGGAGGCCAAGGCGGAGTGTCACCTGAGCCCAGGATTTTGGGACTACAGTGAGCTATGATCATGCCACTGCACTCTAGCCTGGTTGACAGAATAAGACCTCATCTCTATAGAAAAAAGTAAGTAAATCTACTTTATAAAGGCACAAATATATTCACAGTAAAGGAATAGAGAAAGATATCCCATGCTAACATTAATCAAAATAAAGTGAAATAGCCATATTAATTTCAGACACAACCGACTTTAGAACAAGGAATATTATCAGAGATCAAAAGGGACATTCCTTAATGATAAAGGGATCAGTTTTCTAAGAAGACATAACAATCCTTAATGTGTACGCACTGAACAGCAGATCATCAAAGTACATGAAGCTAAATCTGATAGAACTGCATAGAGAAATAGATAAATTCACTCTTAGAGTTGGAGGCATTGGCATCCCTCTATCAGAAATGGACAGGTTTAGCAAGCAGAAAATCAGTAAGGGCATAACATGATCAATCATGATCAAAAACTTGATTCAGTCAACTATATGTAACTGACATCTATGGACCACTTTACCCAACAACAGCAGATGACACATTTTCTCACACACACATGAAACATTCAGCAGAATAGACCACATTCTGGGCTAGAAAATGCACCTCAACAAATTTAAAAGAATAGAAATCATACAAAGTATGTTCTCAGACTACAATGGAATGAAAGTAAACAAAAATCACTAAAAAAGATAGCTGAAAAACATGAAAATACTTGGAGGTTAAACAACAGACTGAAATAACTGAAGGTCACAGAAGTCTCAAGATAAATTTTTAAAATATTTCAAACTAAATGGAATTGAAAGCACAACTTATCAAAAATTTAGGAACGCAACAAAGGCAGTGCCTACTGGGAAATTTATACCACTGAATGTATGTTAAAAAGAACAAAGATCTAAATAAATAATCCTTCCCATTGGAAAGCTAGGGGGAAAATTCAAATTAAATTCAAAGTAAGCAAGTAAAAGAAATAATAAAATATGAATACAATTCTGAGTGGCCTGATATCTGATTTCTGGAAGCTGAGTTTTATGTGGCTTTAGAAGTTTCATGTTATGAGTGTGAAATGGCAAGTGACCATGGCGATTGCTTCTGATATGGCCACCTCAATTACATAGAGAAGGGATGATCAGTGGCATCATCCCAGTTCTGCATGATACCACACCAGTGATTCTCCAAAGTCAAGAAACCTGTATATGTTGTCCTTGTGTTTGGTGAATCTGTGGTCTATAGACTACATAATGGGCTATTTCTGGGGTACTGACCATTTTGCTCCATTAAGGAAAACCATGCATGAGCCATATAACTATGGGAAACAATGTTTTCCTTTTTGACACCTGGCCTACTCTCTTCTTAGGTGAGAGCAAAGGAAGAGCACCACTTGGCCTGCTGCACCCAGGGCAATTTATACCATCCAGATATCCAGCACTGAATATGTAGCAACTCCAATCCACCATAGAACATTAATCTATCTCTGATAAGCATGCTAATATCTATGATTCTGCCTTTGTGGGGAGATGACTCCATAGATTAACCCCCTGGCTTGGGGCAATATGGAGATGTTATATTGTCTTCGACAGGGAAGATGACATAAAAATTATGTTCAATAGGATTATGTGGAGACTTAACATAAGTGACAAACCTAAGACAAGAAGTTAGAAATCCTTGTTTCTTTTAGGTGAATAATTTTGGAGCTTGAGAAAAAGACACCATTGTGGCGAACTTGCTTTGCCAAACCCTGTGTATGCATTTTTGGGTAAACAACACATTTTCATCCTTTAAGCATTGTTTCCATTATTTATAATTCCTAATAGTATGAGACATTTAGGACTCATTCCTTGGTTCTTCTTCTCTCATTGTATCTTTCATTGTATCTTTCAGTGCTGCAAGAGATGCAATCATCCCATTAATGAAAGCAGAGTGACTGCCTTCGTCACACATACATTCAAAATAGATCACTAGGCTAGTGATGATTCTCTCTTAAGGCTATTATGTTTACTCATTTAAAAAATCTGGATCTCAGTATAGATTTTCTTCTCAGTGAGTGACTGACCTATCTGATATGATGCTATGACAAAATCTTTACTTTTTACCTGAATTTGGTGGGATTGAAAGTTGAGAACATATTAATTTATTTTCTGTTTCACTTGATTAATAATGCCCAATCTAACATGCAGTGTTCACTTGGGTACATATATACAACTACATCAAATTTTTTCTTGTTTTACCTTAAAAGTGTTAAGATATTGTAATGGTATGGCCAGTTTACTCACTGGTAAACTTTTCATAACAGAAATATCATGCCAGTGGACACAAATATGTAACATCAGTAATTTGCTTTCCTCATGAAACAGAGAACTGAATAAGTTGATGGGTAAACTAGTATCTGAATTATAAACCCCAAATATCATGTGACTTCATCATTTTCAGTATAATGAAAATACAGGCTGTGAATGCTTCCAGTTGGTCCTGAAAGGGCCTTTGAGGTGAGTAGGTTCACCAAAGCGGCAACATATGTGTCCCAGTGGGCATTCTACTCCTCAGTAAGTGACTTGACATTCTTTATGGCTTCCTCATGATTAAAACAAGTCTTTTTATTGAAATTTTACTGAAATAATGATGAAACAATGTAATATTCTTTTCATCTACATATAAGAGTAGACATAGATTAACCTCTACCTTTTTTTTTTTTTTTTTTGAGACGGAGTCTCGCTCTGTTGCCCAGGCTAGAGTACAGTGGTGCGATCTCAGCTCATTGCAACCTCTGCCTCCCAGGTTCAAGCGATTCTCCTGCCTCAGCCTCCTGAGTAGCTGGGATTACAGGCACGTGCTACCATTCCTGGCTAATTTTTTTGTAATTTTAGTAGAGACATGGTTTCACCATGTTGGTCAGGCTGTTCTTGAACTCCTGACCTTGTGATCTGCCCACCTCTGCCTCCCAAAGTGCTGGGATTACAGGCTTGAGCCCCCGTGCCTGGCCTTCACCTCTACCTATTATAATATTTTCATGTTATTCCATTTTGTCATGTTTGTGGGTCATTTGATGAGGGTTCACAATATGAAAACTGGGCATTTTGGCCAAGATGCATGTAAATGAATACAACTCCATGTGCCCTGATAACTGATTTCTAGATCCTGAGATGCAAGTGGCTTCCAGAGTGTCTGTATTTTATGAAAGTTCATATACAGTAAACCATGCTAATTGTTACTGATACAGCTTCCTTGAATATATAAAGCGATGATTAATGGGATGTTTTGTTTCTGCAGAAAACCACTGAATTGCTTCTCCAAAGCCAAGTGACCTGTATGATTTGTCCTTATTATATTTTGTGAACCAGTGGACTAAAACCTTTATAATGGGTCATTTTTTTAGTATTGTCAATATTGCTCAATTAACAAACATGACTCATATACACAGGTGAGATGTAGTTCTCCCTTTGACATTTGCTCTACATCTGTCCCTTAGATGATGATATGGAAGAAAAGCACTCTTTGGCCTGTTGTGACTGGGACAGTTGACAGCACCCAGGTGTCCTTTAATGAAAATGCTCTTGACACCAATGCATCCTAGCATCACAGCTTCAGGAAGCCTTCTCAAGTGTGCATGGGGAGTACTATGTCTTTCATCAATAATGAAATCTTCTGATTTGGTGAGAAATAATGCCTTAAAATTACACTCAATAGGATTATGCTGAGGCTCAGCCTACCTAGATGAAAATGCTGAAACAGATAATAGTGACTTCTTATTTCCCTTCAAGGGGAATTTTATTTTGAACTTGAAATAACAAAATCTTTATGGGTAACTTGTTTGCCCAACTGTATCAGTGCACCTATAAATGAACAAAAAATTCTCAGCCTATAAGCTTTGCTTCAGTGACCTTTAATTTCTAATAGTAAGGTATATTCAGGTCTCATTCTTTGGCTTTTTCTCTTATTGTGTATTTCAGTAAGACATGCTGCCAAGAGATGTGCCATTCTATTATAAAAGATCAGTAGCTTCCTTTACCGACGTGTATATTCTATCTAGAACATTGAGCTATGGAAGACTCCCACCTAAGGGAATTAGTTTTACACCTTCAGGTAATCTGAACTTCAATATGAGTTTTGCTTTATGATATAATCCTTATGACAAAATCTTTACTTTTTATCTGAACTTCATACAATCAATATTGAAGATTTTTTAAATTCACTGTTACCTAGTCCAATATTTAATATACATTTGGCTGTAGATACATGACTAGACAAAAATTTTTTATATTATTATTGTGGGGGCTCTAACAGTGTTTCACTGTTTTGAGTTACTGATGAACTTTCTGTAACTGTGAGACCATGGTAATGGAAGAGACCGTGGTAATGGGGAGGAGAATGTGAGGATCAGTATGTACTTTGCCTATAAAACTTAAATATTTAGTAATTTGATCACCAAATTGATACTCAAATTTCAGTTCCTATCATGTGTAAACCAAAAAGTATCTGAGATTTAGAAGTTTATTTAGAAGTGGATTTTGCCAAGGTTAAGCACATGCTCAGAAGAAATAAACCCAAAATCACAGAAACCGTCTGGGGTCTATGTCTTTCTCCAAAGATGATTTTGAGGGCTTCAGTGTTTAAAGGGGAAAAGTGGGCTGGAGGGGGAAAAGGGAGGGTATGATAATCCGTATGTTCCAAGACAAAAGGAGCAGGTAGGGGTATAGTCAATAATGTATTCATCTCATGCTCAGTAAATCAGCACTTTACATAAGATAAGGTGAACATAGAGAAGCTACCTGTGGAGATCTTTAACCTTTAATCTGTAGCTATCTGCTTAAGATCAAAAGGAAATTCTTGCATGACTCAGCTTTCAGCTTATTTTTTTTTTCTCTTGGCGTAGTAAATTGGGGTCCCAAGTTTATTTTCCTTTCACACATGTGACCCCACTATTTTCAGAATAATGAAAGCACATGTTAGAAATGATGACACTTATTCCTAATATGGACTTTGAAATGACTGGGTTCACAAATTTAGAATCATGGATCTCATTATAGGTTTTTATTTTCAATGAGTGACTGGCCTACTTGATGGAATTCTTTCAAAAAATGTTCACTTTTTACTGAGATTATATTAAAATAATGTTGGAATGTGTTCAGTCATGTTTACCATCTCTATAGTATGATATATGATAATATCGCAGATTACTCAGTGTCAAAAACCTGGCATACCTTGTCCTTATGATGTTGATGAGTCAATGGTCTAGAGCCTTAGTAATATGTCTTTTTGTGGTAGTACGGACCGTATCTGTCCACTAAGAAATAGCCTGTGTAAGCCATATACACATGAACAATTTATGTCTGATTTTGAACTATGGTCCCATTCCTATGCCTGTAGATAAAGACTGCTGAGAAGAGCACCCTCTGGTGTTGTCACAGAGGCAAGTGCTACCGCACAGGCATGCTGCAGTGAATTTAACTGATCCTCTGTCCCTGCAACCGTTGTTTAAGGATGCTATTCTGGTAAGGGTTTACAAGACAACGTAAATATATGTATAAAGAGTATCTTCAGGAGACGTAATAATGTAAAAATCATGCTCAATAGAATTAAGCTGAGGCTCAAAATAGTGCCAATCCTTGCAAGAAGGTGTGAGAAGTCATTAGATTTGGGGGGTATGGGTTATTCCATTTTGAACTTGGTAGGAAGAAACCCTTGGGGGAATCTTACATCATTTGCCTCTACCTACTTCTAAAGGAACTTTTAAAATTCTTTTATCTTGTCTTTATTCTTAATACTCATACATTATTAGAGAGAATATCTTGGTTTATTTTTTCCTCATGGTGTGCTTCAGAATGTTCATCCAGCAAGAGGTGTGTCATTACACGGATTATATATATGAGTTCTGTCTTTCGTAATTAAAAAATTTCAAGTGGACCATTTGAATATTAAACATTGGCCTTCAAAATGATTACATTTACCTGTTCATACAAAATTAGTGAGCAATGATCTATTCTTTCCAATGAGTGACTGATCTAATGAGGTCCTCATTAAAACTCCTTTTTTTTTTTTTTTTTTTTTTGCCTGAACGTACTTTGATTTAAAGATGTGACATTTAGTAATTCATTGCAATCAACTCTTTAGTGATTGCACAAATAGACAATCCTTTTCTATTATTTTATTTTTTGGTTGCTGTGTATGGTGTTATGATGTTTGTGGATCATTGAGGCACTACTCACAACTGAAAGACTTTGGCAATTTTAGGGAATGGCTTGAGATTCAGCTATAGGTTACCCTTGATTGAAATTGAATACAATACAGGTAGTCTGAAATCTCATTTCCTTATCCTGAGTCTCACTCAGGTGTCATTAGATTCATTATAAAGAAATGCATACACTATGTATGATGCCAGTTGTTACTGATATGAAGACGATAAGAAGCTTTTATTTCTGCAGGGAAATAATCCCTTACCAGGTCATCAAAAGACATGATACCTATGTGCTTGGCCCTTACTGTACACGGGGAATCAGTGGTCTACCACAGCTTAAGTAACGGGTCATATTTGGAGTATCACACATCTCAGTCTTGTAGAAATTAGGAACAGCAATTAGGAGTCATGCACATATAAGAGATGTAATCCCACCCTTTGACTATAGCCTACTCTTGTCTTTTACAGAAAAGACTGTGGAGGAAGAAAACCCTTTACCCTGTTGTTCAGGGAGAAACTGACACCACTCAACTGCCTGGCACTGAAAATGTGGCATCCAGTCCACTTTACCATCAGTGTTTAAGGAAACCATCTCTGGTAAGCATATTTGATCCAAGTGTGCATATGCACATGAGTGCCATGGGCTGGGTCAATGATGAGATGTTACCTTGAAGAGAAATGATGACGTAAAAATTAAGTTCAGTTGGATTACGCTGAGGCCCAGCCTAGGTAACAATTGTGAGACAAGAAGTTTGGATTTCTTAGTTTCCTTCCATTGGGGACTTTATTTTGGGATTCTGGCAATGGAATCTTATTGCGAAACTTGTTTTGCACGCTTCTATCTGTGTGCTTCTAAGTAAACTATAAATTCTGATTCTTTAAGTGCTATTTAAGTTTCCTACAATTCCTAATTTTCTTGGATATTTGGCACTAAGACCCTTGCTCTTTTTCTCTCATTGGATGATTTAGTAAGTCCTACTGGCACTATTCTATTGAGTGGAGGTGAGAGGCTGCCTTTGCTGACTGAAAAATTTCAAATAGATAATTGAACTAGTGAAGACTGAGCTCTATAATAATTAGATTTATTCATTCAGACAACATGAATATCACGATAGGGTTTTCTTCTCAATGATTGACTGACACATGTGATGCAATCCTCATGAGAAAATCCTTACTTTTGCCCTACGATTGATTGTTTTCAGGGTTGAGAAATATGATACATTGGAATTTTGCTCAATGCGCTACAGTTATCGTGGTCTAAATATACAGACAAAATTTTCTGTAATGTTAGTATAATATTTTAACAGTGCTAGGATATGTTTTGATCATTAATGAATCTTTATGACTTAAGGGTCCTTGCAATTGGGATAAAAATGTGAGTTTCAATAATATGTGTTTGCCCATGAAACTTGAAATTAGATAAATTGATGAGCAATCTGGTGCCTGACTTTTCTTTCTCAAGTACCTTTGGCTTCGTTTTCATTATGATGAAAGTGTGTGCTGTGAATAATGCCAATGGTAAATAAGACCTTTATGGACACTTATATGAATGACAGTCAGGGCCGTTCCTTCAGGCCACATGATTATCGTTATGCATTCTTCTTCTCAATGAGTGACTAGCATACTTGCCAGGATCTACAAGAGGGAAACTTTATTTTTTACTAAAATTGCATCGATATAATGTTGACAAGTTTTGTGATTATTGGTATCATCTCTAAGATGTGATGCTCATTTGGTCTAAATATAGAAGTTAACATATTAACTTCTAATTTATATATGTCAGGTTGCTATGTTTTTACAATGTTTGTGGTTTATTGATGATGACTCACAACATAAAGACTATGGCATTATGGCTACATGTTCTAATTCTGATATATACATATCCCATCATTCATTAAATTAAATACAATTATGAGTAGTATGATGTCTGTTTTCTAAAATCTGAGTTTCACCTGGCTCCAGTATGATCATTATATGATGGAGTGCAAGCAACATGTTAATGCCAATTGTTATTGATATGGCTTCCTTGAATATGTAAACAAGACTGATCAATTGAAGGTCTTATTTCTGCATTAAACTACCTGAGATATTCTCCAAATTCAAGAGACCTGTATAGTTAGTCTTTATTCTGTTTGATGAATAAATGGCCTATAGCCTATCTAATGGATCAGTTTTTCCAGTACTAATCATATCTCTTCATTAAGAAATAGCATGCATAAGCCATACATACAGGAGGTAATATTTGTCATCTTGATCTACTGTCTTATCCTCCTCCCCTTAGATAAGGATGACTGAGGAAGAGTACTCTTTGGCTTGTTGACACCAGCACAGCTGACACACCCAGATATCTGTTTGGTCTCCTGTGAACTTTCAACCAGGATTTAAGGATGCCACTCTGGTAGGTATTTTCAGACAAAGTGAATATGTGATTGTAGAGTTCCATGGCTTGTTTCAACAATAAGACCTTATGTTGTCTTGAGGACATGAGATGACATGAAAACTAGACTGGCTGGTCCTTATCTTTTCTGGGGTATTCTAGTTTGAGCTTAAGATAAAGAAATATATTTGGGATATAGTTTCTCTCACCTGTTTCTATTAGCTTCTAGAAGACCACTTATCAATTCTTTCCTCCTGATTTAGTGGAAAACATTTTGGCAGTTCCTCAAAAAGTTAAAGATAAAATTACCATGTAACCCAACAATTCTGCTCCTAAGTACACACTCAAAAGAATTGAATACAAATGTTCAAATGAATACATACACATGAATGTTCATAGCAGCACTATTCACTGGCTGGAGTTCCAGACCAGCCTGGCCAACGTGGCAAGACCCTGTCTCTACTAAAAATAGAAAAATTAGCTGGGCATGGTTGCTCACGCTTGTAGTCTCAGCTACTCAGGAGGCTGAGGCACAAGAATCACTTGAACCCAGGAGGCAGAGGCTGCAGTGAGCTGAGATCACACCATTGCACTCCAGCATGGGTGACAAGTGAGATTCTGTCTCAAAAAAAAAAAAGTGAAGGTATGATGACAATGTCACACAAAATAGTGAATACCAATAAAAAGATAGAAATTATTAAAAAGAACCAAATGAAAATTCTGGAGTTGAAAAGTACAATAACTAAAATTTAAAAATTTATTAGAAAGGCTCAATAGTAGATTTGAACTGGGAGAAGAAACAAGAAGTAAACTTGAAGATAGAACAATAGAGATTATGTTCAAAAGAACAGAAAGCATAAAGAATAAAGAAACAAAGAGAGTCTCAGAGAATGTGGAACATCATTAAGCATACCAGCATACACATATGGGAGTACCAGACAGGCAGGGGAGATACAAAGGATCAGAAAAAAATATTTGAAGGAATAATGGCTGAAACCTCCCATATTTGTGGAAAACAATAACTGACATATCCAGGAAGCTCAATGAATTCCAATGAATAAATGCAAAGATTGACAAATGGAAACATCACAGTAAGATATCTGAAAGTCAAAAACAAGAAGAAAGTCTTGAAAGCAGTGTGAGAAAAATGATTTGTTACTTACAAGGGAACCCCAGGAAGATTAACAGCTGACTTCAGCAGAAGCAATGGAGGCCAGAAGCAAAGGCATAACATATTAAAAATGCTCAAAGAAAAAAGAACCTGTCACCTAAGAATTCTGTACCTGGCAAAGCTGTCTTTCAAAAATGAAGGCAAAATAAAGACTTCCTCAATTAAAAAAAAAAAAGTTGGAGAATCTACTGCTCTCAAAACCCCCTTAAAAGAGTTCTCTAAATACTTAAAGAAGTTATTCAAGCTGAAAGCAAGTGAGCCTAGGTAGTTATTCAAATCAACAACTACAAAGCAAATGCTTGTAAAGGTAATTATATAAATATAAAAGACAGTAGAAATGTAATTTTTCTCTGAAGTGATTTTAAAATAAATTCTATAAAATAATATGTATATAATGTATTTTGGGGTCTATAACATATAAAAGTGTAATATATTTGCCAAAGAAGATAGGTGGATGCAAAGCAATACAAGACTAAGGAAATGACTACAGATGGTAGATTAATATTTATTATAATGTCTTTCTTGGCTTATAGCATCAATAAATGTAATATGTATAATAATACCACAAAAGATGGCAAAAAGGGAATAGAGCTATATAGGTGTAACATTTCTGTATAAGACTGAAATTAAGCTAGTGTAAATTAGAAACTTATTTGGGTGAGTTAAGATATATGCAGTAAACCCTAGAGCAACCACTGAAAAAATTCAAAACATATAGTGAAAAAAATTATTAAGGAAGTTTAAATGCTACATTATAAAATAATTACTTAATGAAAAAGAAGTAAAGAGGAATAGAGGAACAAAAACACATGAGACACAGAGGAGAAGAAGAATGACATAATAAACTCAACTAAATAATAAAATTACATGTGAATACAGTAAATATGTAAATTAAAAGGCAGAGATTCCCAGGCTGGATAAAATCTCCAGGTTTAATATCCCTTTGCCCCAAATAAACTCCAGCTTTTTTTCCTATGATGTATTTGATCATTGTGCTGGTTTACAAAAGATTTCTAACCTTTCTAAAATCTTTAAAATCAGCGGCGAAGTGTTCTATCTCATTTCACCCATATATATCAGAGACTCAAATCCTGAAAAATACCAAGTTGACCTGCCCATTCTTGAGTTCTGCTGAATGGTGTGTTCCCAGATCACTATGGATATTGCTGTTTACTTGACCAATTACTTTTAGTCAACAAGATTTGAACAATGCTTTTGATTCACACAGCGTGAGACCTAGACTTCCCTCATATTGAAATAGGAGCATTAGCATCCTGGATTCCTGCACCGGCTTTTGAACCTTATGTTTCCTGCACCCCAAGAAGCCATGTTATCTGGACATTGTCCTCTCTGTGATGGGAAAGAAGAGTTTTTTCAACAAATGTTGCTAGGACAACTGGATATCTAGATACAAAAGATACTGCATTTATGTTACCAGTTTTCTGTGTCAGTCCATTTTGCTCTGATGTAACAGAATACTGCAGACTGGGTATTTGTAATGAGTGGAAACTTATTGGCTCACATTTCTGGAGGCTGGAAAGATCAAGGGGCTGGCATATGATAAGGGCCTTCTCACTCTGTCATCCTATGGTAGAAGGGCAAAGAGAGGGTATGGATGGGACAAATATCTTCTTTTATAGGAACCCACCCCTGAAATAACAGCATTAATCCATTGATGAGGGCAGAGCTCTCACAGCCTAATCACCTTTTTTTTTTTTTTTTGAGACGGAGTCTCGCTCTTTCGCCCAGGCGAGAGTGCAGTGGTGCTATCTCGGCTCACTGCAGGCTCCGCCTCCCGGGTTCACGCCATTCTCCTGCCTCAGCCTCCCGAGTAGCTGGGACTATAGGCGCCCGCCACGGCGGCCGGCTAATTTTTTGTATTTTTAGTAGAGACGGGGTTTCACCGTGTTAGCCAGGATGGTCTCATTCTCCTGACCTCGCGATCCGCCCGCCTTGGCCTCCCAAAGCCCTGGGATCACAGGCGTGAGCCACCGCGCCCGGCCGCCTAATCACCTTTTAAATGTTGCTTTATTAAACACTGTTGCATTGAGGGTTACGTTTCCAAGACAGGCTTTTGAAGTGAAATGAAAAATTTGACCATTCCCAATTATAGTTTGAAATTTCAATGCTCCTTTCTTAGTATGTGATTGAACATGGATAAGATAATCAGTAACGGTGGATGTAAGAACACTATTAACCAACTTGACTCCACTGTCATATGTAGAACACAACACCCAACAATAGCAGAATGCACATTATATTCAAGTGCTCATAAAGCATTATTTTGTATATATGTATTTTCTCCCTTTTTTGATAAAGTTAGCTAGTAGAGTGCCTATGTAGTTAATATTTTTTAAAAACCACAGGCTTCTCAATTATTAATTACATCTATGGTTTTTAAAATATTATCTTCATTAATTTCTGCTTTGATCCTTATTCCTTTCTTTCTTGTACTTTCTTTTATTTTTGTTCTTTTTTAGTGTTTTAAGATGAAAATTGAATTGTTTCATTCATCTTTTTCATTTTTTAAAATAAAAACATTTAGTGCAATGAATTTTCCTCTAGAACTGCCTTTAAATGCATATTACAGATTCTCATATGTTGTATATTTTAAAATAATATGTAAATATATATTTGCATAGAAAAACATATTTACATACAAAATATGTATTTACATATTTAAACATATGTATTTTCTGTTTATATTTTTCCTTTTACTCAGGAGTTAATAGGATATTTTTAAAATTTCTTGGTGAAAGCGCCTTTATCTTATTGTTAGTAAAGTCTATGTTTTTGCATTGTGATCAGATAGTGCAGTTTTTAATATTTCTTGAGTTACTAATTTTTCTTTCCAACCTAATATATAATCAGTTTTTTGTGACTATGCCATGGGCACTTAAGAACAACACAGATCTTCTATTATCTGTCAAGTTTAATATGTAGCCATAAAATCTACCTTATTTTTATGTTGCTATTTTTGCCCACTTGATCTGTCTTTTTCTGATAATGGTGTATTATAGTTTTCTATTATGGGATCATCTATGTCTTGTCTCCTTACATCTCATACATCTCATGCAGTTTTTTATTCATAAAGGTGGTTATTATGTTATTTGGTATATAAGTCTCCATAAGGGTCAAATCTTCATGTGTATTATATCTTTTAGCATAAAAAAAGTGTCCTTCTTTGCCTTGATTAACATGGTGGGACTTGAATACATTGTGTGATATAAGAATTACTACGCTTGCATGCGATTGGCATGAAAAAAAAAAAGATTACTCCTATCTCTTTTTGTTTTCATGTGCCTGATATACTTTCGCCCATCCCTTTATTTTCAGTCTTTTAGAATCCATTTGTTTTAGATTCATCTCTCATAGAAAACATATTATGTTTTATTTTGTGAGCCCACTGAAAATATTTTTCTTCTAGTAGGTGTGTGGAGTCCACTCACGTGTGTGTGTGTGTGTGTGTGTGTGTGTGTGTAGCTATGACTGATATTTATTGTGTTTGTATTTTCTTTATATTTGCTACGCTCTTTTGTCACGGTGTAGTCTTTGCTTGCCTATTTATTCATACTTAGGAGAGTTTTTGTTTTTGTTGGAGTGTTTACTTTTGTACCTCTCTTAATTCTGTTAGTTCTGTGTTTTCCTAGTTAATCTTTTACTTCTGATTTATCAGTTTGGGGGATGTTCTTCAGCACTCCCCTATTCTCATGCAAAGTGCTTTCGGTTTTCCTCTTTTTTTTTTTTTCCTCCTCCTGTGTTTAGTTGTCTTATTTCTACTTTGTCACAATATTAGTGACATTTGTATGCTAGTCTTCTACCCTGGATAGGGAATATACACCTGTCAGATGGAAGGAATATCATGTTGTATGCTGCTGTCAAATAGATCCTAACATACTTTAATAATCTTTTAAATGATATAATCCAAGTTCATAGTTAACTCCTGACTTTTTATTTCTATCATATTCAGTAGATATATCAGCATTGACAGCCATCCCACTGCAATATCACTTCACATTTTGCTTAGACCAAAGGGTTCTGAGAAGCTTCTGGAGCTGTTGTGAAAGCCAGTTTCATTAAAGTCAAGTCAGACATCCACCTGTGCTGTTTTCTGCTATAAGCTGAATGCAGGGGATACAATGTTAGGAGCATCAGTGTGGTATGAGGAATGTTTACTTATTGGTAGTAGACTTGTCTGGATCAAGGATAAGTACAAGTATCTGAGATGCTGAGGTGTGGCTGAATGAATGGCCATCTGTTCTATTGCAACAGGATAAATAACACATTCGGAGCAGGCCTAACTGGTGAACTCCTCAATTATCTCACAATAGCACTATCACGTGTCTTTCATTTTTCACAGCACAGTGTATTTTCATAAAATCTTTATTGGTAGACCACAACTTTAGCATTTCCCATTCAAGATACAACTACTGTGTCACTTGGATAGCTTGGTAGAGAGGAAATTGGCTATTTTCAGAGTAAAGAATTCAAGGAGGAAACAGATTATAAATGAAATGACAAAGGTGATGAGATCAAGCAATGCTGACGTTTGTAGCAAGGAGTAGAGGGCTGAGATGCCTGTATGATAAGAAATTATAATGGAACCAATCTTGTGCTTTATTTTTTATTAATTTGGAGCATTCTCTGATCTGATTTATTTTCTATGTGATATTTTGCTGCAGGTTAAAAGCTGAAACAACTTCAAGGAAACTTCAGGGAAAAGAGGTGAGCAGCCACTTTGGTACTTTTGAAATTCTTTGTTCTGTGGGCAATGATGTCAGAATGTCAAAGACTGTGAGTTCATTATTTCAGAGGCTTAAAGGAGATTATTCTTTTGGTAGATATATTTCCCCATGGGTGTCCCTACCTTGTTCAAGGATTCCTTATTATTGTTTCTTCTCTTTGTTTAAATCTCTTTTTGAGATGACCTAAACAACTGTGGAGAATCATTGATATATTTCCTTTTTTCACTGTTCATGTTGGGTGAAAATAATCTTGTAGTGAAATTCACATGTTCTAAATATTGTTTTTTTACATCTTTATCTGGCACATTCATAACATAGATGTTTCTATACATATTAGTACTGTAATCATACCATATATTATTCTGTTACCCCACTTACTCCTTAAACTTTTAGTTAATTAAAGAGTTTTTATAAAGTCCCCCAATAGATTTTTTTTTTTTGAGACATAGTCTCACTCTGTTGCCCAGGCTGGAGTGCAGTGGCGTGATTTTGGCTCACTGCAACCTCCCCATCCTGGGTTCAAGCAATTCTCCTGCCTCAGCCTGCCAAGTAGCTGGGATTACAGGTGCCTGCCACCACGCCCGACTAATTTTTGTATTTTCAGTAGTGACAGGGTTTCACCATCTTGGCCAGGCTGGTCTTGAACTCCTGACCTCGTGATCCACCCGCCTTGGCCTCTCAGAGTGCTAGGATTACAGGCTTGAGCCACTGCACCCGGCCAGATTTTAATCTAATTTTATTAGAACAATTCAGTCATATGTTTTTTCATGCTATGTATATGAGAGTTCCATTATTCAGATACTAAACAAATGTCTACTGTACATTTACTGTTCTCACTGATGATGCATTAGATAACCATGCACAAAATAAGCCTGGCTGTGGAAACGCTTATTTGTTGGGAGGGTGCTTGTTTGGATCGATGATGAGAATAATTGTCTGAGGATGCTGAGGGACTCATTCCAGATGTCAATCTGAGGTCCAGATGTGCGGCCCTCCAATAGGACAAATAAGACTCTCAGAGCCTGGCTCTATTTGGGGATCCCTCAGTGACAACATAGTACCCCTGTGAGCGTGCCTTTTCTATCTCTTCGAAGAGGGCAGTGGCATCCTGTCTTATGAGTCAGTGTGCACTTTAGTGTGCCTAGTGACCCAAGACTTGCTTTAATTGTAGATAGATACTTACATATAGGAAATATTTCTTAAGTAACAAATGAAAAACTTTAGAAGATTGAATTAAGGGTCAAGCAACTGTGATATGTCTGAAAATCTCATTAGTGTTGTGCTGAAAGAAGGAAATATGGCATGCCTCTATTAAATAATGACAGTGGAACCAAGTTTATTGCTTTGTTATTTTTACTGTGGAGTATTTTCTAAGATTATTTTTGCTTTTTTTTTCTTTCATGTTTTGCTGAGATAGAAGGCCTGGAATCTGATCCTCCACTTCAGAGAACAGGGGTGAGTAGCTAAGCCATTATCTTTTGAAATTCATATGTCATGTGCTCTTTGCTAGGTCTTTAGGTCGTTTTGTACATCTTTTCAGAAGCTTATTGGAGGACATTTTCATGATATGTCCTTTTCCTCATTGAGACCCTCACCATGTCACCTACACTATTGAATCCTTATCATTTCTCTTTTAATTTTAACTCTCTTTTGCTTTTATGGAAAAATGTAGAATTTAAGAGAATTTTTGGCAATTTCATATTGGATCAAAATGTATTGTAGTGAAATCCAGGTGTGCCAAAATATTAACAGATTTTCCCCATCTGTTTAATTATTGGGGTTTCAGAATAGAGACTCCATGGTTCATAATATCTTTGTGGTCATACTACATTATATTTCTGCTTCTAATTTAATTATTAAATATTGACTTGAATTAGTCTTTTCCTCATTGTTGCAACAAGGTAAGTTATATAGGAAATTTTCTTCTCTTGATGGCATGTCTGAGATAATCATAGATATAAGACACCTGGCTGGTTTCTAGAATGCATGTAATTTTTATTTCTTGATCTGTGTGTTGAGTACTTGCTGTGATTGCATCATGCAAATACATTGAGCTTTACAATTTTAGTGTATGCACTTTTCTACATGTATATTATTCTTCGATAGAAAGTAAAAAAAACTTATCGAACTAGTCAAAATATTGGTTAATACATAAAAAAAGTCTCAAGTAGATTGTGTATTACATGGTGCTTGTTGATTGATGCCCTCATAATAGATCAAGTGGGTTCTCTCTTTAGCACAGGGCTTTTTAGCAAATCATGTCATGAGTAGTTACTCAAGTATTTTTATTTTAACACATTTATATTTTTTCTATGTATATTCTTAAATTCTCTTATACTTTTTTCTCTGTTATAAAAACATGCTGAACAATCTCAAGTCTTAAGGATTGCAGTATTGTCCCCACATATTCATGTATTTTGGTACTCAATTCTTTATACTTTCTTTGACAGATCACTTGAACTGGCACATGTCTCTTGTTTTGCAGAGAGGGAATTAATGTGATACCTTCATGCTTTTCTATTCTATGTGCTACATAATTGAATATACAAGCAAATATAGTTGTTAAGATTTAGTGTGATTATTTCTACACCACATGCAAAGAAGTTTCTCATAGATCTTAATAGAGGCCCACATGCATTGTACAGTTTAGAATTTGGGGAAATATTGATGAAGTTGGGTAAAGTATAAAGCCAAAAGTCAGAACAGTGAACTCCTTGCTTAAGGATTTCCTTGGAGATTACTTAGTCAATACACAACTGATAAATTTAAGTGCTTTTCACCTTTTGAGTTCTCGACATACTAAAGCTAAAATGTGTTTCAACTTTTAATCCTGCTTCCCTGATTTTCCCTTTTTTAGTCTGAGATCAAAGAGTTTCAGCCATAAATTACTGCCAAGAGTAATCACTTCATTTTAAGAAAGCTTAACAATATAGAAGAATATAAAATTATTTATGACAGATGTATTTTTAACCTTTTCCCCATGCTTTCCAGAGGAAATATGTTTAATCATCTGCCCTATATTAGGGAAAAACTTTCTATGCTAATACAAGTATCTATCAATCCATTTATCTTTCTATATAAGATGTATTGATCATAACCAATTAACTTTACTGTAAATGAGCTTTAGATTTGACATTTTGGTAGTAATATATGTTGTACAATCTCCTGAGGTCCTATAGGTCTTGAGGTCTCTATGTCAAAAACTATAGATGTGCCAGTGTCCTCAGTGAATGTGAAGGACACCACATTTTCCTTAGCCATTTCTTGTTTTCAGAATAATGGTTATCAACATTTTGCTACTGCAAGATACCATACATTTATAATCGGAATATGCCAGTTTTTATGCACTCATGCCTCTGTTTCTGTAGAGCATTCCCAGAATGAGTAATGCTTGAAAATTAGGTCCATGTGATTTCTTTAATGAGTTATAGTCAAATCATGAAATATTCAGGTTACCATTATTTCAGTAATGTATTAGAATGTCAAGGTAAAGTTATCTACATTGTATATATACACACAACATAGATATAATTTATACAACATCTATATTTATACAACAGATATATATTTATGTATATATTTATACAACATAAAATATATTTTATTATTTAAACATAAAATATATTTTATTATTTAATATAGATTCTTAAGTGATAAATATGTTTAATATTATTAAAATAGGTTAAAATAGGTTATAGTTAGTACAGTGAAAATTGGCAGCCCTTTTACAAAACATATGCCATAACTATAGCATTTATCACTGACAGTCATACCAGGATAGTCTTTTATTTCCAATCACTTAAATATTCCTAATTGCAAAAGAAATTTGAAGACTAAAATTCAGAAGTTTTGAAAGAGCCATTGCCTGGGTAAACTATACAGGTTTCAGTTTTATTTATAATAATTATGAGGCCAGGCGCAGTGGCTCACACCTGTAATCCCAACACTTTGGGAGGCCGAGGCGGGTGGATCACGAGGTCAGGAGATCGAGACCATCCTGGCTAACACGGTGAAACCCCATCTCTACTAAAAATACAAAAAATTAGCCGGGCGTGGTGGCGGGCGCCTGTAGTCCCAGCTACTCGGGAGGCTGAGGCAGGAGAATGGCGTGAACCTGGTAGGCGGAGCTTGCAGTGAGCCGAGATCGCGCCACTGCCCTCCAGCCTGGGAGACAGTGCGAGACTCCGTCTCAAAAAAAAAAATTATGTATATATTTATAAATTAATACTTAATAAATTAATAACTTGTGATAGGCAATGCAAAGATGACAGTAAAAGGACAAAATTGATTAGATTGATAAAGTCCTGTTAACATGAAGAAATTGACCAGGATACCATCCACACTATAAAGTTAGAGAAATTTATCAGGACAATTCCCTAAAATACTCTTCTCAATTTTAACATTGTAACAGGAATTTTTAAAATTTTGGTATTATGTGTGTTTCCTTCCAGATAATTTGAACAGATTCATATTTGGTATTTTTAAAAGCCATATCTTTGTCCTTAGTGCTGGCAATGTATTCTTGAGAATGAACAAATAAGAGATACGTAAAAGCATAAGAGAAGGTATCAGGTTGAAGTAGTCAATCAGTTATACAGAACACAAAGAATTTTATCTTGTATAATGTTTATATAGCTTTATAGAAGTGTGCTGAAAGGGCTATAAAACATGGACATTATTATCTCATTGAAAGGTCCAATACGTACTGAAATACATGCTTTTATTTTGAACCAACCACCCTATAAACGTTGTATGGCTTATTTAGATGAGAGCCCAGGTTGTGTGTGTCTGTGTGTGTGTGTGTGTGTGTGTGTGTGTGTGTGTGTGTGTGTGTACCTGACAGGGAAGCAAGAACATCGAGTTGCCAATGCACTCTGTCTATGGTTAGAATCATGCTGAAAACATGGCTCCCCCAGTTCTGGAATGAGCCCACAGATCAAGCATTCCCCAAAGACATAGCAGGCTCAAATCCCTGTGTACACAATATTTTATGATTATCTTATGTCAGTACTTTCAAAGTATACAGTTTGTGTGAAGACAAATCCAATGTCATTTTTCTTGGCTAGCCTATATGTGTGGTAAATCCATTATTTACTTACTTGCTTCCTGAAAATTACAATTAGATTAACAAACTGCAGCAAAGTGGGCATGATGAGATAGAGATTGAAGTGTAAGCTTATGTTAATGATGCCCTTGGTTTGGATAAACACATCTAAGAGAAAAATGGAAAAACACACATGGCAGGGAAGCCTTGATAGAGCCAAAATATAGGATTGTATGTAGTAATGCAATCCATAGATGAGCATTTGGCAGTAATATTATTTTTCAGATATGGATAAAAATTGCTTAGGAGAGTAAAGAGAGACAAAGTTGAAAGCAGGTTTATAGTAGGTGTTGTTTTAGTGTTGATCCCTTTTTGCTCCAATAATCAAAGTGATAAATATTGAAAATTGATTCATGCAGCATTACTTACTCCATTCTAATTTTTATATATGTCAAAAGTGCCATCTCCCAAACTGTGCTATCCCCTTCAGGAGAAGAGACTCTGCTGAAGTTTATAAGGTTGACATATTGCCAGCTTCAATAATGTAAAGATGAAGTGTATACTGAATTCTTAATGCAAATAACAACTCTATTGGAAAGTAACCCAGTTATAGAAGTGCTAATTTGTCAGGAGCTGCCTTACCAAGATCATGATGAGTACAGTTATCTCAGGATTCTGAAAGATTGTTTTCCGATTTCAACTAGTCTAGCTGAATGTTCCTTGATAGAAAGAGAGGACTTTTAGAATTGGTTCAATATGATGACCTCCTGAATTATCTCACATAGCCCGTTTGTACATGCCTTTCTTTTCTCTCAGAAAATGGCACTATCATAATAGCTTTCTTACACAGACTTCACCTTAGGGTTTTACATTAAGGGAGGGGTCTGGTGTTTCATTTATTTTGAAGTATTTGTTGTTGATTGTGTACAGTGCTTGAGTAAAAAATTGAATATAGAAACATCTAGAATATTTTTTTAAAGGATCAGTGTTTATAAAGTGAATTATTAGTGTCAATAATGTTGGGAAAGTTTTAAGAGAATATAGGAAACTTGAACATTACACAACTACAATGGGACCAAATTGTGGGGTCTCATTATAGTTAATATTTATGTATTTTTTTCCAATTGATTTGTGTGCTTTTTTTCTGCATGTTTTTGGCAGATAGAATGGCTATAACAAGTAACAGCATGTCAGGTAATAAAAATAAGCAGAGCCCTATTCCTTTAAAAATCTTCACTGATGGGAGGGCCATAAAATAAGTCTTAATACATTTAAAGAATTAAATTCATGTAAACCATGTTAATTTAATTCCACAATGATATTGAATTAGAAATAAGAGGAATATCTCTTGAACATCTCCTAAATGTTTGGAAATTTAAATTAGCATTTCTGACCTATTTATTGGTTAAAAAAGATACAAAGAAAGGAAAATTGAAAAGTCTTTTGAACTGAATAAAAATAAAAATATAGAATCTAAAACTTTATGGGATACTGACAAAACAGGATATAGGGAATAATTTATAGCACTGAAATGCCTATATTAGAAAAGAAAAAAGGTTTTAAATCAGTAAATTTGTATTTTACCTTAAGAAACTTAGAAAAGAACAAATTAACCCAGACTTAAGTAAAATAAAGGCACTAATAAAGATAAGAGCAGAAATCAATGAAATATAAAACAACAAAACACAGAGAAAAATTGAGAAAATTTAAAAATAGCCTAGTGAGAAGATATTGATAAACTTGTAACCAGACCAATTTAAGAAAAAAAGTCAAAACACAAATACCAATATTTGAAAATGTAGGAGGGCAAATCATTACAGATTCTATGAATACTAAAATGATAATAAGGAAAAATTATTTAAAAGGGGCATGTCAGCCAGGCATGGTGGCTTACCCCTGTAATCCCAGCACTTTGGCAGGCCGAGGTGGGAGGATTGCTAGAGCTCAGGCATTCGAGACCAGCCTGGGCAACATGTTGAAACCTTGTCTACACAAAAAGTACAAAAATTAGCTGGGTGTGGTGTTGCACACTTGTAGTCCCAGTCACTTGGGAGGCTGAGGCGAGAGGATCACTTGAGCCCAGGAGGTTGAGGCTGCAGTGAGCCATGTTTGTACCACTGCCCTCCAGCCTGGGTGACAAAGTAAGACCCTATGTAAAAAAAAAAAAATGTATGCCAACATTTTTCAATAACTTAAATGAAATGGAAAAATTCCTTGAAAGACACGAACTACAAAAACTCAGTGAACAAGTAAATAACCTGAATAGCCCTGTATCAAGTAAATTGAATTTGTAGTTAAAAGCCTTCCAACAGAGAAAACTTCAGGTACCTATAGCTTCATATGAAATGAAAAAAAAAATACCAATCCTCTACAAGATTCCAGAACATTTAAAAGAAGGGAATATTTCCCAACTTATTCCATTTGGACAGCAATACCCAGGTAAGAAAAAGAGACACAGAAATTTAAAAAGAAGAATATACATTATTCCTTAGGAACATAAATGCAAAGAAATCTAATCAAAATTTTGGCAAATGAAATGTAGAAATACTTTATGACCAAGTGAGAGTTACCCAAAGAATTTAAGGTTGGTTTTATATGTAAAGATCAACCAATATAGGAAAATCACTTCTGGAAAGTCAGAGTAAGAAACTCCAAAAATCTACTCCTCCATAAAACCAATAACAGCCTTGATAGAAATAGTTGAAATTAATTTTCCAAAACTTTGGAAATTAACCAAAGGCTTACAAAATTCCAGAGAACATTAATTCAAGAAAAATGGCTGAATCAGTAAGAACAGCCAGCTTTGTGGCATTTTAATATGACCCCTTCCCATGCTTTTCTCCCTAGTGCTGAGATAGTCTTAAAAATTAGCAGGATAGCAACCACTGGAGAAGAAAGGTTTGGAAATTTCCCAAAAAGTTCCATCCCCATAGAATTATCACTATTTGACCTCTAAAGCCCAATCTATAGGATTTATATTCATTTGGACTGACTCAGAGCTCACTCAGTAAGGAAATCTCAATTTCAAGGTATTGGTCAAAAAGAATCCATGGCAATTGTTGACTATCACAACTGCCTGAAGTCTTGGTAACAGTTGGGATAAACAAGAAGCTGATCAAAAACTGAAAACTAAAATCTTGGGAATGAGATATCTACAGGATGCTTCAAAAAGCTTTGATACATTCCTGTTTATCTAGAAAGCTACATGCAGGCTGGGTGCAGTGGCTCACACCTGTAATCCCAGCACTTTGGGAGGCCGAGGCGTGCGGATCATGAGGTCAGGAGTTTGAGGCCAGCCTGACCAACATGGTCTCTACTAAAAACACAAAAATTAGCCAGGCGTGGTGGCGTGCATCTGTAATCCTAGCTACTCAGGAGGCTGAGACAGGAGAATCGCTTGAACCCGGGAGGCGGAGGTTGCAGTGAGCCAAGATTGTGCCACTGCACTCCAGCCTGGGCGACAGAGCAAGGCTCTGTCTCAAAAAAAAAAAAAAAAAAAGCCACATGCATGTAATTGTTTACCTCTGGCTTTCCTTTTATGCTCTGGGCAAGCTAAGGAAGAGTTGTGAACTACCTAAGTGCTGAATGGGAACCATAACACACACACACACACACACACACACACACACAGCACCTTAGTAAAGGGTGAGAGGCATGTTAGTTAGAAGCATTAAAGGAAATCTCTTTCTAGTCATTATCTGTGCACTAACCTAACTGAGCAGAGACTTCAGTATCCACATACTACAGGGCATATAAACTTTACAGAATTAGTCCAGGAAAATCATATCTAAAAAAAAAAAAAAGCAGTAACAAAAATAAACTCTGGGAAAGGGGAGAATATGATTTAAAGAGTTGCCACATTATACATAATATGTCTAGTGTTCAACAAAAAATTACGAGACATGCAAAGAAATAGAAAAATATGGCACAAAGAGGATAAGATGAAGTCAGTGAAACTATCCTCGAGGAAGACCAGATGTTGGTCTTACTAGACACAGACATTGAACCAGCTATTAAAAATACGTACACAGAACTAAGAAAAACATGTCAAAAGGGTTAAAGAAAGGTATAAAAATAGTGTCTTACCAAATATAGACTACCAATAAAGAGATAGAAATTATAAGAAAAGACAACATGAAAAAATATAAAGCAAAAAAATTAGACAATTGAAACAAGAGGGCCTCTATTCGCAGATTTGAGCAGGCAGAAGAAAGAATCAGTGAACTTGAAGATATGTCAACTGAGATTATCCAGTCTGAGCAACAAAGGTGGGAAAAAATGAAGAAAACTGAGCAACAAAGAACTGTAGAACAGCATCTCTCATACCAATGGATACATAAACTGGAGCCCTAGAAGGATGAAAAAAGGAGAAGGAAAGAAAACTTCCCAAATTTTAAGAAAAACATTAATTTATATACCCGAGATGACCAATAAAATCCAATTAAGATAATCTCAAAGAGACCAACACCTATACACATCATAGTCAGCGTGTCAAAAGACAAACATAAGGAGAGAATTCTTGAAGATAGTAAGAAAAAAATTATTCATAACATACACACCATCCTCAATAAGTCTGACAATTGACTTCTCACTGTAAACCATGCAGGCTAAAAAGGCAATGTACATAACCAAAGTGATGAAATAAAAACCTTCAACCAATCATTCTAGATCCAACAAAACTATTGTTCAAAAAGAAGAAATGAAGACATTCCTAAACAAAATCTCAGAGAAATGTTCTCTATAAGACTTGTCCTAATAGAAATGCTAAAGGAACTCCTTCGGTCTGAAATAGAAAGGCACTGGAGAGTAAATCAAATCCACGAGAAGAAATAAAGAGAACCAGTATAAGTAACTACATGTGTAAGTTTAAAACAAAGTATAAATTTATTTTGTTTGTAACATTTGTCTTTTCCTATTTGATTTAAAATATAATCTCAATTATAAACTTGTGTTGATGGTATTATATAAAGATGTAATTTTGGGTTATAGCACCAAAATGGCAGAATAGGAATTTTCTGTAGGTGTTTCCCACATAAGTATCAATTTTGACAACCATCCATGGGCAAGAGTACCTTGTGGGAGTTCAGGAGTTGACAGTAAAACTTCAGCACACCAGAGGAGTAAAGAAATCTAAGAATAGATTCATTGGAAAGGGTATAAACAGTTTCACTTTACCTGCATCACCAACCCCCAAAAGTGGCACAGCTCAGTAACAAGAGCCCATTATTTCTTCCACAGAGGAAAAGGAGAGTATAATAAGTAAGTGTCCAGTTTCTCAAGACATACAGGCCCCTGCCCAAGAGATCCACTTTATTTTCATCTCACCCAGAATATTGAGGTGATCAGCAAGGTGGAGTGGTTGGGAGAGGGTAAAAGCAGGAAAGAGAGATGGGGACTCAAACAGCAGCCCATACTTGGAACTGCCATAGATCCTACCAGTTACTTCATGGACTCCATCAGGAACCCACCTATAAGCCACAGGGGATGCATCCCTCCCATCTTGCCAACAAAACCCCGAATGCTCCAAATGCCTCACCCACTCTTTGGCTGGCTCCCAAGTGCGCTCCTGTGAAAAGCGAGTGAGTATCTCTGCAGATGGCTTGCAAGCACATGTTGACAGCTGGCTCCACTCTGTAGAACTGGAAAAAAGCTCACATACATGAGAATTTCAGGACACTACCCTAAAAAAAAAAATGAGACTTCAGCACCTGGCCTGGCTTTATGCAACCTAGAGAAGGTGATATGATTTGGCTCTGTGTCCCCACGTAAATCTCATGTCAAATTGTAATCCCCACGTGTTGGACAAGGGACTTGGTGGGAGGTGATTGAATCATGCGGGTGGACTTCCCTCTTGCTGTTCTTGTGATAGAGTTGTTATGAGATCCAGTTATTTGAAAGTATGTAGCATGTCCCCCTTCACTCTCTTGCACTCCTGCTCCACCTTGGTAAGACTTGCTTGCTACCCCTTTGCCTTCTGCCATGATTGTAAGTTTCCTGAGGCCTCCCAGCTATGCTTCCTGTATGGCCTGCAGAACTGAACTGTGAGCCAATTAAACCTCTTTTCTTCATAAATTATCCAGTCTTAGGTAGTTCTTTATAGCAGTGTGAGAATGGACTAATGCAGAAGGCATACAACCTTTAGAATTTGCCCCCTTGAGGGAACAAGATGTGTGAAGCAGGTTCATCCATAGAAAATGTCTGAGAGAACCTCAAAATCCCTAACCTGACTAACTGATGAAAGTGTTTCTCTCCTAAGGCCAGTCAGTAAAGACCAGAGGGGGTGACTGTTTCTTTAAATGCAAAGGCAGCAGCACAATAATTCAAGAAACATGAAAAATCAAGAAAACATGACACCACCAGAAGAACACAATCATTTTCCAATAACCAACTCCCCAAAAATGGAGATTTACAAATTGGTTTATAATGAATTCAGAACAATTATGTTAAGGAAGCTCAGCAAACTAAAAGGAACACCAATAGACTACTCTGTGAAGTCAGGCAAACAATTCATGAACAAAACTAGAAATTCAAAAAAGAGAAAAATTATCTTAAAAGAAAACCCAGAAGTTATGGAGCTAAAGAATACAATGCATGAAATGAAGGAGCGTATCAACAGCAAAGTTGATCAAGCATAAGAAAAAAAAAATCTGTGAAACTGAAGACTGGCTATTTGAAATTATTCATCAGAGGATTAAAAAAAAAAGAATGAAAAGAAATAAAGAAAGCCTACAGGATGTATAAAACACCATCAAGAGAACTAATATAAGGATTATTGGAGTCATAAAGGAGAAGAGAGAAAAGGGTAGAAAACTTATTTAAGAAATAATGGCTGAAAACTCTCCAAATCTAGGAAAAGATATGAGCATCCAGGTATATGAAGCTCAAAGATCCCCGTACAGGATACATTCCAAAAAGACTTCACCAAAACACATGATAATCAAACTGTCAAAAGCAAAATCAAGACGATGAATAAACCACCAATCACTAAGAGGGAGACAGGATTCTTATGTTGTCATTATTATTTACATATAATTTCAGTAAATGTTATTGGAAAATTTATAATGTTTTAAAAAAAGAAATTTGAAAGCACCGAAAGAAAAGAGACTCATCACATACAGGGAACCCTTTTAAGGCATTCAAGAGATTTCTCAGTAGAAACCTTACAAAATAGGAGAGAGTGGGATGAACTATACAAGTGCTGCAAGGAAAAAAATGCCAACCAACGCTTTACCTGGCAAATCTGTTCCTCAGAAATGAAGGAGAGAGAAGAACTTTCCTAGACAAACAAAAGCTGAGGCAGTTCATCACCACTAGACCTGCCTTACAAGACATACTAAGGGGAGTTCTTCAAGCTGAAATGATATGGCAATAGTTAGTAATATGAAATGATAAACCTCACTGGTAAAGGAAAGTACATAGTCAAATTTAGAACACTTTGATACTATAATGATGGTGTATAAATAATTTTACTGTGCTATGAAGGTTAAAAGACAAAAGTATTAAAAAAAACCCATAGCTGCAATAGCTTGTCAATGCATACTACAGTATAAAAAGATGTAAATTAGAACATTAAAAACATAGCATGCAAGGGTAGGGAAGTAAAAGTGTAGTTTTCATATGTAATCAAATTTAATTTGTTATCAGCTTAAAATAAATTGTTATACCTATGTTTTATGTAAGTGTCATGGTAACTATAAAGGAAAAACCTCTAGTAGATACACAAAAGAAAAAGAGAAAGGAATCAAAACATAACACTACAGAAAATTATCAAATTACAAAGGAAGACAGCAAGGGAGGAACAAAGTAAAAAGAGCAAGAAAAAATTTAACATAATGAAAACAGTAAGTCCTTACGTGTCAATAATTACTTTAAATGTAAATGGATTAAATTATCCAAACAAAAAAACAGACTGGACAAATGGATTTTAGAAACAACAACAACAACAAACACCGCACACACACACACACACACACAAACCACCCAGCCCCAACTATGTGCTGCCTACAAGAGATTTACTTCCACTTTAAGGACACATACAGGCTGAAATTAAAAGAACAGAAAAAGATATTGCATGCAGATAGAAACCAGAAGAGAGGAGAGGCATCTATACTTACAGCATACAGAAAAGATTTTAAGTTAAAAACTATATCAAAAGGCTAAGAAGGTCAAAATGGTGAAGCAGTTAATTGTTCAAGAAGACATAAAAATTGTAAATATTTATACACCCAATATTGAAGCACCTAAATATATAAGGCAAATATTAATACATATAAAAGGAGAAATATACAGCAATACAGTAATAGTAGTGAACTTCAGTGCCTCCCTTTCAAAAATGGATAATCCAGACATAAAATCAATAAGGAAACATTTAACTTAAACTTCACTTTAGACCAAATGGATCTAACAGACATTATACTGAACATTTCATCCAACAGTGGTAGAATTCACATTCTTCTCAAGCACACATGGAACATTCTCCAGGATAGATTATATGTTAGCTCACAAAATAATATTACAAAATTTAATAAAGCTGAAATATCAATTATTTTGCACCACAATAGTATAACACTAGAAATCAATAACAAGATGGAAACTGGAAATTTACAAATATATAGCATTAACATATTCCTGAACAACCAATGGGTCAAAGAAAAAAATCAAAATAATTTTGTGACAGCAAAGTAGAAACACAACATACCAAAACATACAGGACACAGCAAAAGCAGTTCTATGAGGTAAGCTTATATTGATAAACACATTTAAAAAAAGATTTTAAATAAACAACATTACACCTCAAGGAACTACAAGGAAGAAAAAAAAACAAGCCCCATGTTATCAAAGGGAAGGAACTAACAAAGATCAGACAGAAATAAATGAAACATAGACTAGAAAAACAATAGAGACTATTAATAAAACTTAGAGTTAGTTTTTTAAAAAATAAAATCAACAAACCTTTAGCTAGACTAAAAAAAGAGAAGACTCAAATAAAATAAAAAATGAAAGAGGAGACATTACAACTGATACCACAGACATACAAATTAAGAGAAAACTATATGCCAACATATTAGTTAACTTGCAATGGGTAAATCCCTAGAAACATACAACCTACAAAAACTGAATCATGAAGAAATGGAAGATCTGAACAGATCAATAATGAATAAGGGAATTGAATCAATATTCAAAAATCTCACAAAAAGAAAAGCTCAGGATCAGATGGCTTCACTGGTGAAGACTGCCAACCATTTAAAAAAATTAATACCACTCTTTATTAAGCTCTTCCAAAAAAATTGAAGAGGAGAAAACACTTTCAAATTCATTATAAGAGGCCAGTTTTACCTTGATATCAAAGATTTAAAAAGAACACTTTGAGAAAGGAAAATTACAGGCCAAAACCCTTGATAAATATAGATGCAAAAATGCTCAGCAAAATACTAGCAAACCTAATTCAGCAACACATTATAATGGCATACATCATGACCAAGTGAGATTCATGCCTCGGATGCAGGATAGTTCAATATAATCAAATCAACAAATGTTACACTACTTTAACAGAATGAAGGATAAAAATCATATGATCATCTCGATGGTTGAACTAGTTTACAGTCCCACCAACAGTGTAAAAATGTTCCTATTTCTCCACATCCTCTGCAGCACCTGTTGTTTCCTAACTTTTTACAGATCACCATTCTAACTGGTGTGAGATGGTATCTTATTGTGGTTTTGATTTGCATTTCTCTGATGGCCAGTGATGGTGAGCATTTTTCAAGTGTCTGTTGGCTGCATAAATGTCTTCTTTTGAGACGTGTCTGTTCATATCCTTCACCTACTTTTTGATGGGGTTGTTTGTTTTTTTCTTGTAAATTTGTTTGAGTTCTTTGTAGATTCTGGATATTAGCCCTTTGTCAGATGAGTAGATTGCAAAAATTTTCTCCCATTCTGTAGGTTGTCTGTTCACTCTGATGGTAGTTTCTTTTGCTGTGCAGAAGCTCTTTAGTTTAATTAGACCCCATTTGTCAATTTTGTCTTTTGTTGCCATTGCTTTTGGTGTTTTAGACATGAAGACAGTGTGGTGATTCCTCAAGGATCTAGAACTAGAAATACCATTTGACCCAGCCATCCTGTTACTGGGTATATACCCAGAGGATTATAAATCACGCTGCTATAAGCCATAAAAAATGATGAGTTCATGTCCTTTGTAGGGACATGGATGAAGCTGGAAACCATCATTCTCAGCAAACTATCACAAGGACAAAAAACCAAACACCGCATGTTCTCACTCATAGGTGGGAATTGAACAATGAGAACACATGGACCCAGGAAGGGGAACATCACACACTGGGGATGGTTGTGGGGTGGGGGGAGGGGAGAGGGATAGCATTAGGAGATATACCTAATGCTAAATGACGAGTTAATGGGTGCAGCACACCAACACGGCACATGTGCACATATGTAACAAACCTGCACGTTGTGCACATGTACCCTAAAACTTAAAGTATAATTAAAAAAAATAATGCTGCTATAAAGACACGTGCACACGTATGTTCATTGCGGCACTATTCACAATAGCAAAGACTTGGAACCAACCCAAATGTCCATCAATGATAGACTGGATTAAGAAAATGTGGCACATATACACCATGGAATACTATGCAGCCATAAAAAAGATGAGTTCATGTCCTTTGTAGGGACATGGATGAAGCTGGAAACCATCATTCTCAGCAAACTATCACAAGGACAAAAAACCAAACACTGCATGTTCTCACTCATAGGTGGGAATTGAACAATGAGAACACTTGGACACAGGAAGGGGAACATCACACACTGGGGCCTGTCGTGGGGTCAGGGTAGGGGGAGGGATAGCATTAGGAGATATACCTAATGTAAATGACGAGTTAATGGGTGCAGCACACCAACACAGCACATGTGTGCACATGTACCCTAGAACTTAAAGTATAATAAAAAATAAATCATATCATCATCTCAGTAGATTTAGAAAAGCATTTAACAATATTCAACATCCTTTCAGAACTAAAAACTCTCAATAAATCAGGTATAGAAAGAATGTGCCTCAACACTATAAAAGCCACATATGACAAACCTGGAGGTAATATACTCAATGGTGAAAAGTAAAAAGCTTTGACTCTAAGATCAGAACCAAAACAAGGATGTCCATTCTCACCACTTATATTTAACATAGTAGTTGAAATTCTAGCTAGAGCAATTAGGCAAGAAAAAAGGCACCCAAGTTGGAAAGAATGAAGTTAAATTGTCTCTGTAGATGACATGATCTTATATATAGAAAACACTAAAGACTCCACCAAAATGCTGTTTTAATTAGAGCTTAAAAAAATAATTCACTAAAGTTGCAGGATACAAAATCAGTATACAAAAATCAGTTGCATTTCTAAACACCAAAAACAAGTTATCCAAAAAATTAAGAAAACAATCCTATTTGTGATATCATCAAAAAATAAAATACTAAAGAATACCAAAGAAACTGAAAATAAATGGAAATAAATGGAAAGATAGCCCATGTTCATGGATTAGATGAATTAATACTGTTAAAATGTTCATACTACCCAAAGCAACCTACAGATTAAGTGCAATTCCTACTAAAATTCCAATGACATTTTTCACAGAAATAGAAAACACACTCCTAAAGTTTGCATGGAACCGCAAAAGACTCAAATAGATGAAGCAATTTTGAGCAAGAACAGTAAAGCTGGAGACATCACACTACCTAACTTCAAAATTTTATTAATCAAAACAGCATGACATAAAAACAGACAGAAAAGACCAATGGAACAGAATAGAGAGCCCAGAAATAAACTCACGTTTATAGAGTCAACTAATATTCAACGAAGGTGCCAAGAGTACACAATGGGGAAAGTATAGTCTCTACAATAAACAGCACTGGGAAGACAATATCCAAATGCAAAAGAATGAAATTACACCCTTATCTTATACCATACACACAAATCAAATCAAAATTGATAAAGACTTAAATATAAGACCTGAAACCATACAATCTTTAGGCAAAAACTCATTGACATTGGTCTTGGCAATGATTTTTTTGATATGACACCAGAAGCACAGGCAACAAAAGCAAACCTAAACAAGTGGGACCCTAACAAACTAAAAAGTTTCTGCACAGCAAAGGAAACAATCAATCATCAGAATTAAAAGGCAATTTATGAAATGGGAGAAAATGTTTGCAAACCACATATCTGATAAAGGGTTAATATCCAAAAATATATAAGGAATGCATAAAATTCAATAGAAATAAACAAACAAATAATCCAATTTTAAAATGGGTGAAGAACCTGAATAGACATTTTTTCAAAGAAGACTTACAGATAGGCAACAGGCATATGAAAAAATGCTTGACATCACTAATAATCAGGGAAATGCAAATCAAAGCTCCAGTGAAATACCACCTCCAACTATTAGGATGGCTATTATCAAAAACTCAAAAGAAAACAAGCTGGGGGAATGTAGAGAAAAGGGAAAAGAAGATCCTTATACACTGTTGGTGTGAATTTAAACTGGAATAGCCCTTATGGAAAACAGCATGGAGGTTCCTCAAAAAATTAAAAATAGAACTACTATATGATCCAGCAATTTCACTATTGAGTATATATCCAAATGAATTAAAATCACTGTCTTGAAGAGGTATTTGCACACTCATATTTATTTCAGCATTATTCACAATAGCCAAGACATGGAATCAACCTAAGTGTTCATCAGTAGATGATTAGATAAAGAGAACGTGGTATATAGACACAGTGGAATCTATTTAGTGTTCAAAAAGAAGGAAATCCAACTTTTAAAATCCTTTAAAAAGTTAAACTCATAAAAACAGAGAGGAGAATGGCGGTTTCCAGGAACTGGAGGGTGGGAGAATGGGGAGATGTTGGTCAAAAGGTACAAACTTTCAGTTATAAAATGAATAAGTTCTAGAGATCTAGTGTACAACAGCATTACTATAGTTAATAATAATATTTTTTATACTTGAAATTTGCTAAGAGTAAATATCAATATTCTCAATACACACAAAACAGAACTATCTGAAGGCACTGATATGTTAATTATCTTCATTATAGTAATCATTTCACAATGTATAATGAATATCAAAACAATAGTGTACATCTTAAATATATACAGTTTTGATTTGTTAATCATACATCAATGAAGCTAGAAAAAATGTTGTAATTTTTAAAACAATAGTAATATAAATTAGGGGTGAAGGAATTGACCTATGTTGGAGAAAAGTTTTTGTAAACTATTTAAATTAATTGGTATCCATTCAAGCTAGATTATTTTTAATTGTTAATTTAATTGTAATACTAAGGCAACCACTAAAAAAGCCTTTAAAAAAATATAGCACTTGAGGCTGGGCATGGTGGCCCTCAATTATATATATAATATATATAAAATATATATTATATATATAGTAGATGAACAACAATGGGATTTAAATGGTACACTAGAAAATATCTGTTTAACAAAAAGAAAGCAATAGTGGAGAAATATAAGAACAAAACCATGTAAGATTTATAGAAAATGAATAGCAAATTGGTTGACCTAAACCCTATCTTATAATTATATTAAAGATAAATGAAATAAATACTACATCAAAAGGCAGAGATTATCAGAATAGAGAAGAAAAATCCAAACCATAATTCAACCTTATGTTATCTGTATTTAGAATATTTAGAGTCAAGACACAAATAGATAGAGTTCCATTTGGGCGTGAAAATATTTACCATGCAAAATGTAATTAAAATAGAGCTAGAGCAGCAATACTAATATCTGACAAAATATACTTTAACAAAAATTGTTGCTAAAGACAAAAAAGAACATTTTATAATAAGACACAACAATTATAAACATATACACCAAACAATAGAGCCCAAAATATACAAAGCAAAAACTGCTAGAATTGAAGAAAGATAGAAAAATCAATGATTACAGTTGGAGGTGTCAATACCAAACTTTCAGTAATACACAGAACAACAAGTCAAAAGCAAAAAGGAAATAAAAAACTACACATTATCATACAACACCTTAATACGATATCCAACAATAGCAGAATACACATTATTCTGAAGTGCACATGGAATATTCTTCAGGATGACACATATTAGGCTGTAAAACATATCTTAATAATTTAAAAGAATTGAAATAATACAGCACATATTCTCTGACTGCAAAATATTAAACCAATTACAGAAGAAAATGTGGGAAATTCACAATGATATGGAGATTTAAAAATACTTCAAAGTAACCAATGAATCAAAGAACAAATCACAAGAGAAATTAGAAAATATTTTAGATGAATAAAACTGAAGAAACAACATACCAAAATTTTGTGGTTGTAGCTAAAGCAGTGCTTCAAGGGAAATGTATAACAGTATATCCCTAAATTTTAAAAAAATCTCAATCCAATAACCTAATTTTTCACCTTAAGAAATGAGAGTGAAAGAGCAGACTTAACCCAAAGTAAACAGAAGGAAGAAATAATAAAGATTAGCATGGAGATAAGTAGTGAAAATAAAAACAATAGAGAAAATTAATAAACTTGAAAGTTGGTTCTTCTGATATATCAGTAAAATTGACGTATTATTAGTTTGACCGAGAAAGAACAAAAGAGAGAAGATTCAAGTTACTAGACATAAATGAAAGTATAGATATCACCTTACAGAAATTAAAAGAATTCTAACAGAATATTGTGAAAAAGTGAATGTCAAAAAATTAAATTATATGAGATACACAAATCCCTCTAAAGGCACAAACTACCACAGCTGGTGTAAAAACATGAATACACCATTTACAGTTAAAAAGACTGAATAGATAAAAATTTTAAGAAGAAATTGAGTAAGTAATTTAATTTTCAAACTATAATCCCAAGACCAGATGTTTTCATTGGTGAATTCTACCAAACTTTAAAAGGATTAATATCTATTTTTCATACACTCTTTCCAGAAAATAGAAAAGGAGGGAACACTCTATAACTCACTGTATGAGGTCCGTATTACCCTTATATCAAGACCAAACATCATAAGAAAAGAAGACTAAAGACTTATGGTTTCTGCTCTGATATGTTTGGAAGTCATCACTACTATTGTCACAAGGAAAAATCTGAACAAACTAAAGTCAACGATTTCTTAAACTAACCATAGAATTGAGGTAACGGGCGAAAACTGGAGATGTAGGCAAATACAAAAAAAATCACAGTTTATCAGGAGCAGAAACTGCTGAAACCAGCAACTCGTATGAACATGTTAAGTGGTAATTGACAAATTTCTGGAGATTGAATGTGGACTGGATTGAGAGTTAGGAACTCCTAAGTGCCCAGTTTTTGATGACCCCACACACTTTTGTAAACTAGACTTCCAAGAGCCCCAGCAAGTTTCTTACAGTGAAGACTGCAGAAAAATCCCCTGATGCTTCAGATAGGAGGAAGGGAAAAGCAACTATTTTGAAATAAGCCCAGGGGACAAGTAGTTATTTCTAAACACTCTCAGAGCATTTTCTTTCACACGGCAGGGGGCTCCCTGCAAGGGAAGCTACTTTGCCTGAGCCTTGTCTGATGTAGGAGAAAAGGAATTGGATGGCTCAAGCTCCATCTAGCCTTTCTGATTTATATAAGGGAAGCAAAAAATAGGTTAAGAAACTCTTCTGAAAGTCACAACTCAGATTTATTTTATATTTATTTATTTATTTATATTTTTTGAGACGGAGTCTCGCTCTGTTGCCCAGGCTGGAGTGCAGTGGCGCGATCTCGGCTCACTGCAAGCTCCACCTCCCGGGTTCACGCCATTCTTCTGCCTCAGCCTCCTGAGTAGCTGGGACTACAGGCGCCCAGCTAATTTTTTGTATTTTTAGTAGAGACGGGGTTTCACCACGTTAGCCAGGATGGTCTCGATCTCCTGACCTCGTGATCCACCTGCCTCTGCCTCCCAAAGTGCTGGGATTACAGGCGTGAGCCACCGCACCTGGCCTCACAACTCAGATTTAACCATAAGATTATAGAACACTTCTCCTCCCAAAACAGAGATATAGATCAATGGAACAGAACAGAGCCCTCAGAAATAACGCCGCATATCTACAACTATCTGATCTTTGACAAACCCGAGAAAAACAAGCAATGGGGAAAGGATTCCCTATTTAATAAATGGTGCTGGGAAAACTGGCTAGCCATATGTAAAAAGCTGAAACTGGATCCCTTCCTTACACCTTACACAAAAATTAATTCAAGATGGATTAAAGACTTAAACGTTAGGCCTAAAACCATAAAAACCCTAGAAGAAAACCTAGGCATTACCATTCAGGACATAGGCATGGGCAAGGACTTCATGTCTAAAACACCAAAAGCAATGGCAACAAAAGACAAAATTGACAAACGGGATCTCATTAAACTAAAGAGCTTCTGCACAGCAAAAGAAACTACCATCAGAGTGAACAGGCAACCTACAAAATTTTCACAACCTACTCATCTGACAAAGGGCTAATATCCAGAATCTACAATGAACTCAGACAAATTTACAAGAAAAAAACAAACAACCTCATCAAAAAGTGGGCAAAGGATATAAGCAGACACTTCTCAAAAGAAGACATTTATGCAGCCAACAGACACATGAAAAAATGCTCATCATCACTGGCCGTCAGAGAAATGCAAATCAAAACCACAATGAGATACCATCTCACACCAGTTAGAATGGCGATCATTAAAAAGTCAGGAAACAACAGGTGCTGGAGAGGATGTGGAGAAATAGGAACACTTTTACACTGTTGGTGGGACTGTAAACTAGTTCAACCATTGTGGAAGTCAGTGTGGCGATTCCTCAGGGATCTAGAACTAGAAATACCATTTGACCCAGCCATCCCATTGCTATATATATATATATATACCCAAAGGACTATAAATCATGCTGCTATAAAGACATATGCACAGGTATGTTTATTGCAGCACTATTCACAATAGCAAAGACTTGGAACCAACCCAAATGTCCAACAATGATAGACTGGATTAAGAAAATGTGGCACATATACACCATGGAATACTATGCAGCCATAAAAAAGATGAGTTCATGTCTTTTGTAGGGACATGGATGAAATTGGAAATCATCATTCTCAGTAAACTATCGCAAGGACAAAAAACCAAACACTGCATGTTCTCACTCATAGATGGGAATTGAACAATGAGAACACATGGACACAGGAAGGGGAACATCACACTCTGGGGACTGTTGTGGGGTCGGGGGAGGGGGGAGGGATAGCATTAGGAGATATACCTAATGGTAAATGACGAGTTAATGGGTGTAGCACACCAGCATGGCACATGTATACATATGTAACAAACCTGCACATTGTGCACATGTACCCTAAAACTTAAAGTATAATAATAATAAAAAAAGGCTACCTAAAAAAAAAAAAAAGAACACTTCTCCTCCCAACACCATATCACCACATCAACCAGGACTCCAGTGTAATAGCAGTGAATTCTAACTGAAAGAGGTGAAAGACACTGATTGTATTTAAGAAAGATCTTCTAAGGAAATCCAAAAATAGTAGGGGAGATCAAAACAAAGATACTAGAGGAAATTGAATATGTGACACCTATAGCTACAAAAAAATTAAACATAACATAGCCCTAACCATATAAACATAAAACCTCACACAAAGACCTATTATCTGAGATTCTGTTGCCTGATACATTGCGTTTTATTTCAATAAAAAAATTAGAGGGTATGTTAAAAAGCAGGAAAAGTTAGTCTAAAGAGACAAATTGAGCCTCAGAAGTAGGCTCAGATATGGCAGAGATTTGGCAATTATACCTAGAGTTTAATATAAATGATTAATATAATAAGTGTTCTAACAGAAAAAGGCAACATGCAAGAACGGATGGGTAATGTGATCAGCAAGAAGGAAACTCTAAGAAAGAAGTCAAAAGGAAATGCTAGGAATAAAAACCTACAAGAAATAAAGAATGCCTGTGATGGGTTCCTCAGTAGACTGGACAAGGTCAAAGAATCAGTGGATTTGAAAATATGTCAACAAAAACTGCCCCACTGAAATACAAAAGAAAAATAGAATTTTAAAAACGTAACACAATCTCCAAAACAGTGGGACAATTACAAAAGATGTAATGTGCCTAATGCAAATGACAGTAGGAGTATAAAGGGAGAAAGGAATAGAAAATCTGAAGTAATAATGGCAGAGAGTTTTCCAAAATTAATGCTAAACCACAGATACAGCAAGCCCAGAGAACAACAAGGAGGAAATTTAGTAAAGCGTCTGCAACCAAGTATGTCATATTCAGACTGACAAAACCAAAGGTGAAGAGAAAATATTGAAAGAAGACAAAGAGGAAAATAAATATCAAGAAAATACATACGAAATACATCATACATACATAAGAAATACATCAGACCATACAAGCAAGAAGAGAATGGAGTGAAATGTTTAAAATGTTGAAAAAAAAACTATCAATTTGCAATTCTGTATCCAGTGAGATTATCTTTCAAAAGTGAAGAGGGAAATGGCAGAGAAGTCATCTCCAAGACCTATGGTTTCCCTTCACAGAAACACTGAAAAATATGAACAAAAGTGGTCAGAATTAACTTTCTAAGAATTCTATAAAATGGTAAAATGTTTACACCAGTAAAGCAAATGCTGAATTGAGAAGGCAACTTAAAAAGGTGAAGAAAACTTCGTATTATTTTTATGTGTCCTTGCCCCACGTCCTTCCCTACCTTAGTCTTGAAGATGGCAGCCCACATTTCTACTGTGGGGCTCTGGTTTCTGTTTCCTGGTTCAAGAGGGAGAATAACAGACCTTACTTTTAGTCATTATTATTTCCTTCTTTCTGATTTCCTTGGGTTTATTTTGCTCTTCTTTCTACTTTATTGAAATGAGAACTAAGATTATGATTTGAGACATTTTTCTAATGTAAGCATTTAGTGCTATAAATTTCCATCTCAACACTGCTTTAGTCACATCCCACAAATTTTTATATGTTGTAATTTCACTTTCATTTAGTTCTATTTTTAAATTTTTTCTTTTTATACTTCCTCTGACTCACAGATTACTTAGAATTGTGTTGTTCAGTTTTCAAGGATATTGTAGATTTTCCTGTTTCTCTGTTGTCTAATAGTTCTGTTCCATTTTGTACAGATAGCTCACGCTGTATGATTTCAATTTTTTAAAAAATTGTGCTTTGTTTTATGGCCCAGATATGGTCTGTGCTGTGAATATTCCATGTTATTATAAAGTATGCCTGTTATATTATTATATATATATAATATATATAATTATAAAGCATGCCCGTTTTGTATTGTTAGCAGAGTATTCTAGAAATGTCAATGAGATCTTGTTGGTTGATGGTGCTTTTCAGTTCTATATCTTTGCTAATTTTTTTTTTTTTTGCTTAGTAGCTATATGAGATTCTGAGAGAGGAAATTGAAGTCTCCAACCATAATTGTGGATTTGTCTATTTCTCCTATCAGTTCTATCAGTTTGTGCATCACATATTTGAGGCTCTGTTGTTTGGTGCATACACAAGTGGAATCATTGTGCCCTCTTGGTGGCTTATTTTATGATTATATAGTGCCTATCTTTGTGGTATTTTTATTTGCTCTTAAATCTACTTTGTGTTATATTCATATACCCATTCTTTTTTAAAAAAAATTGTTTGCGTGATACATCTTTTCCATTCTTTTAATCTCAGCCTATCTGTGCCATTGAATTTGAAGTGAGTTTTCATATAGAGAACATATTATTGAATCATCATTTTAAAAATTCCTTTTGCCAATCTTTTTTATACTGAGGTAAAATTGACATAAAATTTATCATTTTAAAGTGTACAATACAGTGGCATTTGGTAATACACATGTTATGCAACGTTAACTCTACCTGGCTCCTAAATGTTTTCATCATCCCCAAAAGGAAACTTCATACTCATTAAGCAGTTAATTCCCATTCCTTCTCTCGGCCACTGGCATCCGCAAACCTACTTTTCTGTCTCTATGAATTTACCTATTATGGATATTTTGTATAAATTGAATTATACAATAAGTGACCTTTATGTTTGGCTTCGTTCGCTTCGCATACTATTTTTCGATATTCAACCATGTTGTAGTATGTATCAGTTTTATTTGAATAACTCAATTCTTTTTGTTGTATAGCTAAAAGTTGATTCCTAGGTCATAATGATAATTCTATGTTTAGTTTATTGAATAGCTGCCAAAGTTTTTCCACAGTGGCTCTGTCATTTTAAAATCCCACTAGCAATGGATGAGAGTTCCAATATCTCCACATCCTTACCAATATTGTTATTTTATATTTTTATAATTATAATTTTCCTAGTGAATACGCAATGGTATCTCATTGTGTTTTTGGTTTGCCTTTCCCTAATGACTAATGATGTTGAGCATCTTACAATGTACTTGTTAACTATTTGTGTTCTTTAGAGAAATGTCTATTCAAGTGCCTTGTCCATTTTAAAAATCGAGTTGTCTTGTTGACTTATGAGTTCTTTAATACAGTAAACGCTTATCAGATATGATTTATAAGTATTTTAACCCATTCTGAAGGTCACCTTTTCACTTTTGTGGTAGACCATTATGCACAAAGGTTTTAATTTTGATAAATCCAATTTATCCGCTTTTGTTGTTGTTTTTGTTGTTCGTGCTTTTGCAAAACCTAGTGTCATGAGGTTTTCTCATTATCTTTGGAGAATTTTATAGTTTGGGTCTATACATGTAGATTATTGATCTAATTTCCATTAATTTGTGTGTATGCTACGAGGTAGGGGTCCAAATTCAATTTTTGCATTGAATTGAAAATTCATATTTTCAGTTTCAAATTTCAACTGCATATTCAGTTGTTGCAGCACAATTTGTTGAAGAGATCATTCTTTACCACAGGGAATGATCTGGGACCCTTGTCAAAAATCAATTGATCATAGATGTATGGGATTATTTCAGACTTTAGATCTTGTTCCATGAATATGCCTATTTTTATGCCAGCACTGCAGTATTTTCATTACTGTAGCTTTATCATAAATTTTGAAATCAGGAAGTATGTATCCTCCAAGTGTGATTTTCATTTGCTAGAGTGTTTTGACTATTTGGGGTCTTTGCAATTCCATATGAATTTCAGAATTGGCTTTTCATTTAAAAAAATGGTAGTTGAGATTTTCATAGGAATTATATTGAATCTACAGATCACTTTGGGTAGTATTGCCATCTTAACAATATTGTATTCCAATCCATAAACACGGATGTATTGCCATTCATATCTTTTTTTCTTTTCTTTCGGCAACATTTAGTATATGACACTTGTAACTCCTTGGTTAAATTTATACCTAAGCATTTTATCCTTTCTGATGCTGTTTAAATGGAATTATTTTATTAATTTCTCTTTTAGATGGCTTGTTGCAGGTGTATAGAAATAGAACTGATTATTGTGCTTTTATTGAATTATCTGAAACTTTGCTGCATTTATTAACTCTAGTAGGTTTTTTTTTTCTTTAAAGTTGTCTATATATCTTGCTCTGTGAATAGATAATTTTACTTCTTGATCTCCAATATGGATGCCTTTCTTTCTTTTTCTTACCTAATTGCTGTAGCTAGAATTTTCAGTATAATGTATGATAGAAGTTGTTCACAACTATCCTTGTCTTCTTTCTGATCCTAGGGGTATAGCTTTCAGTCTTTCACCATTAAGCACAATGTTAGCTGTGGGGTTTTCTTAGATGCCATTTAATATATTAAGGAAGTGCTCTGCTATTTCTAATTGGTTGAGTATTTTTATTATAAAATGGTGTTAGATTTTATGACTTTATGTACTGCATAATTGAGATTATCATGTGGTCTTTTCATTCGATTAATGTGGTATATTTTATGATTTTCATATGTTGATCCACCTTTATATTCTTGGGGCAAATCCCACTGTGTACACGGGTTTTTTAGGGTCTCCTAATTTTCTTCATTCTTTTTCTTTTCTCTCCCTGAGACTGAATAACGTTAACTGACCTATCTTCAAGTTTACTATTTTTTCTTCTGCTGTTCAAATCTGCTTGAACCTATAGAGTGAATTTTTCATTTTACTTATTGAACTTTTCAGCTCCAAAATTTCTCTTTGGCTACTTTGTATAATATCTATCTCTCTATAGATATTCTCTATTTGGAAAGACATTTTTCTCCTGGTTTTCTTTACTTATTTGTATTTTTTAAAGTCTTTAAGCATATTTGAGACAGTTGATTTAAGTATTTGTGTACTAAGTCCATTGCCTAAGCTTTTGCATAGAGATTTTATATTAATTTCTTTTTTTTCTGTGAACAGGTCTTTTTTTTTTTTTTTTTTTTTTTTTTTTTTTTAGAAAACTGGACATTTTGAGTAGTATAAACGTGGCTATTTTAGAAATAATTTTCCTCCCTCCTTAGGTTTTGTTTCCACTTGTTGCATGTTGCTGTTGTTTGCTCATTAGTGACTTTTCTAAAGTATTTTGAAAAGTCTGTGTTCTTGATCATGTGGGTCCATTGAATTCTGTATTCTGTTAATTTCATAGTCAGCTAGTGTTCTGAAAGTTCCCTTAAGTGCATAGAGCCAATAAAAGAAAAAGAAAAGAAACACAGAAAAAGAAAAGAGGAAAAAAGGAGGGAAAGAGATTTAAAAAAATAATGTCGGTTGGGCATGGTGGCTCATGCCTGTAATCCCAGCACTTTTGGGAGGCCGAGGCAGGCAAATCACTTAAGGTTGACCATCCTGGCCAACACGGAGAAACCTTGTCTCTACTGAAAATATAAAATTAGCCGGGCATGGTGGCACATGCCTGTAATCCCAGCTACTCGGGAGGCTGAGAGGTAGGAGAATCACTTGAACTCGGGAGGTGGAGGTTGCAGTGAACTGAGATCACACCACTGCACTCCAGCCTGGGCAACAAGAATGAAACTCCATCTCAAAAAAAAATAATAATAATAATGCCTTTGCCGATTTGCTCTGTGTTTGGGCCCTCATTCAATGCCTAGTCAGGCCATTTACAACTCTCTCTTAACTTTCACTACCTGCTTGTGTACTGACTGAAGGCCACCTATAGGTGAAAGCTTAACATCATCTCAGATCTTTTTGGACCATGAATCCTACCCTGGGTATGCACATGATCTTCTTAATTTCCCAGTAGATGCAAGAGTTTTAGTGTTTTAAAAGTCCTTATTCCCTCATCTATCTTCTTTTCTGACCTTTTTCAGTCTGCTTATTGTTCATCTGAACTGACATCCTTTGCCCCAAGCGGCTGTGGCAAAAACTTTTACCTTTAAATGCTTTCACCACAAGCCACTTGGGAAGCTGCCCCAGACCTGGGACTGCTCTGACCCTGATGAAACAAAGACAAGACCTTGTACAGCCAGGCAGCCATAAGACAAGTCCATACCCAAACCACAGTTCTTTCAGAATAAGGTCTATATTGGATTCTCTGGCCCTAGTAACCAGCATGAGTCTGGGCTTGCCATCTTCATGGCCACTTGTCTTAGTTTGCTAGGGCTGCCATAACAAAATATGAGAGACTGAGTGGCTTAAACAAGAGAAATTTATTTTTTCACAATTCTGAAGACCAGAAGTCCATTACTCTGAAATCTCTCTCCTTGGCTTGCAGATACTGCCTTCTTGCCGTGTCCTCACACAGCCTTTTCTCTGTGTACACATCCCTGGTGTTTTTTAAGCCTGTCCAAATTTTCTGTTCTTCTGAGGACACCAATCAGATTGGATTAGCGACCACCCATATGATCATTTTACCTTAAGTACCTCTTCAAAGGTATCAGAGTAGTATATTTGCTACAGTTGATGAACCTGCATACAACATCATCACTTGAGGTCTGCAGTTTACATTAGAGTTCATCGTTAGTGTTATATATTCTAGGGTTTGTTTTGTTTTGAGACAGAACAGAGTCTTGCTGTGTTACCCAGGCTGGAGCGCAGTGGTACAATCTCATTGCTACCTCTGCTTCCCAGATTCAAGCAATTCTCATACCTCAGCCTCCTAAGTAGCTGGAACTACAGGCGCACACCACCATGCCCAGCTAATTTTCGTATTTTTAGTGGAGATGGGGTTTCACCATGTTGGCCAGGCAGGTCTTGAACTCCTTGCCTCAAGTGATCTGCCCGCCTCAGCCTCCCCCAGTGTTGGGATAACAGGCATGAGTCACCATGCCTGGCCTTATTCTATGGGTTTTGAAATGTATAATGACATGTATCCATCGTTGTAGTATTAGATAGAATAGCTTCATTACCCTAAAAGTCTTCTTTGCACTGGGTTGAGTTTTAAAAGCTCTTTGATTATTTTATGACAGTTCCTTATTAGATATATCTTTTGCAAGTATTTTTATCAGTCTGTGGTTATCTTGTCTTTTACAGAGCAGTAATTTTTAATTTTAATAAAATCCAATTTGTCAATTACTTATCTCATATGACTCTGGTGTTACATCTAAAATGTTACCACCATACTCAAGGTCACCTAGGTTTTCTCTAGGAATTTTATGGTTTTGCATTTTACATTTGGTGTATGACCCATTTGAAGTTAATTTTTGTGAGGTTGTAAGGTCTGTGCCTAGATTCATTTTTTTTTTTTTTGGCATGTTACTTCAGTATTCATAAGAAACATTGTTCTGTAATCTTCTTTCTTATAGTATCTTAGTCTTGCTTTAGTTTTTGGGCAATGCTGGCCTCACTGAATAAATTCAAAGTGTTCCCTCCTCTTCAATTATTTGGAAAAGTTTGAGAAAGACTATTGTTAACTGTTTTCTAAATTTTTGGTGGAATTTACCAGTGAACCAACTGGTCCTAGGCTTTTCTCCAGTAGGTGGTTTTGATTATGCTTTCAATCTCTTTACAAGTTACACATCTATACAGACTTTTATAATTCAGTCTTGGTAGGTTGTGCGTATTTAGGAATCTGACCACTTCATCTAAGTTATCCAATTAGTTGGCATGCAATTATTCGTAGTTCTCTGAATAATCATTTTTATTTCCACAAAATTGGTAATATCCCAGTTTCCATTTTTTATTTCATTGAATCTTCTTTTTTCTTAGCTAATCTAGCTAAATGTTTGCCAATTTTGTTGATCTTTTGGAAGAACCAACTTTTGATTTATTAATTTTCTCTACTCTTTTTCTGTTCTTTATATTATTTATTTCCACACTAATCTTTACTATTTTCTTCCTTCTGTTGGCCTTTAATTTTTTTTTTTTAATTTTTAAGGTGTAAATTTAGGTTGAGAAATTTTTTAAATGAAAGCATTTAGAGCTATAAATTTTCCTTCTGGTGTTCCTTTCACTACCTGCCATAAATTTTGATATGTTGAGTTTTTGTTTGTCTTGGAGTATTTTCTAATTTGTCTTCTAATTTCTTCCTTGACCTATTGGTTATTTAAATGTATTTAATTTTTGCATATTGTGGATTTCCCAGTTTTCCTTCTGTTATTGATTTCTAGTTTTATTCCATTGTGATCACAGAAGATATTTTGTATAATCGCAGTCTATTAACATTTATTAAGTCTTGTGGCCTAACAGAGGATCTATGTTGGAGAATGTTCCAAGTGCAATTGAGAATACTATTCTGGTGCTATTAGGTGAAGTATTCTCTATATGTCTGTTAAGTCCAATTCATCTATAGTGTTGACGTTTCCTGTTCCTTACTGATTTTCTGACTTATTATTCTATCCATTATTAAAAGTGGAGTGGTAAAGTCTCTATTATTGTAGAACTCTCTGTTTTTCAAGTCTATCAATATCTGTTTCATATATTTTGGAGCTCTGTTTGCTGCATATGTGTTTACAATTGTTATATCTTCTTGGCAAATTGACCAGTTTCATCAACATAAAATATAATTCTTATTGTCTTCTAACAGTTTATTTTTCTTTTTACATAAAGCCTATTTTATCTGATCTTAGATTCCCTCACACTCCACCCCAGCACGCTTTTGGTTACATTTACATAATATATCTTTTCCATCCTTTCATTTTCAACCTGTTTGTGTCTTTAGATCTAAAGTGAATGTCTTACAGACAGCATAAGCTATGTCATTAAAAAAATCCATTCTGCTTATCTCTGCCTTTTGACTGGGGAGTTTAATCCATTTGCATTTAAAGTAATCACTGATCATTAAATACTTTCAGTATTTTGTTGTTTTATGTATGTCTTATAACTCTTTTGCTCTTCATTTCCTTCAATATTGCCTTTGTGTTTAGCTTATCTTTTTGTGTCACACTTTGATCCCCTTCTCATTTCTTTTTTATATTTTCTTTGTGGTTACCAGGAGGACAATGTATCAACTTTTAAAGTTATTACAATTTTATTTTTTTAAATCTCTCCCATTCGGGGATTTTAGGAAGGTTAAATAATAATGTAAATGAGATACCTAGAACAATATAAGCATTCAGGAATTATTAACTCAATTCCAATCCTTCCTCCACCTCCACCTCTTTCTCTGTGAGATTATAGAAAAGATGACAAAAAGGATGTTTTCTGAGCCCTTTAATTGTTGAGAATGATCTTTGAGAAAAAGAAAAAAAATGAAAGCACTAGGAATGTACAACAGCCTGGAAGTATAATTAAGTGTAAATTAAATAGATAAAAGTTATAAGCAGAGGAAAGTATAGTAGAACTCAGTATTTAAAAGAGAATCAATGTGAAAATTATATAAATTTATGTAAAATAAAACTACCAGACAAATCTGATATCCTTAGGATTTTTCTTTCTTTCATGTGATTTCTAATTGCTACATATGACACTAAACCATTGATCTGAGCTGTAAGAGAAACTGGAAATTGTTCTGTTATCTTTTGTAAGATTTCTAGAACATTTTGCCCTCAGACTTAAATGCCAACGTATTTCTCACTTATTGTTTACTGCTTTTGGATTTACATATGATTTGATTCTTTCTTATCTCTTATCCTTACAATGTAATTCAAACTGATGCCAATTTAAGTTCAATTGCGTACAAAAACTCTACTCCTATGCAGCTCCGCCCCATCTAATTTACATTATTGATGTCGCAAATTCCATCTTTGTACATAGTTTACATATTAACATGGATTTATACATTTTTATGTATTTGGTTTTTAAATCCTGTAGAAAATAAAAAGTCAACACACCAATATTAAAATAATACTGGTTTTTATATTTGTCCATGTGCTTACCTTTATCAGTGTTCTTTACATCTTTATACGGGTTTGAGTTACTGTCTTGTGTCCTTTAGTTCCAACCTAAAGAACTCCCTTTAGCATTTTTATAGGGCAGGTCTAGTGGTAATGAACTCTCTGAGTTTTTATTTAGGGATGTCTTAATTTCTAGCTCCTGTTTGAAGTAAATTTTTCTGGATATACAATTCTCTGTTGATTGATTTTTGTTCATTTTCCCTTCAGCTCTTTTAAATACATTATCCCACTTTCTTCTGCCTTCCAAGGTTTCTATTAACAAAATTCAGCTTATAATCTTATTAAAGATCTCATGTACATGAGTGGCTTCTCTCTTGCTGTTTTCAAGATTCTGTGACTTTGGTTTCTGATAGTTTAAATATAATGTGTCTTATTGTGGGTCTCTTTGGATTTATCCTAGAGTTTCTTGGTCTTCTTACGTTGGTATATCCATGTATTTCAAGACATTTGAGTAGTTTTCAGCCATTATTTCTTCAAACAATCTCTCCTCTTTGGGGACTTCCATTTTACCTATATTGGTTCTTTTGATGGTGTGGCACCAGTCCCCTAGACTTTGTTCACTTTTTTCCAGTCTTTTATTTCTGCTTCTCAGACTCAACAGCTTCAAGTGTTCTGTATTCAAGTCTGCTGACTCTTTCTTCTTCCAGCTCAAATCTGCTGTTGGATCCCCCCTTGTAAAATTTTTAATTCCATTTTAGTGTTTTTCAAGTTAAGTATTTTTATTAGGTTCCTTTTTATAATTTCTTTTTGTTGATATTCTCATTTTATTACACATAATTTGTCTGATTTCCATTAGTTTTTTTCTTTGTTTTCCTTTAGCTCTTTGAAAATATTTAAGACATTTTAAAAGTCTTTATCCAAGTTCAATTTCTATGGTTCTGTAGAGATATTTTCTGCCAGTTTATGTTCTTCTTTTCCATGGGCCATGTTTTCCTGTTTCTTTGTATACTTTCTAATTTTTGGTTGAAAACTGAGCATTTGAAAATAGAGCCAACTTTCCCAGTTTCTGCAGAGAGTCTTTATGCCACAGTATTCGTTCACTGATTAACTGGGTATATCTAAGCTTAGGGAGCAGCTGAGTCAAAAGTTTAAGGTCTTCTCAGGTCTTTTCTGAGTATACATGTTTCCTATGCCTGTGTGAAATGTTCTCAATTTCCCTATATAAACAGCTACTTCTTCTTTTTTTTTTTTTTTTGAGATGGAGTCTCGCTCTGTCACCCAGGCTGGAGTGCAGTCATCTCAGCTCACTGCATCCTCCACCTCCCAGGTTCAAACAATTCTCCTATACAGGTGTGTGCCACCACGTCTGGCCAATTTTTGTATTTTTAGTAGAGACAGGGTTTCGCCGTGTTGGCCAGGCTGGTCTCAATCTCCTGACCTCAGGAGGATTACAGGCTTGAGCCACAGTGTCCAGCCTAAACAGCTACTTTTGAATGCTTTAATTTCCTGAATAGTCTCAACCCAGTTTTTCCTTGAGGTCTTAGGTGGTCCATTGTATGTCTCCACCCATAGTTGCTTGCCCCAGGCATCTGTGGGTCTGTGGTACCACTGCAGCTTTCACCACCTGTAGCTGCCACCTTTCCCTATCTGAGATCCAGGTTAGGTGAGAGAGATCATTCCTTCACGCAGTCCCATGACAGGTTGGAACATTTCAAATAAGGTCTGTTCTGCTCCTCTGGTTGAAGGGAGAAAATTGGGAACCGGTTTCCCACCTTCTACAAACCAAGATCTCATGTTGCCACGGGAGTGGCAGGGCAAGTGCAAGTGAAAATGCCATACAATTTTCTACCATTTTGAACGCGGGTTTTTCTTCAATGGTCATTTGCTTGGTTGCTGTAGGCCTTTCACTGTTTTCCAGAGCTCCCATAAGATTACTTTAGCCAGTTTTTTGTTCTTTCCTGATGCTTCCCTGGCAGAGTAAGGGTTGGAACTTCCACCATTTTGCTGATTCATAACTCTGTAGTCAGTTTTAAATATATTGATACTTGAGTTTGTTTTATGGCCCAGAATATGGTCTTGGTAAATGTTTCACATATACTCAGAAAGAATGTGTATTCTGATGTTGTTACATGGGCTGTTCTATAAATGTTACTTAAGGTGGTTAATAATGTTGCTCAAGTCTTCTATATTCTTGCTGATTTTCTTTTATTTATTTATTTTATTTTTTTTATTATACTTTTAAGTTCTAGGGTACATGTGCACAACATGCAGGTTTGTTATATATGTATACATGTGCCATGTTGGTGTGCTGCATCCATTAACTCATCATTTACATTAGGTATATCTCCTAATGCTGTCCCTCCCTGCTCCCCCCACCCCATGACAGGCCCCAGTGTGTGATGTTCCCCTTTCCTGTGTCCAAGCGTTCTCATTGTTCAATTCCCACCTATGAGTGAGAACTTGCGGTGTTTGTTTTTTTGTCCTTGTGATAGTTTGCTGAGAATGATGGTTTCCAGCTTCATCCATGTCCCTACAAAGGACGTGAACTCATCCTTTTTTATGACTGCATAGTATTCCATGGTGTATATGTGCTACATTTTCTTAATCCAGTCTATCATTGATGGACATTTGGGTTGGTTCCAAGTCTTTGCTATTGTGAACAGTGCTGCAATGAACATACGTGTGCATGTGTCTTTATAGCAGCATGATTTATAATCCTTTGAGTATATACTCAGTAATGGGATGGGTGGGTCAAATGGTATTTCTAGTTCTAGATCTTGAGGAATCACCACACTGTCTTCCACAATGGTTGAACTAGTTTACAGTCCCACCAACAGTGTAAAAGTGTTCCTATTTCTTCACATCCTCTCCAGCACCTGTTGTTTCCTGACTTTTTAATGATCGCCATTCTAACTGGTGTGAGATGGGATCTCATTGTGGTTTTGATCTGCATTTTTCTGATGGCCAGTGATGATGAGCATTTTTTCATGTGTCTTTGGCTGCATAAATGTCTTCTTTTGAGAAGTGTCTGTTCATATCCTTTGCCCACTTTTTGATGGGGTTGTTTTGTTCTTGTATATTTGTTTGAGTTCTTTGTAGATTCTGGATATTAGCCCTTTGTCAGATGAGGAGATTGCAAAAATTTTCTCCCATTCTGTAGGTTGGCTGTTCACTCTGATGGTAGTTTCTTTTGCTGTGCAGAAGCTCTTTAGTTTAATGAGACCCCATTTGTCAATTTTGGCTTTTGTTGCCATTGCTTTTGGTGTTTTAGACATGAAGTCCTCGCCCATGCCTATGTCCTGAATGGTATTGCCTAGGTTTTCTTCTAGGGTTTTTTATGGTTTTAGGTCTAACATTTAAGTCTTTAATCCATCTTGAATTAATTTTTGTATAAGGTGTAAGGAAGGGATCCAGTTTCAGCTTTTTACATATGGCTAGCCAGTTTTCCCAGCACCATTTATTAAATAGGGAATCCTTTCCCCATTTCTTGTTTTTGTCAGGTTTGTCAAAGATCAGATGGTTGTAGATGTGTGGTATTATTTCTGAGGGCTCTGTTCTGTTCCATTGGTTTATATCTGTTTTGGTACCAGTACCATGCTGTTTTGGTTACTGTAGCCTCGTAGTATAGTTTGAAGTCAGGTAGTATGATGCCTCCAGATTTGTCCTTTTGGCTTAGGATTGTCTTGGCAATACAGGCTCTTTTTTGGTTCCATATGAATTTTAAAGTAGTTTTTTCCAATTCTGTGAAGGAAGTCATTGGTAACTTAATGGGGATGGCATTGAATCTATAAATTACCTTGGGCAGTATGGCCATTTTCACGATACTGATTCTTCCTATCCATGAGCACGGAATGTTCTTCCATTTGTTTGTGTCCTCTTCTATTTCGTTGAGCAGTGGTTTGTATTTCTGCTTGAAGAGGTCCTTCACGTCCCTTGTAAGTTGGATTCCTAGGTATTTTGTTCTCTTTGACGCAACTGTGAATGGGAGTTCACTCATGATTTGGCTCTCTGTTAGTCTGTTACTGGTGTATAAGAATGCTTGTGATTTTTGCACATTGATTTTGTATCCTGAGACTTTGCTGAAGTTGCTTATCAGCTTAAGGAGATTTTGGGCTGAGACGATGGGGTTTTCTAAATATACAATCATGTCATCTGCAAACAGGGACAATTTGACTTCCTCTTTTCCTAATTGAATACCCTTTATTTCTTTCTCCTGCCTGATTGCCCTGGCCAGAACTTCCAACACTATGTTGAATAGGAGCGGTGAGAGAGGGCATTCCTGTCTTGTGCCAGTTTTCAAAGGGAATGCTTCCAGTTTTTGCCCATTCAGTATGACATTGGCTGTGGGTTTGTCATAAATAGCTCTTATTATTTTGAGATATGTCCCATCAATACCTAATTTATTGAGAGTTTTTAGCATGAAGGGCTGCTGAATTTTGTCGAAGGCCTTTTCTGCATCTATTGAGATAAACATATGGTTTTTGTCTTTGGTTCTGTTTATATGATGGATTATGTTTATTGATTTGTGTATGTTGAACCAGCCTTGCAACCCAGGGATGAAGCCCACTTGATCATGGTGGATAAGCTTTTTGATGTGCTGCTGGATTCAGTTTGCCAGTATTTTACTGAGGATTTTTGCATCAATGTTCATCAGGGAAATTGGTCTAAAATTCTCTTTTTTTGTTGTGTCTCTGCCAGGCTTTGGTATCAGGATGATGCTGGCCTCATAAAATGAGTTAGGGAGGATTCTCTCTTTTTCCTATTTACTGTACATTTATTCCACCAGTGACTAAAACAGGTGTATCAATAAAATCTGTTCCCTCAGGTTTTGCTTCAGGTATTTTGAGGGTCTGTTATCAGGTGCATAAACAAGATTGTTATGTCCTATTCTTAAATTAATCTCCTTATAATTATGAAGTTAATTTTTTTTTTCTTGAGATGCAGTTTTGCTCTGTCGCCCAGGCTGGAGTGCAGTGGCACAATCTCGGCTCAGTGCAACCTCTGCCTCCTGGGTTCAAGCATTTCTTTGCCTCAGCCTCCCGAGTAGCTGGGGTTACAGGTACCTGCCACCACGCCCGGCTAATTTTTTTGTATTTTTAGTAGAGATGGGGTTTCACCATCTTGGCCAAGCTGGTCTTGAACTCCTGAACTCTTGATCCACCCACCTTGGCCTCCCAAGGTGCTGGGATTACAGGTGTGAGCCACTGCGCCTGGACCTGGCCCGAAGTAAACTTCTTTACCCTTGCTAATGATCTTTGCTCTGAAGCATGCTTTGCTGGTATTAATATAGTCATTCCTTCTTTCTTTGATTCATGTTTGCAGGGTATATCTGTTTCCATTCTTTTACTTTTAACCTATTGTCTTTATATTTAAAGTGCATTTCTTGTAAGTATAATTGGTTTCTTAAAATCCAATTATCTGCCTTTTAAATGTCATTTTTATATGATTTGCATAAATATGATTATTATTACAGCTAAATTGAAATCTGTCATCTTGCTATTTGGTTTCTATTTATCCCATTTTTTTCCCCTCTTTTTTTGCTTTCCTTGAGATTGAACATTGTATTAGTTTTCTAGGGTTGCTGTAAGAAAGTGACATAAAGTGGATGGCTTAAAACAACAGAAATTTATTGTTTCAGTTTGGAGGCTAGTCATCTGAAACCAAGGTGTCATCAGGGCCGTATTCTCTCTGAAACCTGTAGGGAAGAATTCTTTCCTGCCTGTTCTAGCTTCTAGCATTTTCCAGCAATTCTTGGCATTCCTTTGCTTGTAGATGTATCCCTCCAATCTCTGCCTCTATCATAACATAGCCATCTTCTCCCTTTATCTGTCTATTCTTCTCATCTTATAAGAACATTAATTACTGAATTGGGGCCCAGCATAGATTAGGCCTAATCTCATCTTGAATAGGTTACATCTGCCAAAGATTCTTCTTCCAAATAAGATCACTTTTACAGCTTTTACAGGTACTGAGAGTTAGAACCTCAATATATCCTTTGGTGGGGACCGACCTCTTACCCATAAAAAGTATTTTATATGATTCCATTTTATCTCCTTTTTAGGTTATTAACTACAATTTTTTTTTCTTTTTTTTGAGATGGAGTTTTGCTCTTGTAGCCCAGGCTGGAGCGCGATTTTGGCTCACTGAAACCTCTGCCTCCCGGGTTCAAGTGATTGTCCTGCCTCAGCCTCCTGAGTAGCTGGGATTACAGGCATGTGCCACCGTGCCTGGCCAATTTTTGTATTTTTAGTAGAAACAGGGTTTCACCATGTTGGCTAGGGTGGGTCTCAAATTCCTGACCTTAGGTGATCCACCCACCTCGGCCTCCCAAAGTGCTGGGATTACAGGCGAGAGCCACCACGCCTGGCTTTATAATTTTTTTTTAATTCAGTGGATGTTTTAGGGTTTATAGTATACATCTTTATCACAGTCTAGCTCCAAGTGATATATCCCTTTATGTATAGTACATGACCCTTACAGTAGTGCATTTCCATTTTTCCTCTCTGGCATTTAGGCTATTGCACACACATACACTCAATTCATCCCTTTGTGTAGATCCGTATTTCCAGCTGCTATCTTTTGCTTCTGTCTGAAATATATGTATGATTTCTTTTATGACTATTTTGAGAAATTTGGTTATGTGCATTTGTCTATTTTTCTTATGTACTTTTAGCTCATCAATCTTAAGTCTGTGAGTTTATAGTTTTTAAAAACAAATTTGAAATTATTTGGCTATTATTTCCTCAAATATTTTTTTCTGCCGCCCCTGCTTTCCCTTTCCTTAGGGATCTCTGATTTCCACCTATATTACTCTGATTGAAGTTGTTCCACGTCTCTTTTGAAAATCTCTGAAAAATCTTTTATCATTTGGATAATCTGTATTTGTACATCTTCAAGTACATTAATATTTTCTTTTGCAATGTTTAATCTGCTGTTAATCCCATGTAGTGGATTCTTCATCTCAGGTATTGCTGTTTTAATCTCTAGAAATTCCATTGAAGTCTTACTTGATGAAAAAGGCAGATAAAAACAAATGTTGGCAAAGATATGGAGAAATCAGAATCTGCACACACTGATGATGGGAATGTAAAATGGTCAAGGCAATTTGGAAAGCAGTCTGGCAGTTTCTCAAAAGGCTAAACGTAGTTCCCATATGACAGCAATCATTCATCTAGGTATATACTCCAGAGAAATAAAAACATATCCACACCAGAACTTGAACATTAATTTTCATAGCAACATTATTCCTAGGGGTTTAAAATTTTTTACATTATTTTTATTTAAAATAGAGACAGGGTCTCACTACGTTGCATAGGCTGGTCTGGAACTCCTGGAATTAAGCATTCCTCCTGCCTTTGTCCTGTTTTCTCCACTGGAAAAGAATAAAACTTTGTACACTTGGACTAACAACTCCCGATTCCCTCCTTTACCAACATGCCCCACAGCCTCTAGTAACTTACTCTCTACTTTCATGAATTCAACTTTTTTAAGATTCCACATATAAGTGAGATCATACAATATTTGTCTTTCTGTGCCTGGCTTATTTCTCTTAGCATAATGTCCTCCAGATTCATACATGTTGTCTTAAATGACAGGATTTACCTTCCTTTAAAGGCTGACTAGTACTTCATTGTGTATATGTATCACATTTTCTTTATCCACTTATCTGTTGATGGGCACTTAAATTGTTTCAATGTCTTGGCTACTGTAAGTAATGCTTCAATAAACATGGGAATGAAGATATCCCTTCAACATATTGATTTCTGTTCTTTTGGATAATACTCAGAAGTGAGATTACTGGATCATATGGTTGTTCTATTTTTTTCAGAAACCTCCATACTGTTTTTCATAGCGGCTGTACTAATTTACATTCCCACTAACAATGCATGAGTTCACTTTTCTGGACATCCTCCCCAACACTTGTTATCTTTCATCTTTTTCATAAAAGCCATTATATAATAGGTGTGAAGTGACATCTCACTGTGGTTTTGATTTGCATTACTCTAATAATTAGTGTGAGCATTTTTTTTTTTTCATGTACCGAATGTCTTTTGAGAAAGGTCTCTTCATTCCTTTGCCCATTTTAAAATCAGGTGGTTTTCTTGCTCTTGAGTTGTTTGAGTTCCTTATGTATTTTAGATATTTACCCATTTCCAGATATATCATTTATATTTTTTCCTATTCTTTGAGTTCCCTCTTCACTGTGTTGTTTCCATTGCTGTGCAGGTCTTTTATTTTGATGCCACCCCATTTGTCTATTTTTGCCATGCTTTTGCAGTCATATCCAAAAAAATCATTCCCAAGACCAATGCTGTGGAGATTTCCCCCTATGTTTTCTTCAGTAGGTGTACAGTTTTAGGTCTTATATGTTAAGTTTTAAATCTATTTTTTTATATGGTGTAAATAAGGGTCTAATTTAATTCTTTTGCATGTGGATATCCAGTTTTCCCAACACCATTTATTGAAGACCCTGTCCTTTTATACTTTTCAGTATGCAGATCTTTTACCTCCTTAAATTTACACCTCAGTATTTAATATTTGTTGCTATTATGAGATTTTCATAATTTCCTTTTCAGATAGCTCATTAATAGTAGATGGAAACACTACTGATTTCTGTAAGATGATTTTGTATTACGGAACTTTACTGAGTTTGTGTATCAGTTCTACCAGGTTTTAGTTTTGTTCTGGTGGAGACATTACAGTTTTTTGTATATGGTTATGTCATCAGTAATTACAGATGATTTAACCTATTCCTTTCCTATTAGGATGCCTTTTTTTTCTTTCTCTTGTCCAACTGCTCTGGTTAGGACTTCTAGTACTATGTCAAAAAGTGATGAGGGTCGTACATGGCCTCCATACCTAATCTGTTGAGAGTTTTTACCATGAAACCAGGTTGAATTTTGTCAAATGCTTTTTCTGCATCCATTGAGATGATCATATGATTTGATTTACACCCTCCATTTTGTTATGTGGTATATCACACTTTTTGATGTGCATATGTTGAACCACCCTTGCATCCTAAGGATAAATCCCACTTCATCATGGTGAATCATTCTTTGTATTCGTGAATCCAGTTTGCTAATATATTGTTGAGGATTTTTGCATCCATGTTCATCAGGGATATTACTTTGTAAGTTTCTGTCCTTAAAGTGTCTTTCTCTGGCTTTAATAACAGTGTAACACTACCCTTGTAAAATGAATTTAGAAGTATTCCCTCTGCTTCATTGTTTTGGAAAAGTTTGAGAATTTTTATTAGTTCTTTAAATGTCTGGTAAAATTCAGTAGTGAAGCTGCCTAATCCTGGGCTTTCCTTTGGTGGGATACTTTTTATTACTGGCTCAATCTCTTTTCTTGTTATTGGCTTATTCAGATTTGTTTCTTCATGATTCACTCTTTGTAGGTTGTATATGTCTAGGAATTTATTCATTTCTTTAGGTCATCCAATTTGATGGTGCATAACTTCATAGTAGTTTCTTATAATCCTTTGTATTTTGGTGATATCAGTAGTAAATGTCTCCTCTTTCATTTCTGATCTTATTTGAGTACTCTTTTTTTCTCCTAGTCTAGGTAAGAATTTGTTGATTTTATCTTTCAAAAAAAAAAAAAACCAACTCTTAGCAACTCTTAGTTTTGTTCATTTTTTTCCAGTCTTTATTTCAACTGTGATCTTTGTTACTTACTTCTTTATGCTAACTTTCGGGCTTAGTCTGTTCTTTTCCTAGTTCCTTTAGGTGAAAAGTGAGATTGTGATCCTTCTTCTTTATTGGCGTAGGTTTGTATCGCTATAAATTTCCATTAGGACTGATTTTGCTGCATCACATAAGTTTTGTTTCCATTTTCATTTGTCTCAAGGTAATTTTTTATTTACTTTTTGACTTCTTCTGTGAACTATTAGTTGTTTGGGAGCATATTGTTTAATTTCCACATATTGCTGTATTTTCCACCAGAATTGATTCTTGTTCTTGATTTCTAGTTTCACGCCATTGTAATCAGAAAAGGGATTTGATATGATTTCTGTCCACTTAAACTTAAGATTAGTTTTGTGGACTAACATATATCCTGGAGAATGTTCCATGGGCATTTGAGAACAAAATGTATTTTGCTGCTTCTGGATGGAATGTTTCATATATGCCTGTTAAGTCCGTTTGGTCTAAAGTGTAATTGAAATCCATTGTTTCTTTATTGATTTTCTGTCTAGGTGATCAATCTGCCCATGGTGAAAAGTAGAGTATTGAGGTCCCGTATTATAGTATTGCAGCCTATCTCCCTCTTCACATCATTTAAAAATTGCTTTATGTATTTAGGTGGGTCAATGTTGGGTGCATATACTTTTACAATTGTTATGTCTTCTTGGTGAATTAATCCCTTTATCATTATATAACAAACTTCTTTCTTTTTATAGTATTGACTTAAAGTCTATTTTGTCTGATAGAAGTATAGCTACCCCTGCTCTCAATTTCCATTTATATAGAATATCTTTTTCCATCCCTTCACTTTCAGTCTATGTGTATGTTTAGTAGAAAAGTGAATCTCTTGCCGGGCGCAGTGGCTCACTCCTGTAATCCCAGCACTTTGGGAGGCCAAGGCGGCGGGATCACCAGAGGTTGGGAGTTAGAGACCAGCCTGACCAACATGGAGAAAACCTGTCTCTATTAAAAATACAAAATTAGCCAGGCGTGGTTGTGGGCCCTTGTAATCCCAGCTACTCGAGAGGCTGAGGCAGGAGAATTGCTTAAACCCGGGAGGTGGAGGTTGCGGTGAGCTGAGATCATGCCATTGCACTCCAGCCTTGACAATAGCAAAACTCCGTCTCAAAAAAAGAAAAAGAAAAAGAAAAAAAAGTGAGTCTCTTATAGGCAGTATGTGGTTGTGACTTAAAAAAAAAAAAAAATCCATTCTGTCATTCTATGTCTTTTTGTTGGAGAATCTAATCCGTTTACATTCAAGGTAACTATTGGTAAGAAACTGCTAGTGTCATTTTGTAATTTGTTTTCTGATTGTTTTGTAGGTCCCTTGTTTCTTTTTTCCCTATTGCTACCTTCCTTTGTGGTTTGGTGGTTTTCTGTGGTGGTGTGCTTTGAATCCTTTCTTTTATAGTATATGCGATTACCATTGTATTTGCTGTAAGGCTAACTTAAAACATTTTATCCTTAGGCTACTTTAAGCGATAAAAACTTGCCTTTAGTTGCATACAAAAACTCTACGCTTTCACAACCCCCCCGCCTTTCGTGATTTTGATGTCAAAGTTTACACTTTTTTAAATTTGTATCTCTTATTGTAGCTACAGTTACAATTACTTCTTGTAGCTACAACTTATTGTAGCTACAGTTGTTTTTAATAGTTTCATCTTTTAAACCTCCTAATAGGAATAACATTGCTTTACCTGCCACCTTTACAATACTAGAGAATTCTGACTATGAATTACTTATACCATTTAGTTTTTTACTTTTATGTTTCTCATTAACTAGCAGTCTTTTATTTAAGCCTAAAGAACTCCCTTTTAGTAATTCCAGTAGAGCAGGCCTAGTAGTGACAAACTCCCTTAGGCATTGTTTATCTGGAAAAGTGTTTATTTCTCCCTTTGCCAAGTAAAGTATTCTTAATTAACAGCTTTGTTTCCTTCAGCACTTTGAATATACCATCCCACTCTCTACTGGCCTGTAAGGCTTTTGCTGATAAAGCCACTGAATCTGTATTGGGGCTACCTTGAATGTGATGTTTCTTATCTTTGCTGCTTTCAGTATTCTTTGTCTTTGATTTTTGATAACTTGGTTGTGATGTGTCTTGGTGAACTCTTTAGGTTGAATCTGATCGGTGACCTCAGCTTCCTGTTCCTGAATTTTGTCATCTTTTCTCAGATTTGGGAATTTTTCAGCTATTACTTCCTTAAATATGCTTTCTAGGCCTTTTTCTTTCTTTTCTCCTTAAGGACCTCCTATTATGCAAAAGTTAGCTAGCTTGATGTGTCCTGTAATTCTTATAGGCATTCTTTTTTGTTTTTGTTTCTCATTGGATAATTTCAAATGTCTTACCTTTGAGCTCATTGATTCTTCTGCTTGATCAAGTCTGCTGTTGAAGCGTTCTACTTAGATTTTCAGTTCAGTTACTGTATTCTTTATCTTTAGAATTTCTATTGTTTTTGTTTATATTTGTTAAACTTCTCATTCTGTTCAGATGTTGTTTTCCAAATTTCATTTTTCTATCCATATTTTCTTGTACTTTGTTGAACTTAAGAGGATTAGTCTAAATTATTTGTCATTTCACAGGTCTCCATTTCTTCTGAGTCTGTTACTGGAGCTTTCATATCCAATGTACACCAGAAACTTTGCTAATTCCACAGTAAATGTTAGAAATGGGTTTTTATTGATAAAATCAGTGGCTTGCTAATTAGTATGTTAGAAGCTGGCTTGCATTGGTGAAGTTGAGGGTATTCGATATACGTATCCCGGCTAAAATACTTCTAAAGAACCTCTCCAGCTTTGCAAGAATAGAGTATAGGAATCTGAGGAGGCCTTTAACATGGCCCTCAGAAAGGACACACAGGGCTTGACCTCTAAACATATAAACATATACAGAAACGAGGTCAGAACATGTTTTGACTGATGCCAGTAGTAACACAGCAGAGCCTATTGCTGGTCACTGTTACCAATACCTTGTGTAATAAACCTTTCATTTAAATTGAGAGGTTGTAAGCCCCGAAAAAGCAAAGGGCTTACAGTACCTCTTGCCTGAACACTCCTGTGTGTGCTTTCTAAGAAATGCTTTTAAAATAATGCCTGTGGCACAAATTGATTTGACACTGGCTCTCTTTATAAGCTGCTATCAAGGTTGTGGGGAATAGCTAACTCTTACCCACTTTCCCTGACAAATAGGAACCCGTAGTTACCTACCAAAAGTATGTAAAAGCTATATCCGACCCAAAGGCCAGTTAGGTCAAAACACCTTGAAAGGAGCTCAGTTTAAGGAAATCAGTGGTGTCACAGTGCCCCACTAGCGTGTAAAAGTTTTCATAGTTTGACTATCGGATGTGCTTAGTTTCACAGCTGAGTCTTACCTTGTGATACTTTTAGAGCAAAAGTCAAATCAAAGATGATTTAAAAAAACATTTCAAAGATTCATAAAGAATAAATGCCTCCTCAGGAAGTCTTCTGGAGTTCTGCCCACTTCCCTTAGGTGGCTCTTTACTGTGCCCATCTCATAGCCTGTCTCCTTCCACTTGGTGTATTGCAGAGTAAAGCTCACTGTTTACAGGGGTGGTAGAAAGTGTGGTCCTTTCCCAGACTCCTTTTTCCCTTCCTCTTCTCATTTTTCAGAAGATGTGTTTGATAATAAACGAAACAAAATGACTAACACATTGAGCTGAGCTACATAAGCAGATGTCAGTTTGACGTGAAGAGTTTAAAAGATCTATGCATTATCTGGGGACTCCTCCCCCAGACCTGAAGGATCAGGTGCTGCCTTCTATGCCACCTGTGCAGACAGCAAAAGAGGAAAACCATACCCACGTTCAGTATGAACAAAGGGGACATTTGAACTCTGTGTGGACCCCTCATTGGAAGGGTGTTTCTTCTCCTGCTGCATCCACAAAGAGCACTCCTTAGCCTTGCCTTTTGTCAGTTCTCTCTCCAATAAGGCTTGAGCAGAGACAACCCAGTGCAGTTCAGAGAGACTGAAGTCTGGTGTTCCAGGTCTGAGTCCTAGCTCTAGCTCTCTGTGTAACTTTGGGATGTCCCAAAGTAACTTTTCACAACTTGATAGGTGTTAACTTGAATTTTGGATACAGGTGACTCTTAGCCCATCCCCTCTCTGTGCTTCAGATATGTCATCACTTGGGCCATATGACCTCTGGACACCTTTCCTACTTTCCACAATTTCAGAGCAGCAGAGCAGACTGGAGCTCCTGCTGCCTCTGAGCTTCAGTGAATTATCACTCGTTGGAGGGAAGCTTCAAGCATTTTGTTATCTTTCAAGAGCAAACACAGTGTCTGTCAGCAAGAATATGTAGCAGATGCTAGTGAACAGCAGTGATTAGGGTTGAATGCTGGATTTAAATATGGAGCTTAGGCTGTGAAGGAAGCCTGAAGAACCTAGAGCCCCATGAAGCTGCCCTCTGTGAGATCTGACACCATTTCCCACTGATGAGCCATGGGTCTAATGGGTAGCACTGATTCCACATACAGTATGTGAGTGCAATACAGTGAAAGCAAAGAGAATAAAATGATGGCTAACATGATGTTCCAAACTTTAAACAGGAGAAAAACACACAATTCCATTATGTATAAGAACCCACACAGAGATCAGGAGAATAACCTCATTGGAGAATGAATGACCTGTGTGGGGAATTTAGGGTAGAGTTGAGATTGAAAAAATGGGCCGAAGTCAGGTGGCCAAGGGCCTTAATACCTTGTATACAAGATGTGTAGTCAAGGAAGACCATGCCTTACTTATGCATCAATTCCCTTGGGCCTACAAAGAGCTGCCTAGCCTGGGACTGTTGTAGAGAAAAGCTACAGTGTTCCAATGACACAGGGACTCCTCCATGTATGTATGAGTGCCCAGCTGGCTCTGTAATAAATCTTATTTTTATTTATTAACTTTTCTTGCGCATTGGCTTGATGCATCAGTTGGAAGTCAGAGGCCAAACGAAGTGAACACTGAGCCAAAGGAAGTTCTCAGCCTTTAGGGAGGCAGAATTCACTTTAAACACAATAAACAAATGAACTCACATTATACAGGAGAGAGTCAGAAGATCCCAGTGGCTGGTGTCATCGGGCCATATTTGCCCGAAGTGCCTATTCCTTATAGGAACCCACTCCCAGGGTTGATGGGCTACATCCTTAGGAGGCTTTATGCCTATGTTCTCCTGACCACTGGCTCCTCCAGGGCTGGCCTTTTTTAGTCTCTCTGTAGAGGTTCCTGTAGCTGGTTGGATATAGGCTTTCACAGAAGGGTCAGTGCCTTGGGTCTGGTTACAGGACTGTTAATCTTGCTTTGTTAAGAGTAATGTTATTTCCCCATTTCCAAATTCTCCAGGGAGATGGAATGTCAAAGATAGTATGACTGTAGCACCTAAATCCTGGGTTCCAGAAGCAGAGAAGAGAATACACTGAAGCTGTAGAAAGGCCTATTAGTCCATGTCAGAGATTAACTGGATGCGAGGACCATTTCTGGGATGGTGTATACAGAACTGGAGAACTGGATAGGGAGTCAGAAACAAAGAGCTGAAGATGATGCCTTTGAAGTTTCCAACGTGGATAACTAGGTCAACAGAATATTACTCAAGAAAGTATTAACATAGGATTGAGATGCAGTCAGTAGTAATGGAATTGAAATTTCAAAGTATATACCTCATGGATCTCAGGGGGTGTTGAGCTGATCACCTGGGCTAACACTCCTATGACCCTGGGGAAAATCAAATGACCTGGTACTGTAGCCATGGTAGGGGTGTCATCACCTTAATCCAACTGGGACAGTGCTGTTTGATATTCATCTGGAACTTGGTGCAGACCCACATTTTGCTGGGTTTCACCACAACCAAGGCTTTTTTGATTCTTTTCTCTTTTAACATCAGTACATCACTGCAAAGTTAATCCTCATATAATAGGAGATGAAACTAATTGCTTATAAAAACAAGATTTTTACAACACTAAAATTGTTCAAGCATATGGGCATATTTATAGTTGCAGGCAGTGTTTCAGATGCAGACTGTTCTTGGCTGCAGTGGTTGTTTACAGGCAGCATCTGTTCTGATTAAATATTTGATGATTATCCCCGAATGTTTTAAAGCATAGTACTGGGCTCTGCTGACTGTACAACAAACTGGCATTTTTGACCTATAGGGCACTGGGCTAGGAGATACAGTTCTGAGGGAAGTGAAAGATAGTTAACAACTGCACAACTGACCCTTTATTAGTTGCAATAAAGCAATCCAACCACCCAACCCACTGTGATGGCTTTCCTACTATTTAAGGTTGGTGGTGTCAAAGAGACACCCTCCTGTACAGTGTGCAGTGAATCAACATCATTTCCACAAAACCTCCTTCCTGCACAAAGGAATTATCATACTTTGTTACGAAGTAAAATTTTCCTGTATCAGTCACAGGAGTTCACCAGTTAAGATACTGTTAGTTGAAGACTTCTGGGGTGACTTAATGAAATAGCTCAGCCATCTGGTTTAAAAACTGGATTCTTCTATCCCTCCACACAGCTGTCCATGCACCTGCATCATCTCAAGGCTGGTCTCCCTGGTGGTAGAAAGGCTGACAGTAAAAACTGGAGCCACATGATTCCTTGCTTAGGCAGTGTTTCTTCATACTCTCACATGAGAGCAGGCATGTTCTTTCCCTAGGCTCACAGTAAACACTCTGTCAAATCTCACAGGCCCAAAGTGCTTTTGGTTATCCCCATTCCAAGCCAATCTGTGGCATGGAAGATAGCATTACCCTGACTGCCTTAGACTAATATACCTACTCCACTTCTGGGGCTGGGAATAATTTTGAGGTCAACCATCCAAACTGCATGACAGCCATTCCATGGAAGAGGTATGGCCTAAATCTTTGGGGCAACCTGAATTCATGAAAACTCTCTTAGATTTATGTAACTATTTTTAGAATTCACTTCTGTATCATTTAATTTTACTAATAAAAATACCACCTTTACCCTAAATGTCAGCCAAGCGTAAGGCTCCGTTGGGACAGAAGGAACTATCAAAGCTTTGTGTTTTTATACATTAGCAGCATTTGACAAAGAAATAACTCTGAAGGAAGGAGAATAACCAGGCAGAGTCTAGATGCATGGAAAAGAAGTCTTTGAGAAGGCTTCGCAGGCTGAAGGAAAGGGCAGGACTACTTCAGGAATACAACGTTTAAGTAAAAGAGGTTGGGGTCTGTTGATCTTGAGGAGAGATGAGGATGGACTGGAAAATAGGAGTGAGATATAGTAGGAGAGGAAAGGATATGGATGATGTATATACTGTATGGGTAACCATCAGTCGACCCTAAGAAGATAATAGTTGTTAAATGGTTAGCTATTTAATGAAAGAAACCTGAACAAGTAATAATCTTGAGTTGCAAAGTGGCTGGAGTCACACAACAGACTAAATTTCTGGTAGAACAAATCCAGCAGCTTATGTGAAGGTTACCATGTCTGAAGCTGGATAGAAAAGGTCTAACTTCCAACCAAAGTCACAGTTCTTGAGCTCGGTACACAGAGACAGACTGCTAACAGCTGATGTGTCCTCAGCGAGAGTGTCCTCATTTATATCCTCGTTCTCTTCTGCCTCCTTTTTTTGTTTTAAACTTTTGGGAAGTCTCATCATTCAATACAGTTCTAATATATCACAATAACAGAGGCGGCCCAATTTCTACAAATTGACTAATTCTATCCCTGAAAAGTTCATACAATAAAACTATACAAAGCATCATTTTCAACCATCCTATAGAAAAATTTCCCTATTAAATTTTAACTCTAAATCCTCTATCTCTGTTAATAACCTTACTAAAAACTTCCCCATCACTGCCTGCCAGGGAGATCAAAAGAAACCAAATTTAAGAAACCTCCAACACCTGTACCTGACTGAAAAGCAAACATACAGACCTTTCAGTCCTGCCCCTACTATTCAGCTCCTATCACAGAGACATGGTGGATGTCCCCTTGGGAAGCGGATAGCTCTTAGGTGGAAGCTAGGCCTGCAATAAGCAGGCCAGGAAACATGTCTCCCAGGCCCCATACTCTTGGCAGAAGCACTTGGCCACCAGACAGCATGTCCTGTCAACCTACAGAGTTCTTAAAAACAAACACTGGGACCCAGAATAGTACCCTGTGGTCATAGTGCCCACAGTTCACTAAGCACCCTCACAGGTCTTTGACAGAACACTGACTGCCAGGTCACCTGGTGGGCAGAGAAATGGAAGATTCCCAGGCCCAACTAGCATCTCAGGGAAGAACCACAAGCAGAGCAACTTTCAGAGCTGGTCGGCCAGCGTTGGCACCCAGGGAAGCAAGTGCTATTCCATATTTGGAGAGAACATAAAACTCAAGGAAACAGAGAAGTCCTACTCAATACCGTTCTCAACTGAAAACAAGAGAACTTGCAAAAAAGAAACCCAGTTTTCTGGAGTCCATGGAGAAATATGAAGCCAATGCTCGGCTAACAGAGCAGAAAGCCTTTTATAAATAATGCCAGTCAAAGCTCCAAAGGTCAGAGCTGATGCATGCCGGATTGTTCTGACAATTTCTTAGGTTTCTAGGCAACAAGGAGCTGGTCAAACAGCTCACCTCCAAGGACATACTTTATAATACCACCCTGGTAGACGAGAGCGAGGCAGCAGTGAAGGCAATAGTCAAGAACAGGAGAGGGAGGTAAAGAACAAGATGCTCTTCAGACAGTCTGGACAAAGACAGTCCCTACCCAGCTCTCAGGAGTTGCCTCCTTAAGAAGGTGGAGGCCCAGGCAGCTCCCAGGGTGACCCTAAAGACAGACTCCAAGGAAAAGGGTGTGAGGGCAATGGTGAATATAAGGAGGTCCCCTTTCAGTAGGCAGAGCAAGTCAGTTCAGGTCTTATTTTTAGAGTCTCTGAACAGTGAAGAGAAGCTTTCTGTGGACAGCATTCCACCACCATGGGAGGGGAAAGGTGCCATGAGAGACTTCTCCAGTGGGGCATACAAGCATTGTGCAGTGATCCCCAAGATCCAGCCACTGGCAGGAAATCGAAAGGCAAGCTTCTTAAATACATAGTATATGGAGACAGAAGTGTGGAGCACTCCCAAAATGAAAGGCCAAGACCCAGGAACAACCTCCACAACCTGGAGTATATACAAATGAACCCAGCCCTGCTGACTCAGATCCACACCATCCTAAAGCAGGGGTTTCTCATGAATGAAAGGGCTAAGTATTTGGTGGAGAGAATGAGAAGTCTCCCACTGCCCACACATTTTTTCTTCAGAGATTTCTTTTCCAAGAGCCCCTTGAATAAAGGAAGGGAGGGAGCACTGAATGCCCCAGAAATCAGAATGCATGGTGCGGGAAGACGACAGGAAATAGTTCTCAAAGAGATCAGAAAATAAATTGGAAGCAATTTCATTACCACAAAGAACAGACATTTTTTCTAAGGCACCCCTCCCCTTTCCACCCAATTGTCATTCAGCAACTACTGAATACTTACCAATGAAAAACGTTACCCCTGACCTCAAGGCTGCTCCTGAGCTCTGGTAGAAAATGCTTTCCTTGTCTATAAAACATGGCAAGCAAGGCAGGATTTAACAGTAAGGGCACAGTAGCACTGCAAGCCTTCAAATGGAAACCTGGAGACAAGCAGTGAGAACAGGAAGCAAAAGCAGGGCAGGTGAAGCTAGGACCAGGGCATCTGGAACTTTCCACACAGGTTGGATCTCCATGCCAGACAACAGTTTTCAAGGAAAAATATCTAAGAGGAACATGACTTTGGGAAACTTTTTGGCAGTACTGCTTACTGTATACTAGAGAGTAAAAGAATTTGGGGAACATTCACCAATTTGCTTCTTCAGGGGCTTGGGTAGGGAACGTGAACAGGAACCTGGCTCTAATTTCTGAACTTTTTTATCAGTAAAAACAATCCAACAAACGAAAGCTAGTCAGTGAGAGAACTGGGAGGGTCTGCCCTCCTTCCCTGAGTCAAGCCTTCTGGGGGGACCTCCTGACATTTAATTAAGCAAAGACAACGCCCACTGAAGGAAGCTGACCTGAAAGTGACACGCTACTGTGAAATGAGCATGAAGTGGGAGCTTGTTACATATATGAAATGGCCAGCGATCCTGAGCAAAGCGCTTCAGAGCTTGAGACCTAAGTCTTCTCATCTATATACTGAGGGCTGGACAAGATGATCTGTCAAGCCATTTTTATCCCTAATCCACCAAAATCCAATGCTTTAGTTTATTGTCACAAAAGCAGGTATCGAATGGCTATCCTGCAGTGCCTCCAATCAACATTCAGACTTTTTCCCTGAGGCAATATAAGATAACAGTTAACATGTTTTTATCAATTAGGTGGTCATGAGATAAATATATATGGGAAGTGGTAGTTTTTCACTTAAATGCATATAATAATGGTACAGCTCTCTTTGAATAGTATTTGTTTATTTCTTAAATATTTAAGTTCCTAAAGACGGTAAGAATAACCCAAGGAAGTGAAATCAATGTCACAAAGCACATGGCTAAATAACTGCAGGTTTGCAGTGCCATGTGTGAGATCAGATGACAGAAGGGAGAACTACCTTTAGGCAGAGGCTTCTCATGTCCCCTGGAGTGGCCATGTGCTGTTCTACATGACTACTTCCACTTCGGTTATGTAGAAGCTATTTAAAGCACACAGATGTTTGTGATGAGAAAAAAGCCACCCTTAATTGAATAATGGAAATTATAAGCATGATTTGAGGGTGGGGGTGGAGGTGGGAGTAGAGATGGGTAGAAAGGAGTGCAATGGAAACAAAGGAGCCTTCATAAAATTCAAGTCACTTCTTAGGATAACGTGATTGATTTACTCACCACCTTCTTAGGAACATAAAGCAAACAAGTGGGTTTTCCTTTTACTGCTTTTCTGAAATGAGCTACACTCAAGAAAGCAGCACGGGGGTTGTGCTGTCCCTGCACAGTGGCAGGAGAGTATGAGGAGCAGGTGAATGCCACAACAGCTCCATCCAAGATCATTTTTCACATGCAGGAACCATTCTTATACTACCCTTTACTGGTAATTTCTGTAGAAATCTGGAAGTCTGGTTGACACCCTCCTGTACAGTGTGCAGTGAATCAACATCATTTCCCTTGGACTTTGCAATCACGGTGGCATTCATACATTCATTCAACAAGTATGTATGTACAGGACAGTGGAGTAAAGAAAACAGATAGTTCTTACTCTCACGAGGCTTAAAATTTCAGGAGGGAACTAGGCAGTCATGAAGTAAACATAAAAACACAGATTGTAATAGGCACTAGAGAATAATGAAGACTTTGGGGAACACAATTTAAATTGGAAAAATATCTCAGTTCCGTTAACACATGTTGAAGGGGAATAGCATTGTTTTGCTGGATTTGGGGCCTGGATGCAAGCATGTTGGGTATGCATTGTAGGGTAATGCATTTCCTTCCATTTGGGCCCAAGTGTATATTTACCACCCAGTTGTGATGAGCTGGGATCCTCCTGCTCAATCTCAGCTTGAAGCACTTGGAGGTTATCTGCCTGCTGTGGGTGATTATTTTGGAGCAAGGTACTTCATTTGCCTCAAGAAACAGATTTGATACCACTACTGTGCCCTTTTGGAACAGAGAAGTAGGCAAGACCCCAGTGTGAGGCAGAGTGATGGGATCTTTAGGGACATAATTGATGATGTAACTGATGATGATTTTGGAGTTTATACATTTCCAAAGTTTCAAAATATTTTCACTTGGTTGATTTATCTTTATGGTGATGACACTACGTAGATATATGCCCTTCTTAAAAGTTACAGTAAGAGGCTGGGAGCGGTGGCTCACGCCTATAATCCCAGCACTTTGGAAGGCCGAGGTGGGCAGATCATGAGGTCAGGAGATTGAGACCATTCTGGCTAACACGGTGAAACTCCGTCTCTACTAAAAATACAAAAAAATTAGCCGGGCGTGGTGGCGGGCGCCTGTAGTCCCAGCTACTCAGGAAGCTGAGGCAGGAGAATGGCGTGAACCCGGGAGGCGGAGCTTGCAGTGAGCTGAGATTCCGCCACTGCACTCCAGCCAGGGCAATGAGCGAGACTCCGTCTCAAAAAAAAAAAAAAAAAAAAAAAAAAAGTTACAGTGAGAGTTGACATTGAGAAAAGGGAGGCCCAGCCAGGGTTATGCAAAGACACAGTAGGGAGGAGGATGGGAAGTTTCTGAGACACCCCAGTAACTGCATGGGTCCACAAAGCACATGTACAGTCTGCTCTATGCACTGCAGGTACAGCCACGAATAAGACAAAGTCTCTGCCCTCATGGAGCTTGGTGTCTGTCTACTGGAGCAGACAAAAACAAACCTGCTTTTTCTCATTTGCCTCTACTGTGGGTTCCGTGTATAACTCTCAAATGCTAGCATTTCCATGCATTCCATCCTTGTCCTTCTCTCCTCTCTGCCTTTTCCAGGAGAATTTTCCTAGCCACAGGTTCAGCTATGGTCTATGTGCTGGAGTCATACATTTTTATCTTCTGTGTACGTTTTTCTCTAGACCCATATTTTTAATTGCCTTAGGACAGCTCTCCCTGGATATCCCTCAGACACAACTAAAACATCATTCAATTGTACTATTAATAATTTTCCCTTCAAAATCCACTCCTCTTCTCTATAGACCTAACAGCAACACTGTCCGTCCAGCTCTCAAAACCTGAAATGTGGGAGTTGTCTTTGACTCTTATCTTTCCCATGCATGAGCACTGAATCAATCAGAGTCCCTAGCATGTCTTGGACTGTGGCCTCCCTTCTATCTTCAGATTATCTGCCTTTTTAGAATTATGGCAATAACTTAACTGCAAAGACCACATGTGCACTTGTGCTCTTTCAGTTTGTAATAAATATAAAATGAAAAGTGATTATGTCTTTGCTTAACGTCTGCAAAATAAAAGTCCAAAGTCCTTGGTATGGTCTATAAGGCCCTCATTATCTGACCTGCCTGCCTTCCCAATCTCATCTTAATCCCTTACAGCCTGACACTCAGACATACTAGACTTTCCACCTAACTCACTCACATACACCTATCCTGTATGTCAAGATTCGGCTTGACCTTCATCACCTACCTATCTGCAGTATTTTTGGATCTGAATTCTCTGCCCACATTGTACTTTCACATACTTCTTTTACCCTTAGTGGTTTGTACTTATGCCTGGTCTAACTAGATTGTCTCCCTGTAACAGACTTCTTGATTCAACAAAGCAGCTCTGAATCAGCCTGAAACCTATGGCACACTGCAAAATGGCAAACATTCAATAGGTATTTGCCCAGTAAATGTTAATGAAAGGAAAAAAATTCAAACTTCAGTTGGAATAGGATTAGAGACAAGTTAAAAAAAAGTTTCCCATAGAAATCTTCCTCATCGTAAATATCATCATCCTAAATGTCCCGAGTCTTTCCATGGGTCTAATTTACCAAATCATGAAGACTCTCTTTCTCACTGTGTATGTGTAGTGGGAGAGGCAGAGACAGAACGGTTTTTTTTTTTTTTTGCAAGTCTGCTCTCTGGATTCGTTTTTCTGGGGATGAAATCTCAGGCTATGTAGCTTTTCTGGTCCCTTTTTGGTAATCAACAAATCATCAGTTTCTCTAGGTATTAAAAAGCCTACACTTTTGAAACACCAAGAGGCCAAACTCTCTCTTAATTGAAAACATAATTCTGCCTCTTACTGAGGTCTTTGGGTGGGAAGCTTAAAGACAGCAGTGTTGGGGCAATTGGTTTTTCTTTTCCTCCCTCCACCTTCTTTCCCATTCAAGAGCTGTTGCTGCCCTTTCTGGAGGGGAGGGAATTAGAAAAAAAGATCCTGCCTTACCCAGTCACTGTTAATTATTACTTTGAGCCAGGGTGGGGAATGACTTTCTTTCCTGGAATACACCCTGCTGGAAACCACAGCTGAGATTCTCTAAGCTGGCAGCTTCCAACCTCTCCTCCCTCAACAGCTTCAACATTATATGGCACTCAGCTGCAGGGTGCCTGGCTCCAGGCCGGCAGTCCATTTGTGCAGGGTAGTTTTCAAGATGGCTCATAGCCCATCTCTTTCAGTGACCAGCGTGGCCTATGGGAAACATACATCTTGACTCCATTATTGGTAGGAGTACTCTTTAGTTAACTGCCACAGGCCAGTTCAGACACGTCTTACCCTGAGAGCCTTTTCAGAGTCAGGTACCATCCCTGTGTCCCCCAGCATCTGAAGATCACAGGTGAAGGTCTCCAAGTAGTTCACTTAAAAAATACCTCAGTAGGTTTAAGAACAGGGAAAGCTCCCAATTCATTCTGTCAGGAGTATGACTCTCATCCCCAAACTGGACAGATATATAATATGAAAACTACAGACCAATATTCCTTATGAATATAGATGCAAACATTCTAAACAAAATACTAGCAAACCAAATCCAGCAGCATAGAACAAGGTTTATGTAGCATGGACAACTGAGATTATCCCAGGAATGCAAAGTTAATTCAATATACAAAAGTCCATTAATACAACATATTAATAAAGGACAAAACAACATGAAAATCTTGATACAGAAGAAGCATTTAACAAAACCCACAGCCCCTCCTTTTTTTTTTTTTGATTAAAAAACACTCAGTAAACTAGGTTTAATAAAAGAATTTCCTCAACTTGAAGCAAACCCACAGCTAGCTAACATCATACTCAATGGTGAAAGACTGAATGCTTTCCCCTTAAAATCAGGAACAAGAAAAAGATGTCTGCTCTTGTCACTTCTATCCAATATTGTACTGGAGGTGCTAGCCAGCACACTAAGGCAAGAAAATGAAATAATAGGAATCTAGACTGGAAAGGAAGAAGTAAAAGTATTTCTGTTCACAGATGCATGATCTCATATGCAAAAAATACTAAGTGACAAAAAAAGAATTTTAGAAAAGCTACAATATACAAAATCAATATACAAAAATTAATTTTATTTCTAACACCAGTGATGAATACAAAAATAAAAATTAGAAAATAATCATATAATTAAAGTGGCATCAGTAAAATACTTAGAAAAAAATTAAAGACGTCAAGACTTGCACACTGAAATCTCTAAAACATCACTGAAATAAAGACCTAAGCAAATGCAAAGACATCCCACAGTCATGGAACAGAAAACCTAACACCATTAAAATAGCAGTTATTTCTCAAATTTATCTACCAATTCAACTAAATCCCTATCAAGATCCCAGCTGTTTTGCAGGAATTGACACAATGATCATATAAAAATTCATATGCAATGCAAGGGACCCAAAACAGACAAAATGATTTTGGGGAAAAAAAAAAAAAAAATGGAGGACTTGCACATCCCAAATCTAAACTTACTACCAAGCTACAGCCATCAAGACAGTGCGGTGCTGGTATAACGACAGACATATAGGGCAATGGAGTAAGACTGAGAATCCAGAAAGTCTTATATTTATGGTCAACTGTTCTTTGACAAGGGTACCAGGACCATTCATGGGGAAATAATAGTCTTTTCAACAACTGGTGCTTGGGCAGATGGATATACAGATACCAATGCACTTATGCAAAAAATGGATGAAATAGGAAACTTCACTACATTCTACTGCATGCTCGGTCATTTTCAATCATTTAGGTGGCAACACTGACAAGATAACAGAAAGATGGAGGTAATAACATGTGAAAGGCAAAATGGTTTGTTTTTTTTTTTAAAAATGACAGTCTCTATCATGAATTTACTTACACTCCAGGCAAAGGTTATTAGAAGAAAAAAAGATGTAAGAAAATTCCTTAACTGAAATGTGGAAAGAGTATCAAGAGGAGACCCTAAGACACTCTGTAAGAATCCCAGTGACTCCTCACTGTTCAACTAAGAAATGTACCCCATTATGCTGTGCTACCACGGAAGCATTGGAGGCACTTTGGGGGTTGATGAAGTCTTCATGGATGAGGTACTTTAAATATCTGGTCATGAAGAGTATTTGAGAAATATGACAAGTGAAGATGCTGGGTAGGAATGCAGCGAGGAAAGTGTGTAACACAAGGCCAAATTGGAAAGGTCAGTGAGGGGGCAATCTGTGGAGGCACTGAATGCAGAGGATATTAAAATTAGCAAGATAGTGTTCTAGCACAATGAAAAGGATTGGAAGAGGGAGATGAGAGTCAGGGAGTGAAATTAGGCAGCTGCTAAGAATGTCCGGGTGAGTCAGAGGATCAGGACCTGTAAGGGCAGTATAAAGAAGGAAGGAATGATGGGAGAGGTTTAGGGGGAAAGAAGTGACAACCTGTGACAATTGAGGAATGAGAGATTTTGATGATTGGGGTGAAGGTTACATTTCTTAAAAAGAAACAAAGAATGGTCGGTCGATAGAGATGCAAGATGAAGAATTTTGTTTTTAGGACTACTGACTATGAGGTAACAAAGAAATCCCAGAGACAGAGGTCTGAGCAAAAGATATGGGATTGGGGAAGAATCTTTGGGAGTGACTGAGGTTGACTAGAGGGAACTGGGCAAGAACAGGTAAGGACTTTAAGCAGAATTGGAGGAGTATCCATCTAAAATCTGGGTAAACTGGGATGGAAAAACAAGTAGCCAGAGAAGCAACAGCCCAAGCTAGGGTGTTGTCAAGGTTATAGATGTTACTGATTTTGGCAATGAGGAGATTATAAGGATCCTTGAAGACTGTACTTTCGGTGAAACTACCATGCATTAGTAGCCTTTCACAGTGATATCTACCCCACACCTGCATCAAAATCTTGCAGTGCCTATTAATAAATGCCAACCCACTAACGGGGAGGGGAGAAAAGACTTGGGACTCTGTACTTGTAAAACCCTCTACCCTCCCCAGGCAATTCTTTACACACTAACACTGTTGAGGTAAAAGGAGACAAGTGAGGGAGCAAATGGAAGGTGTGTTTTTGGATTATACAGTGGCTCATGGAAGGGTGGGAGGGGTACAGATGGCCCTTAGACACTGGCGGAAAGTCAGAGAAAAAAAATTACAGTAAGCAGGTAAAGGGATCAAGACTACACAGGGACTAGTCTTGGGACGACATTTCTTCCTCTGACAGTTTGTATGGAATTCTTGAGAAAAATTCCTCGAAGGGGCCTGAAATCTCAGAATGGTCATGTTTTTAATGGGAATAGGGAGTGATGCTGCCCCATTACAACCATCTGTTCTAACAGAATGTCTGTACCGAGGAGGGATGAGTAACATCGGCAAGTTCTGTTCGAAGCCTTTTTCAAGTTTCTTTTTGATATGTATCTATCTATCTATCATCTCCCTATACAAGCAAGCATCCCCAAAAGTAGTTGTCTCAGGAAACCAGGGTTAGGATGACCAGCTCATTTGCTGGAGCTGCCAAGGTCCAGAAAAGTTTGGCTGCAGGCTGTTTTCATGTTTTATGTATGTTTGAAATGTTCTATAATAATAAAAGGTTAAAAAAGTTTACATTTATTTGGAAAACCAGTTACTTTAGTTTATGGTTCCTTTTTTTCCCTCCAGAGCTTCCTGGAGATTGAGGTCTAATTCAAAGAAAACCAAAATATATAATAGAGTACCTGGGCAAAAAAAGTACTTTTATAACATAACATTTGGGGTAGAGGAAGTATCCACTGTAGTCAAAATGTCTATGTTTTGCTCTTCCTTATTGTTCAGGGACATTCCATTAAATAGTAATGAAAAGGCAGCAAAAGTAAGAGGAGTGACAACATGCCCGGCATAATTAAGCAAGCTAGAGCAGCTATTCTGTGCAACCGACGATTTTTTTTCTCTAAAATTTTAAGGGTAGGTTCATTCTGACTCTGTTAAAAGTCTACTTGATGTGAACAACTCTATATCTGATAACCTATTTCAATTACCACTTTAAAACTTGTCATATGGATACGTTATTACAATTGTAGAACTTTAATAAATACCATAATAATAAAACTTGAGAACTGAAGAGCACACATTTCTTCACGAATTTATTATATAAAACGCCCTCAGAGTATTTAATTTCTCCTCACTTTAATTACACATTAAGAAGCACAGTGGATGAGAAGCCTTTAAGATGACTACAGTTGCACGAAGGTCCCTTTCATCAAGGTAGCGTATGTACCCTAACAGTGTTCTAAAGGCTGGCCCAGAAAAACCCCATGTTACCTTATCACAATATGGAAAGCATTGTCTTCTTTTTCCACTAAATTAAATTATGGTGAAAAGTGCCACAGTTTTATTTAGCATTATGGTACATAACAAACAGTTCTGTCTCAATTATGAAAAAAATTAATTAAAATAATCCTGAAAGACATCCTTTTTCTCCCCCCAATGATTTGAAAGCTGCATTTTTCCTGCCAATTTCAAACAAACAAATCATCAGGTTGATCTACAGTAATCAGTTAAAACAATCAGTCAATCAATCAATCAATCACCAAGGCACAAGCTCAGCACATTAGCTATAGCTTGTAGCAAAAGGATATATCAATGTCTCACCTTAGTTAAAAATACATAATCCTTTTATTTTATAATGCAATAAAAGAAATTAACAACATCACATACACAGAAGACTAGGAAAGGGGAAACTACTTACTTCTGGAAATCAGTAATGTAAACCTACTTGTACTTTTCCATAGTACATGAAAGTAACGTTTAACATGTTTTGAATTAATTAATTAAATTTAATCTGTGGGGCTATACAATGTAATTCTTAGGAGTAATAGTTTCATTCATTTCCAGGTCAGCTTACTGTATGATTAAGTAACACAAGGCACAGTAGCCATCTTTTTCATTATGTTGCAACACTGATCACGTGCCTCGATAAAATGGCTGATTCAACAAGATGATGGCAACACGAAGGGGAGACTTTGGATTGTCTATTTAAAATCTAGGTAATAAGTAAGTAATTAATAAAAACTCTATCTTAAGTGCACTTTCACATGCTTTTTGTTTATAATAAACAAACAACAAACTTCCTAACTTTGTTGCAATAGGCTTGACTACCATTTCATTTGGCCAAATGCACTTTCCCCAGTAAACTTAAAACAACAACGAGAACAACAAGAACAAAAATCCCTGTCCTTTCATATACTAAGAAAGAGGATTGGCTACTGAAACAGTTCATTGCAAGACACATGAAGACGACATACTGTGGCATGAGTTGTTTTTGTTTTTAATTTGTTGTGCTGTTACTAAAGTTCTGAGGGCTGCAGTTAAAACATTCCAATTTCTCCCTTCCTTCCATCTTTCTTTATTGATTGATTCTCAAGATTTTGCACAGAAAACTCTTTGGGGGCTAGAACAGCAGTAATTGCATCACACTGTTTTCAAGACTTCAAGTTTCAAAAGCAAATCATTAAAAAAAATACAGTTCCTGATTTGAGTTAGATACAGGGACAAAAAAGTAGCACATACTTGAAGGTTACGTGGTCTACAAATGGTGGCAATATTTTCCTTGGGAGAGTAGTTCTGTTGGTATATATTTTTTAAATACTCAAAAGGCTCAACCTCAAGCAGTAATAAACACAAGCAAAAGTGATTTAACCCTTAAAATAAATATTCAGAAAAACCTCTCTGTACATACAAGTGAAAGAATATGTAACACTTTCACGCAAAAAAATAATTATAATAATAATAAAGGATTTGTTCATATATGTAGCTGAAATCTGCTGTTCCAGCCCACATGTCCCCAATAAAGAAGGGAGGCACAGACATAGGTGACTACTGTGGTTGACTATCTTACAGCCTTTTTGTACTGGGACACTATCACCACCAAAAATTTATCCCTCGTTATATTTTTAAAATTTTTTAAATTTTTTCTTTTTTTTTCCTTCCTTTTTTTTGTTTTATTTTGTTTTGTTTTGTTTTACAGCATGCCAAATCCTTTGGCATACGTGATGGCCTTCAACAATCTCTCTTTAAGTTTTTCTTTGCTTGAGTATTCCGGAAGTAAAAGCACATTAAAGCAAGTATGAGATGTAGGTAACCTAAATAGAGAAAAGGGGAAAAAAACAGGAAAACTGTAAGTCATGGGAAATACACTTAGAATTAAATGCTCCTATTTTTAGATTGTATATAGTTGAGACGGTCTGCAATGCAAACTATACATTAATGCAAATCATAAACTTTTTGTTGTGTAACTACCAAGTTGCCTTTATCCTATAAATTACTCAAAGCTAGTGACGATGATAAGATACTGTATCCATTGAGTTTTTACTACATAACAGATACCATTTTAGGTACTGAATTCTTACAGTTCATTTAACTAAATCTTTCCACAACAAAACCACAGAGAGGACATCAGTAAATGCACTTTAGAGGTTAGGTCACTGAGAAGTCAAGTAACTTCCTCTAAGGTGGAGAAAATACTCAAACCTGTTTTACAAGACTGCAAAGTGTGTGCTCTTAAATGCTTATTAGAAACACTGCTGGCAATATGACTAAGAAAATGATTTGATAACAGGATTCTAGCACAATCAAATGATAATCTTCCGAGCCTCAATGTAACCATTCTAAATAGATGATCATGTTATATGGCTTTCAATTAACAAGCTGGGAATCAAAAAAGTAAATGAATCACACTAATTTGATTCCAAACCAATGTGAGCCCCATAATAATTTTTAACTAGGGCAATTTCTTAAAAGTTTCCTCACACAATGACAGCAAAGTATTTTCTCAATTGTCTAATATGATTTGGGGATTTGTATATAAAATCACGAATGTGCTCAGAAACTATAAAGACAGTTCATATGTATGTGACGAGGAATGCAAGGTTTTCGGTAGGTATACAGTCACAAGTTAATAATTACCTACCTTTCTGTGTCTGGGCCATTTTTGGCTATAATCATCTTTAATTTTCCTAGTCCTCCCACAGGTGCTCTGTCTGTGCCCGTTGTAAACTGCAAGAAGAGTCTTTTCTGTTCATCTGTAAATGAATGAACGATTTCCCAGAACTCCCTAATGAGAAAAAATACAATACTGGTTTCAGTTTGGCATTCATTATGACTGGTACTAACATAAGCTTATGATTTGCATTAAAACTATATTAAGAGACAACTTGGAAGTTAATTATCAGGATAGTATCACTTCTGGTGATTTAAAAATTTCCAAGCAAATTTATCCTGAACAGCTCTGAATACGTAAAAATTTAGATTAGATTACAATATAGTAAAATATTAGTACTACAATAGTAAAAAATTGAGAAAACCCAAGTGTGTAGTAACAGGAAGTGACTATTTAAACTATGGTATAATCACATTATGCAGTCAGTAATGAGCAAAAGACAAAATCCTATGAATTGAAAAAGACTGAAATGAATATTTGGAAAAATTAACTCCAGGTGCCTTTGGGTATATATTTTATTTATCCTTTCTCCTTTATTCTCCTGGTCTACTCATCCTTTAACTCAACTTTGGGAGGAAAAAGTGATACAGATTAAGGACAAAAGAAAAAAAGACCCCCTGCCCCAACCAACTGGCCCCAAATGCAAACAACTACATACCTAATAGCAGTAATACAAAAGTTCAATTTTTATATGAACTAGAATACTTTAAACAAGTAATATGTGCTGTGTATGGAGGAGGAGAATTATTCTGACATTTCTGCCACCTGCAGTTATTTTAAGAGAATGATTTATCCTGTGGCATTCCTAAAATCTATGTAATAAAAGCTATGTTTTAATGACACTTATGTTAGTTTGAGTTCTAAAAAACGAAATACAAGCTCATAAAGTGCAATCTTGAAGTTTATTTGAATAATCAGGCATCTATAAAACATATATACACTAGTTCATAGCTAAATAAATTTTTTTTTTTTTGAGACAGAGTCTTGCTCTGTCGCTCAGGCTGGAGTGCAGTGGCGCGATCTCGGCTCATTGCAAGCTCCGCCTCCTGGGTTCGCGCCATTGTCCTGCCTCAGCCTCCCAAGTGGCTGGGACTATAGGTGCCTGCCACCACGCCTGGCTAATTTTCTGTACGTTTAAGTAGAGGCAGGATTTCACCATGTTAGCCAGGATGGGTCTCGATCTCCTGACCTCGTGATCCGCCCACCTTGGCCTCCCAAAGTGCTGGGATTGCAGGCATGAGCCACCGCGCCTGGCCTATAGCTAAATAATGTTAAGATTAAAAAATTAAAAAAAAAATTAAAAGTATTTTTAGTTGCTTATATAATATAAAATGCATTTTAATAGTTATTTAGAAAGTTCTTTCCAGAGCCAGGTGTGGTGGCTCATGCCTGTAATCCCAGCACTTTGGGAGGCTGAGGCCAGTGGATCACCTGAGGTCAGGGGTTCAAGATCAGCCTGACCAACGTGGTGAAACCCTGTCTCTACTAAAATACAAAAATTAGCCGGGCGTGGTGGCAGATGCCTGTAATCTCAGCTACTTGGGAGGCCAAGGCAGAAGAATTGCTTGAACATGGGAGGCGGAGGCTGCAATGAGCTGAGATCACACCATTGCACTCTAGCCTGGGAAACATTTTGAGCCATCTCAAAAAAAAAAAAAAATTTCATCTCAAAAAAAAAAAAAAAAAAAATTCCAGAATGTTAGCAGAGAACATCACACATCCCAAACCAGTAATTACAATTTTCTACCTTTTGATATTCTAATATCCCAACATACTATTTTTATTACCAAAATGCTGGCATTTTTGGTGCTGCAACACCATTTATCTGAAATAACTTAAAAGTTTTATTAGAATTCTTGGCTTTCTCCAATCTCTTGCCACTTCCCTTCCCTGCCCCTTTACAAATCCACCAGTCAGCAAGAGAAAACAAAAAAGAAACACACAACAACAGAAAACTGGACATGAAACTTGCAGGAGCATCTCTCAGGTAAGGAGGAGAGGAATCGGACCCCAGTTCATGATACTCCTTTTGGGGAGGCTGACAAGAGAAAACAAGTCTGCTGTAGCACAGAACCCTCCAACATAGCAGAAAAGCTGCCCTGCAGTGGGTGGTAATAAAGCCTCCTCACACTGCAGGAGGGCTCTGAAGCTTAACTGAACCAGCTACACCTAAGGAGGTAGACCAAAGAGCACCACCGAAGAACAGAGACAGACCCTGCAGGAAGTGGCAGATCAGCAGTGGTCACAATGACCAGTCTGGCTATATTATTACGGAGCTGTTTCTTTGGACTTTTAAACGAAACCTTTAAAAATTTTATACAATGAAAACAGGGAACAAAATGCATCTCTATTCCTATAAGTGTTATGTGTGTTACATTAACATTTTGAATTAAACAAGAATGCATATATTTAGAAAGCTGAAGAAAACACGAAGAAGCTTCCAGGTTTCCACATAAAAGTGGTGGCTGTATCGATCACATCCTACTCACATCTCTAAAAATCTACCCGGATCAAAAAGGGGAAAATAAAAAAAAAACCTATGACTTAGGTCTAGAGTAAAACTAGGAGACAGAACAATAAACTCCAAATACCAAAGAAGTGGGGAAATGAGCAGGGTCCAGCAGGAGCTACATCGAAGAGTGGCTTGTGCGGAATCATACTGATTAGGGATCACCCAAGGCCAGACCCCACCCCCTCCACCACCTGCCCCTCAACAGAGCACTACTGAGTGTAGGTTAGAGCACTGGCAACAGGGTGGTTAAAGGAAGGACTACAGAAAAGTACTTGGGTCCAGCAATGGCAGGCTCAGGAAGGCACCATGCATGAAAGGAAGGGGGGTACCTTCAAAAGCAGAAGTGTCCCTTAAGCGGCTGTAAAGGGGTGGAAGCAGCTAATGAAAAAGAGTCTTCATTAAGCTACATGGAGCTGAAAAATCAGAAAGTGGTGATTCTGCCCTTACTAAAGCAACAGAAGAGGGATCCCTTCAACCAAGACCCCTAAAGCCACACAATTCCTCCCTGCTCCACCATGAGGTCTAGTAATAACAGGTCCAGAAAAAAGTAACATCTGTTATAGAAACATAAACAAGAAAAACAGAATTCGGAAGTCTAAATAAAGTTATTATGGGAAGAGTCTGGCGAATGAGAAGCAAAACTTTCCGGTAGACAAAAGTAGACCAGAAAAATTCAGTCATAAACAATGGGAAACTAGTAACACCACATTCCAACACAAAAGGAGAATGCAGCAGCAGACAAGACAGACCACCAGTGATGAGAAATACAAATTCAGAAAGAAATGAGCACATCTTAAATAAAAATAAGAATACTAAAAAATACTGAAGAAATATGCAAGGTAACTTTGGAAATAAAGGCTAATTTTATTATAAGGTGACCAAAGAAGAAGCAGTATGACTAAAATTTCTACTGAGGACAGACTCTAGAAAATTAAAAAACAAAGAAAATGAATAAAATAAACATAACTAAAGAAATGCATATCAAAGCATAATAACGAAAAAGATTAATAGCTAACTACATAAACATAAAACCTTTCATTTGGCAAAAAAATCCTATAAGCAAGGTTAAAAGACAAATGACAAACTGGGAAAAAATATTTGCGAATTTACCAGCGTTAAAGGACTAATCTCCTTAACATATAAAGTTTCTAAAAGTGAAGAAAACGACCAGCTGAGCAGCAAAATGAGCAAAAGACTATATAAAACTATAAACAGCTCTACAAGAAAAAATGTCCATTATCATTCATAATTGAGGTAAGCTCAAAAATTGTAACTATAGTAAAATACCATTTCTCAATTGGCAAATAAGTAAACATCCACATTTAACAACACATTCTGTTTGGAAAGTTTTAAGAAAAGAGATACTGTTGTAAACTGCTGGTGGGAATGCAAAATGTTATTTTTCTGTGAAGGAGGATTTGGCAGTATCTAGCAAAATTACACATGCATCTACCATTTGATGCAACAATCCCACTTCTAACAATTTATCTTAATGATACTTTACATATGTACGGAATAATGCATGAACATTAAGAGGATTCACTGTGACATTAGTACTAACAGCAAAAGGTTAAAAATAACCTCGATGCCCATAAATATTGATAAGCTATGCTGCATCCACACAAAGGAGCAGTATTCAGTCATACAAAACAAAATGGAAAACACCTCTGCAATAATGTGGGATGATTCTCAGGATACACTAGGAAGATTATTTTCCTAGTTCTGTCCTCTGATAAGGCCTACAAGCAGTAACGTTCAAAAGCAAAGGCCATACTTTGCATCTAAAATCTGACTTCTAAATGCCATTCTCCAACAATTTATTGGAAAAATAACTTATTCCAGGCCTGAGAATGAATGTTCGAGATTAGTTAGAAATCTCAAAATCTAATAGGGTCATTTTAAAAGCACACGATAGCTAAGCAATTTGAATATCATTTAGAGTAATGACTGTGAAACGTATTAAATACAAAAACATTCATTAGTTCGTAATATTCAAAAAGGCAGCAAAAACCAACCAAAAAACAAAATTAAATTGTCACTATTAAAATTATTACATTAACTCCTTACTCTAAAAACCTTAAATCTATTTTATCATGCCTTTTCTGTAGAACTGTTTTTCAAGGTAATCAAATGGCACCCAATGATGAGAAAAAAGAATGCCAGGTATATATGTAGGACAAGCAGATGGAAATTTTTTTTCCCCAAACAGCCATTTTGCAATCCCCAATGAGATAACAGATTAAGGTAATGATACTGATAAATACGAAAATCAGGTGAAGGGCAGGTAGCAGGTTCTGGAAAGATGATGATGGCAACGACATAGTTATTATTATTATTATTTTTTGTTTTATTCCCTCCCAACCTCCCCTACAAAAACAGCAAACTGAATGAGAAAACCAAAGACCCAGAGACATTATCTACAACAAAACCATGAACCATTGCATATAATTGGACAGAAACAAAGCTCTGACAACTACAAGACTGGTTAGTAAGGAAGCAGATGCAAGGTAACTGACTGGGTTTCTGACAGCCCTGAGAACACTGCCAACCCACTGGAAAGCACAGGCCAATCTGAAAACAGGGCTTAAAGTTTTAAAAAGTTCTACAGGATCTAATTTGCAGATGATTACAAAGGGATCATGATGTAGTAAGCTCTGGGCCCTTAAAACACCCGAATACCAAACCCCCACCAGAAACAAACCTTGTACCGAGGAAAAACTTCTGGGAATAACTTCCGAATGGACCAGGTCAGTAATAAAAACCAAAAAAAAGTTCAAATATATGTGTGGGATAGAGGAGTAAAGAAGGCAGTTTCAGAAAGCACAAGGGCATATTTTTGACCATTTTACAAAAACACAGACTTCTCCTCGTCCCTAAAAAGCGAAAAAAGTTATCCTGGCCCATCTCTCCCTCGTCCAAGTATGAGAAACTCATTTCACTCACACACACACACACACACACACAAATAAATAAATAACAGAACAGAGTGAAACAGTGTAATTATTAGAGAAAAAGTATGTGCATATACATGAGAATGGTGTCCCTACAGAAAATCAAAGTACATGAAACAATATGCAAATAAAACATGAAAACTGTAAACAAATTTCAAACTGAGCTAAAAAGAATTTAAAAAATAACAAATCATTAGAAATGGGAAATTTCTGAATGAGGGTAACTGAAAAAAAGGAAGACATGACACAACTAAGGAGTAATTAGAAATGCAAGGAAAAAAATCCCATCAAATACAAAGAAACTAAAACTAAACTAGAAGAAACATAAAGGTGAATAAAACAGAACAATAATACCAGAACCTGAAGGCAGAAGAAAAATCTTAAAATCAAAAAGAAACAAACCCATGCTTGAGACTCTCCTTGCTGGTCCAGAGCCACAGTGCTGCTGTGTACTGGCAGGAGGAATTCTGCTATAATTGGTCCTGGCAGTGTTCACCTTTCCTGCAAGTGTTCCACAGCCCAGGGACACAATGTGGTCAGGAGCACTGCCAGGAACACCAGCAAGGGGGAGCCTGCCACAACAGGCACAAGGCTCAGGAAGCACTCTCCAGCCCACGAAAATCTAGTGGGGGTCCTCTTCCCTCACCCAAACACACTCTGCGCAGCTCAGCCTGGAGAAGGCCCCTCAAGCAGCACTACTAGGAACCAGTGCGAGCCCCAGTGGACTGAGATAAAAGCAACAAACCAAAACAGCACCATAAAGCCTCTGAAAAATGGTCACTGGAACCACAGCTCACAAATATATGCTAGTACCTACATGCTATACCTTAACAGGTTACTACTGAAGTTAAAATTTTTAAAAAGTACAGAGTCTCCTGATATAATAACTAAAATGTCCGAGACACAATCCAAAAATTATCTGTCATACCAAGAACCAGGAAAATTACATGAAGGAAAGAAAACGCCAACACTGGGATGAGTAAGATGCTGAAATTATCTGGCAAGGATCTTAATGCTGCCATCAGAGAAATGATTTGACAAGCAATTACAAGTTCTACTGTTTCAAAAACGAAACAATAGAAAATCTCAGCAAGGAAACAAGATACAAGGAAAAAAAAGCAAATGGAAATTATAGACCTAAAAAATACAATAGGAGAAAAATAATCATTAGATGGGCTCAACAGTAGAGTGAAGATGACAAAGGAGAGAAATCTGAACAAAAGAGAGAAAATAGACTGAAAAATGAACCATGCCTCAGGTCCATGTGGAACAGTAACAAATGACTCAACATTTGTATCATTAGAGGCCTAGAATGGAGAAAAGAGTGACGCTGAAAGAACACCTGAAGAAATAATGGTTGAAAATTTTCCATGTTTGGCAAAAGACACAAACTTACAGCTTCAAGAAGCTGAGCGAACCCCAAATAGCACAAATAAAACTATTCTTTGGGAATAAAGGGAAAATAAAGTCATCTTCAGAAAGAGAAAAACAAAAAGAATTTCTCACTAGCAGAACTGCCTTTGAAGACTGGCTAATGGAAGTAATAAAAGATGGAATCTTGGAAAAAATAATGGAAATAGCAGAAACATGGGTACATACAACAGAGCATCACTCCCTTGATAAGTTCTATAAGTCATATTGGATAACTGATACAAAAACTGTAATAGCATTAATCCTCAAAACAATACTATTTAAAAGTGGGGAAAGAGACCCAACTGAAATTAAGGTTTCCATATCTCATTCCATGTAATGGTATTGATGGCAGTGAATGGTGGTAAGTCACATTATCTATAATGTGATACCCACAATGACCGTGAAAACAACTATAAAAAACACATAGAAGGCCAGGCATGGTGGCTCATGCCTGTAATTCCAGCACTTTGGGAGGCTGAGGTGGACAGATCACAAGGTCAAGAGTTCGAGACCAGCCTGGCCAATATGGTGAAACCTCATCTCTAATAAAAATACAAAAATTAGCCAGGTGTGGTGGCATGTGCCTGTAGTCCCAGCTACCCAGGAGGCTGAGGCGGGAGGATTGCTTGAACCTGGGAAGCCGATGTTGCAGTGAGCTGAGATTGTGCCACTGCACTCCAGCCTGGGCAACAGAGCGAGACTGTGTCTCGAAACAAAAACAAACAAACAAACAAAACAAAACCCAAACACTAAATAAATCAAGGGTCTTAAAAATCTTAAAAAATGTTCAAGTAATCATGGAAGGCAATAAATAAATAACCATAAACAGAAGACAGAAACAGAAAACAAATAATAAAATGGCAGACCTCTCCCTAACATATCAATAATTACCTTAAATATAAATGGTCTAAATAAAAAAATTAAAAGGCAGAGACTAACAGTTTTTATTAAAATGACAACTATATGCTGTTTACAAGAGATTCGTTTCAAATTCAGCAACACAGGATGAAAGTAAAATGATAGTAAAAGACAGATCATGCAAACATTAATTTAAAAAAAAACAAATGGTTACACTCATATCAGATTCAGAGCAAAGAAAATCGCAAAACAGAAAAAACTTATATAATGATAAAGGACCAATCACCAAGACATAGTAATTCTAAATGGGTATGAACCAAATGATAGAGCCTCAAAATAAATGAAACAAAACCTGATAAACAGATAAATCTCAGAAGCAGACCTATATAAATATTCTCAAGTGATTTTTAACGTATGTGAAAAAAACAATTCAATGAAGGAAGAACATACCTAGAAAATACATAAGGAACCCTTAAAACTCAACAGTAAAAAACCAAATGGACTCTTGGTTTTTAATCCCAGAGAAATACAAACTTTTTGTTTACAAGTAACATCACAGTTAATGGTAAATATTATAGTCTCTCTCAATAAAATGAGGAATAAAGTAAGAATACCTTCTACCAAAGGTTCTAGCCAGTGCAATAGAGGAACAGTAATAAATAACATAAACATTGGAAAGAAAGAAACCTGTCTTGATTTGTAGATGACATAGCTGTTTACTAGAAAACCCTATGAAATCTACTAAATAACTACTAGAATAAGTCAATTTAGAAAGGTTATAGGATATAAGATCAATATATAAAAATCGATTTTATTTCAAGATAGTAATAAACAAGTGAAAAGCAGTATTTAAAAAATACCACTAATAGCATTAGAAACATATTTTAAGTTTATTCCTAACCAAAGAGTACATGATTTCAACATTAAAAACTATAAAACAGTGCTGAGATAAACTAACAAACATCTAAATAAATGGAGAGACGTACGGTGTTCAAGGATTGGAAGAATATATTGTTAAAATGTGAATTCTCTCCAAATTGACCTGCCCCAGTCAAGGCAACCCAAATCAAAATCTCTGCAGGCTTTGCCCTTTTGTTTGTAAAAATTAACTGATTCTAATATTTATATGCAAATAAAAGTCAAAGCAACCTAATGAAAAAGTTGTGGGACTCACAGCATCTGATTTGAAGCTGCAGTAACCATAACAGTGTCATTTTGGCAAAAGGACAAAACAAATTAATAGAACAGAATGGAGAATCCAGAAACACGGCTCACACACAGATTGATTTTCAACAAAGGTGCAAAGGCAATTCAATGGGGAAAGAAAAGTCTCTTTAACAAATGGTACTGGAACAAATAAATAAAACTATTTAGAAAATGAATGACATCCACTGTCTAACAGCATCACAAAATTTTATTGGTGGTGGATCACAGATTTACACATAAAAGTTAAACCTATATTACACAATTAGAAGAAAACATAAGATATTTGTGGCTTTGGGCTAGGCAAAGATATAAAAGGACATAAAAAACCATAAAAGAAAAAATAAATTAGACCTCAAAAAATGAATAATTTCTGCTCACCAGAAGACACTTAAGAAAATGAAAACTTGGAGAAAATAATCATAAACTACTTATCAGAAATGGGCCTTTTATATAGAATATACAGTATTCCCCACTTACCCATGGGGAATACGTTCCAAGACCTCCAGTGATGTCTGAAATTGCAAATAGTACTGAACCCTGTATATACTATGCATGATTTATTTTTCCTTCTTCACAATTTCATAGATACAATACTCATTTTTACCATAGATTTTAGCAACCTCAACATATGATTTTTAAATTCTTTCCTTAAAGGAAGCACTTTCCAGCTTCTCTTTGGCATATATATTCGAATTTCCAACATCACTGCTCTTGTGCTTTAGGGCCATTATTAAGTAAAATAAGGGTTACTTGAACACAAGCATGTGATACTGCAACAGTCGATCTGATAACCAGTAGACTAAAAGTGGTGGGTAGTCTAGACAACAACGATATACTGGAAAAAGGGATAATTCATGCCCTGGGTGGAAAGGTGGGAGATTTCACCATGTTACTCAGAATAGCATGTAATTTAAAACTTAAGAGTTGTTGGCTGGGTGCAGTGGCTCACGCCTGTAATCCCAGCACTTTGGAAGGCTGAAGTGGAAGAATTGCTAGAGTCCAGGGGTTTGAAACCAGCCTGGGCAACATAGTGAGACCCTGTTTCTACAAAAAAATAACCAACTAAAAATTAGCTGCACACCTGTAGTACCAGCTACTCAGAGGGCTGACGTAAGAAGATTGCATGAGCCCAGATACTCAGAGGACTGAGGTAAGAAGATTGCATGAGCCCAGGAGTTTCAGTTTATAACAATCTGTAGTCATGCTACTGCACTCCAGCCTGGATGACAGAGACTTTGTCTCTTTAAAAAAAAAAAAACCAACGAACCAACCAACCAACTCTCCCTGCCCTGCACCCGCCAACACACACATACATCAAAAACCCTGAATTATTCATGGAATTTTCTACTTAATAAATATTTTTGGACCACTGCTGACCAAAGATAACTGAAACCAAAAAAAAGCAAAACTAAGGATAAGACATACTGCTATATTTTAAGAAAATATCTATAGTCAATAGAAATACAAAAATCCAATATTAAAAATGAGGAAAAGACACTTTTAGTTAAATATGCACCTGCTATATGCTTTGGAAACTCCACTCCTACATGTTTGCCCAGGAGAAATAAAACATTTCCACAATAAGACTACACAGCTTTATTCACAATAGTCCCAAACTGGAAACAATCCAACTGTCCACCAACAGGTAAAAAAAAAACACTTTGCGTATTCATATAATGCAACACTACTCTATAATTTTTTAAAAGGCACTATAAATCAATGCAATAACATGGATGAATCTAAAGAGTCTTCATGCAGTACAAGTACATAAGATTCCATTCATAAGAAATTCTAGAGCAGACAAAAGTAAGCTACAGTGACAGTAATTAGGACAGTTATTGTCTGTTCTAATGGGGGATGGAGATTCACTGGAAGGGAAAACATGGGAACTCTGTGCTGATGGACATAGTCTACACCTTGACTGAAATATGGTTACATAAATGTAATTTTTAAAAACTAACCCAATTAAGCCCTGGGTATTTCACTGTATTCAAATTTTACCCCACACAACATCGACACCACCATTATTACCACCACATTGATAACATTCAGAGAGCAGTTAGGGAATCACATTATTTTGAAAATTAGTAAGTAATGGGAAAGAATTAAGCATTATCGTATATGATATGTACATATTTATATACATGTATACAGATCCTATATGTGGATCTGTAATTTAGGGTAGTCATAGAGTTGATGAGAAAGAGTTTTTCTTAAGAAGTATTACAGGTAATAAAGGAAGGAGGAATAAAGAATTCGAGTATCACAATTTTGTAACCCTCAATGAATTAGCAGATCTAGGCAATCAGAATCCACGATAAAAATTACTAGAAAAGACAGAAAGCGAGTGAGACTTTTAAGTTATTCCTACAAACCAACATCTATGAAGTATTTGGGAAGGAAATAAACTCTGAATCTGTTTTTCGTTTTTTTGAGATGGAATCTCACTCTGTTGCCCAGGCTGGAGTGCAGTGGCACGATCTAGGCTCACTGCAACCTCCGCCTCCCAGGTTCAAGCGATTCTCCTGCCTCAGCCTCCCGAGGAGCTGGGATTACAGCTGCCTGCCACCAAACCCAGCTAATTTTTGTATTTTTAGTAGAGACGGGGTTTCCCCCATGTTTGCCAGGCTGGTCTCAAACTCCTGGCTTCCGGTGATCTGCCCGCCTCGGGCGTTTTTGCATGTATTTTTTCAGGTGCTGAAAAAGCTCTCCCTGATTTCATTTCTTGTTGACTGCTTAGAGACATCTTTCCAAATGTCCTTCCTTGTCACTTTTTCAAAGTTAGGAGCAGGGATTGCACGTTTTTTTGATTGGTAATTTTTGTTTCAAAGGTTTGATTCAGATTCAGAGTTGATTTTGCTAGGTATGGTGGCTCACGCCTGTAATCCCAGCACTTTGGGAGGCCGAGGCGGGCGGATCACCAGAGGTCAGGAGTTTGAGACCAGCCTGGCCAACATGGCAAAACCCTTATCTCTACTAAAAATACAAACATTAGCCAGGTGTAGTGGTGTGCACCTGTAACCCCAGCTACTCAGGAGGCTGAGGCAGGAGAATCACTTGAACCCAGGAAGCGGAGGTTGCAGTGAACTGAGACTGCGCCACTGCACTCCAGCCTCAGTGACAGAGCAAGACTGTTTAAACAAACAAACAAAAAATTAACAAAATCTTATTTCTAGTGGTTTACATATTAATGATGCTGGCAACTTTTAGTTGAAATGTATTAAACAGCCTCGCAGTTTTTATTTTTATGAATTCTGCATACAATAAATAAATACCAACCAAAATATCTATACAGGCATACCCCAGAGATACTGCCGGTTCAGTTTCAGACCATGGCAAATAAAGTGATTATGGCAGTAAAGTGAGTCACACAAATTTTTTTGTTTCCCAGTGCTTATAAAAGTTACGTTTACATTATACTGTAGTCAAGTGTGTAACAGCATTGTCTAAAAATAAGTACATTATCTTAATTTAAAATCATTGCTAAAAATGCTAATGAAGTGAGCACATTTTGTTGGAAAAATGGTGCTGGTAGACCTGCTTGATGCAGGGTTGCCACCAAAAAAACTCAGTATCTGCAAAGTGCAATAAAGTGAGATACGCCTGTAATGTCTTTTTTCTCTTCTGTTATTACAAGCACTACTTTAAGTCTTCAACTACCGAATACTTGTAGACTATTTAATGAATTAATATTTTCATCATATTTATATTGAGAAAATTAAGAAGCTGAATTTAGTTAGAAAAGGTTTAGAATATCATCAACTCTTGAGGATGAGTTGGAAGCTACTTTATCTGTCATTTTTCACATAACACTAGTTTGCCCTTCAAATCATACATTTAAAAATGATCTTAAGATACATACCAAGTAGGGATTATGTTGTTATAAAAAGCTAGAAGTAAAATTAAGACTTTAATTTCAAAGATAATTTCTCTATAAAGAATAGCACAAGATATGTTCAACTATTCTCAGAGATGCATCAAGATATGACTTTTTTTCCTACTAGAAATTATATCTATGATCAATCATATTACAGAGATATTGCTGTTATACTCCTTGTGACTGATGAGGGGGGTTTTTCCTATCACCATGTTATCCCAACCCTTTAATGAATCACCTTTGAAACTCAGAACAGGTAGCAGCACAGAGGTTGCTAAGAGTAAATACATTCACCACTGCTGCCAGAAATGACCAACGGTGCACCAGAAAGAAGAAATACTGGTGAATTCCCACATACCACGACGAACAACCTTATAAAATAACAGAACAAATGAATATAAAGTAACATACAGCCATCCCTTGGTATATGTGACAGGGATTGGTTCCAGGACCACGTGTGTATACCAAAATCCATGCACGCTCAAGTTCTGCAGTTGGCCCTGTGAAACTGGCATGTATGAAAGTCAGCCCTCTGTATATGCAGGTTCTGAGTCCCACCAATACTGAATCTGCTCTTAGTTGAGAAAAAAAATCTGCATGTCAGAGGGCCCATGAAGTTCACAGCTGTGTTGTTCAAGGGTCAACTGTAATATAAAAATAACATTTATTGCTAGATAGAGTTGATATTCATTCTAGTGTTTATATACTTGAGTCTTAGAGCAATAGCCTTTGGAGACAACTTCCAGGAAGGTACGTGTTTGCATGCCTTCTCACTGCAATCCATCAGTAGCTGCCACTTGAACCAGTCTTAGCAGGGGATGGGGAAGCCTATGTCTTTCAGAATTGGATGATGTAGTACACAGAAGTAGACAGTAGAGTAGTAAGGGCATTTGCTTAAAAGCAGATAGAACTGGGAACCTCTACATCTTTCTGTGAGAATTCAGGGCTTAGTTTTTTAGGGTGTAAAATGGAAATACTAGTATGTATCTGGACATATTATCTTAAGAATTAAATAAAAGACTACCATTTCACTCAAAAAGTGCTTGATCCTGGGAAGCCATGTAACAGTTCACAAATGCAGAGTTCAAAAGAAAGGAAAAATTGCAGACATGGTAGCCTTATTTTAATTATCTTCTAACCAGCAGTAAGCATACTCTAACCAGTGAGGAATACTAGATAATCCATACGCCAAATGCAGGAGATTACATGAGACTTATATATAACAACACTTCATTCATGAAATAAATCACAAGATTAGCTCTGAAAAATGGTGATTATATTACAAATACAAATCTAAGTATATAGATGACAATTTGTGAGTTTGCTTATTTGGGAATTAGTACCTAGAGATAAAGGTCTGAAGCAAAATCACACACCCCTTTGGTGAATCAAATCTTCCTCTGAAGAACTAAGTACCTCACCTAATCAGAACAGAGTCCCTGGTATAGCCACCGTCATATTCTGTAGTTTCTTCTAGTGCTTGGAAATCTAGATTCTGCAAATTCAAGAAAATATGTCTTAGTTATCTGCTATACTACTGTATCATTACAAACAATAAATCGATACATGACTTTTTGCAGACACCTGCTTTCTTACCCGGCTTCCACATATAAGCAATTCAATTTCTTCTGGTCTGAATAAGTACTTTAAGGGAGATTCATTGGTCACCATATGAAAACCTCTCCGAAAAGCCTTGAACTGTTTTTCTACTGATTTATTGAGAATGTAGTCAGAATAAAGATTGACAAATTCCTGTAGAAAACATTAATCACAAGAACTTCTTATAATATGCTATGCAAACAAAACACAAGTTATTGGGCTGCATAGCTTTTTAATTTTTCCAAGAAAAAAACATTCAAGAATATTCTTAAAAATTCAATTTTACACCTACTTCTTAACAATTTCACAATTCTCTGTTATAGCCAATATTAAGCTATGAAAAGGCCATATACATAAAACTGTCAAGAATATTCTTAAAAATTCAATTTTACACCTACAAAGAAAACTACTTCTTACAATTTCACAATTCTCTGTTACAGCCAATATTAAGCTATGAAAAGGCCATATACACAAAACTGTCATACTTATAAATGTCAATTTCGATAATGTATTAAACAGAACTGAATATAAATGCTGGAGACGCAGAAAATTCTTTAGGTTCTCTCAACTAGGTATGTAAACAGACACATTTAAACCATGTATCCATCTATTTATAAATGCCAACCGTTTTAAGAGAGTACAATATATTTGATTTAAGCAAACCAGGAAGTCCCAAGTTTTCTACCATAGAATATTTGGTAAGCTGCCTACTGTATCCAGTTCAGCAAAAATGTGGAAGTACTGACTGACACATAAACTACTGTATCAAATCATAAAAGGAAAATGTGCTTTGTACCCTTAGTGTGTATAATATTTAATCAAAAAATTATATCAATATAAACATGTTTCTTAAAGGTATACTATATATTTGTCATAATTTTTTGCTTGTTATGTTCTGGGTTATTCCCATTCCCGATGAACACATTTTAGTCAATAGAAACCCAAATCTGACGTAAAGTATACTTTTCAGAAATGTATTTTTATCACAAACAGGATATACATGTGTAAATTAAATGTAATTTTTATTTGTTCTGTGATAAAGACCTTAATCATGAGGTTCCTGCTTACAGCTTAATACAAGAAACACCCTGCTTCTTGCTTTATACTACAACCACACTTAGCTATTAACTATCTCCTGCTTCATGTCCTCTTTCTCTAAAAGGGGCTTTAGTGCCCAACTGTGTGCTTTCATACCAACTTATATCCAAGATTTAGAAAAGTGGACTCTAGCATTTACATAAACTTAGTTACTTGTTTTTTTTTTGTACAGACTATATTAGATACTTCTTTAAAAATTATAAGCATACATGCTTTGAAAGTGTTAATGAAGAGACAAAATGTGACATAAAAACATTTATTACCTTCCTGTTTTCATTTGTAATTGGAATTTTATCACCATTTTCCTTTAGATCATACATCATTGGGTTACCAAAAAGATCTGTCTGTGATATCTGGAAAGTGATCATCATGTCATCTTCCACATTCCCTTCATACTCCAATAAATCTTTTAAACTCTGATATAGAACCTAGCAACCAGAAATGGTAAATTGAGGCCACCATAGAACTACAAAATACAACAAATAATTTATATCACTCTTCTTAGAAGACAACAAAAATCTTATCAATAAAAATTGTAAAAAGTGTAGACAGTATCCCTCCAGTCCCCCAAATAGTTTCCAACCTATAAAAGAAAGATTGTCAGTCACTGTGATGTCCCATTCTCTGCTGAGAAACCCCATACCACCAATTTAGCAATAGAATTCACACTGTGCTCTATGAGAAATTCTGTGGTGTCTCAAGGTGGGGGTGGGGGTGGTAGGAGCAGGCACACTCGTTGTAACTACCAAGACCCTTAGCCAGGGCTACTCTGATTTTTACCTATCTCTTAAGATTTCACTAAAACACAAACAAAATGTTTAGAAACACTTCTCTATGAAATCAATCTTACAAAAGCTTCGTGCTGACAGCAATATATAAAAATGTCCCCCTTTGAGTTTTTAAGTGTTTCTGGTACTTCGGTCAGATTAAAACATTTTTATCTTATTGATAAGAGTATCAACAAAGATTCTAAACAAAAACTTTAAAATTTTGACATAAATTAAATTTTTGCATTTAAATAAAATCTAAGAGACTGAATTAAAAAAATGACAAAGAACTTACTGGGTGAGAGTCTCCCAAGTCACGAAAAGTTCCTTTTTTCCCCATTAGCTTCCTGTAGACAACCATGGGAAAATGTACATCCAGTATACAGTTATTGTAAATAGCCAGACCCAGTACTATGCCAATCAGAGTAAACTGACCCTCAGTTTCAAAAGAAGATGGATTAAACCAAAACAATTTTGTAGATTCATCGTATGTGAACATACCTATAAGAAATGATTTTTAAAAATACATTACTTTTGTATTTTATTAAGGACTGATGAATAATACAAATATAAACTTAAAATAATTATGCATATAAAACATTTAAAATATATGTAATTAGGCATGCAACATTGATTTCTATTATATTAGCACTTGAGAAAACAATGTCCACATATATCTGCTATAAATTGGGGTGAATGGTGATATGTAATTTTATGAAGCCAAAGGAATAAAGTAGTAAGTAATTTGGTGGCATCGGGTAGAAAAATACGTTAATTAAATTCAAGCTTTCTAATTTTCTACTAACACATAAGAAAAGTTATATTCATGCTTTATCCACCCATAGCTGAAAAATAAACATAAAAAAACAAAAAATGGCTACATTTCCAAAGTGTTTCATTTATAAAAATATAATTACTTATATCTGTACCACACGTACTATTTTTGAAAACAATTTTTCATTTTTTTCCTTGAGATGGAGTCTCGCTCTGTTACCCAGGGTGGGCTGGAGTGGCACGATCTCAGCTCACTGCAACCTCTGCCTCCTAGGTTCAAACAATTCTCCTGCCTCAGCCTCCTGAGTAGCTAGGACTACAGGTGTGCACCACCACGCCAGCTAATTTTTGTATTTTTAGTAGAGAAGGGGTTTCACCATGTTTGCCAGGATGGTCTCAACCTCTTGACCTCGTGATCTGCCAGCCTCAGCCTCCCAAAGTGCTGGGATTACAGGCGTGAGCCACCACACCTGGCCTAAAAAACAATTTTTAATCACAGTAAAGAAAGGTTCGTTTTTTCAAAATTAGACAATGGTGCCATGAAATTTTTCTAGCATTTTCCTAATAAAATCAGATGATCTGAAATACATAAACCTGGATAAATCTGATGAACTTAGATAAACAAAGCTATTCAATACACATGTTAATTATGGGCCAATACGTAAAAGAAAAGTAGTTTCGTAGTCTTTCAATTTCACATGGTCTTCACTATGCAAGCCCCAATCATGGAGGCTTTTTTTTTTTTTTTTTTTTTTGAGACGGTCTCGCTCTGTCGCCCAAGCTGGAGTGCAGCAGCACTCAGCTTAGTGCAAGCTCCGCCTCCCGGGTTCATGCCATTCTCTGGCCTCAGCCTCCGGAGTAGTTGGGACTACAGGCGCCTGCGTGGAGGCCTTTTTTATATCACTCATTGGAAAATTGGGGCCCGGTGTGGTAGTTCACACCTGTAATCCCAGCACTTTGGGGAGGCTGAGGCAGGCAGATCACTTGAGCTCAGGAGTTCAAGACCAGCCTGGGCAAGATGGAGAAACCCCATCTCTACAAAAACACAAAAAATAAGCTGGGTGTGGTAGCATGTGCCTATAGTCTCAGCTACTTGAGAGGGTGATGCATGGGGATGGTTTGAGTCTTCAGCCTGGGAGGTGGAGGTTGCAGTGAGCCGAGACAGAACCACTACACTCCAGCCTGGGCCTCAGAGCCAGATCCTGCCTCCCTCCACCAAAAAATAAAAGATTAAAAAAAAGGAAAATTGGAATCTTTGGAATGAGTACTACTAAAAATTGATTTCTTCCCTTTTAAATGACTAAGGAAAAAAATTTTAATTGAATTTAAATCATTTTACTACATGTTTAGTTGCTACTGTGAAACAATGAAAACATCTTAAGAATTAAGTCTGAAAAAAATCTGTAATTTCCAATAGAAAAGTAGAGCTTAGAAATCAGAAATCAAATTATACAGTATATAAGTATTTTAACCTGTTTATAAGAATTTTAAAATCTTTGAAAATGTCATTGTCACTTTAAGTTTAAAAATAAGGAGCTTTAACATGTTTCCTTGATCACTAGGAGTATGAATTAAGCTTAGGACATTTTCTGAATGCAAAATGGTTTGAAAATTAAACAATTCATATTTGAGTTTCATGGTTTCTATCTAAACATTTTTTTTACAGGCCAAGTTACAACATCCATGGAAATGCTTTTAGTTATAAGTATGGTATTAACAGGATCAAGAACAGCTGACAAATAATTACAATTAATAAATTTGTTCAAGCTGACAATGGTGTGTCTAAAAAATTAATGAATTTAATAAAATGTCACAAATGCCCTTCCTTGGAACCAAGAGCAACAAGCTATAAGTTAATCAGAATATAACTCTGAAGTTCCATTTTAGGCACATTTTCTCATGTTCCAGGGAGAAAAGCACCATAACCTCCTGGTAAAATACTCCTTTTTGATACTTCTACTGCCATCACTTCAGTTATCTTACTGGAACTGCTTAATCTATGTTTTTTCTTACAAGTATTTCTGCATATAATGCAAGTATGCTTTATAGCTAAGGTTTAACATTTCTAGATACATCAAAAGCTAGAGCTAAGGTTTACCAAATTTAAGAACTTTATGAAGTTTATAATTTTCTATCTCAAAAAGGGCGTCGTCTTATGTATCTCTGATTTACTTAGAACAAACTACATACAAATGGCATAGCTTTTTAGTTATTAATAAAACACTAGCTAGATTATAGATAAGGGATGCGTGTGTGTGTGTGTGTGTGTGTGTGTGTGTGTGTGTGTGTGTGTGACTAAGAACAGTAACAGAAAGGTCAACTCAATTAGAATCAACAGGCTATAACAGCTCAAATCTCAAAGCTGAAGGGAAATGACATACATTATTCTATGCACACTCCTCACAATTCTGATGGTACCTTCAGTGGAAACCTTTTCCTGTAATTGTCATGTACTCAATTTTAAACGTAAGCAAGCTCAGTTACTAAGTGGTTATATTTACAGTAGAAACTGAACCAGTTCAGAATTATGAAGTTAAGTAGACTACCCAAAAGACTGCATCTTTTCCCTGTTCTACTTTATCACAAAAGGGAAAAAACTAAAATTCTGATCCTTCACTTTCAAATTTCCAAATCCCATCAGCCTTTCCCAAACTGTGTTCAATAACAACTCTTCTGTTAGGGCAGAAAAAGAGTTCTGGAGTTCAAAAAGTTTGGGGGAAACACTACCTATATTAAGCCCCAAGAAATCTTATAGCAAATAAACCTAATTAATGTGATATCAGCTAGTGTTTCTGAACTTTGAGCATGACATACTTGTGAGACAGTCTCTCAATACTCTTCAAACCATTGTTCTTTGAAGTTCACAGGTCAGGAAAACCGTGAGTTTGATGATGGTTTTAGACAACAAAAAGCAAAGAAATCCCTCCAACTGTTCCAATATACCATTCTAAAGTGCTTTCAATTCAGTTTACCAAAGAGATAATTTCCTTCATTAGAATATTCCTTCTAAGAAATAAAAGAATTTGAATAAATTAGTGATACAAATCAGTTCCTAAAACCTACAAATTCAGTCATGATGTGTGATTCTGGGTAATCCATACCAAATCCTTCTTTTGCTGCTCTTCATAGCTGAAAATATTTACAAAGTAAGATAAACAAATAACTAACTCAAAAGATGATACGACACCATAATCACATTACTAATGTATTTACCAATATCTGGATTGAAGATTTCCTCCACAACCAGCTGAAAAAATTCTTTGGAAACACCTCCCTCATCAACTCCTTGTTCTCCTTCAAATTCCACATACAACTGCTTCTTCAAGTCTGCAGGATTTTCCATAGCGATCATCTCTAGCTAGTGATTGAAAAGATAAACATGAAAAGAAGATGATTGCTAGTATCAGGAAAAAAACAAAATAAAAACAAGGAGTAGGATTAGGAAACAAATACAAATTTTTGACTTTTTGTATGTAAATGGAAACAGAAAGCAAACTGATAAAAAGCCAGTGAAGACAAAGATTCAGTCTTAAAGATAATCAAAAAGACAGACACAAAACAGACACTAGCATAGTAAAAAGCTAACTTTACTGATTTGTTATGAAATTAACATACAATTAATTAAGATTTTATTACTTGTGTGTTAAGTCTGGACTACACAGGACATGGAAAAGCAGCTAAATCATTTCAGCAAAAACAATGGAGTAGAGGTCTAACCTCAAAATTGTTCATTAGTAGTCCTTTATTAGAATAGAAACTCAAGGGTTAAGTCTTAGTATCTACTAAGTCATAAGTAAAATATTTCAATTAAGAAAAATACACTGAATACTAAAGCAGTTTATGGTCTCTCACAGTAAGACTTAGTATAAATTACCACCTTTTAATGGACTAGAACCCATCTTATATCCACATTTCCTTAAAAACAGGTGAGACATAACCTTACTCATGTCCTTACTCTTTTTTTTTTTTTTTTTGACATGAAATCTCACTCTGTCGCCTAGGCTGGAGTGCAGTGGCGCGATCTCAGCTCACTGCAACCTCCGCCTCCTGGGTTCAAGCAATTCTCCTGCCTCAGCCTCCTGAGTAGCTGGGATTACAGGCAGGCGCCACTACGCCTGGCTAAATTTTTTATTTTTAGTAGAGATGGGGTTTCACTACGTTTGCCAGGATGGTCTTGAACTCCTGACCTCATGATCCGCCCACCTCAGCCTCTCAAAGTGCTGGGATTACAGGCGTGAGCAACTGCACCCAGCCCTTATTCTTAAATTGTAAGTTAACAAACTTTAGTGTCTAGCATTTTCTCAACTATAAATCTTTTACCAAATATTTTTGTGTACCTATAGAATTATGAATATACAGTAACCTCATTGAGATTAATCATAAAATCAACACTAGATTCCAATATTAACTGTTTATACTGCATTTTGTTTGTTTTACTTTATGTATCTAAAATTTGCTAACAGTATGACTGTATCCAGTACATGGATGGATACTGTATCTAGTACATGGATGGATACTGTATCCAGTATCCATCATATCTCCTAACTTGCCTTCAAACATCTGTTGGCTGGTTAAAAAAATTTAATCTTGGAGATGAAAATTTACCAAAACAGGATATTAAATGTTTTCAGGTTATTCCAACTATTTCAAACAGAATTTTAAAAATGGTTTTGAAAAATGCAATAATCACTGAAACAACTGTAACACAGCACTATAGTAGTTAAAGTAATAATACTCATTTGGACAATCTAGTCTGTCTACAAAAAATAAAATCTCATAAATTAACGCATCAGGTCAGGTTGCCCGAGAGCATTGTTTTTTCAAACTTGTCACCTGCAACTCATTAGTGGGTAGTCTAATCCATTTAGTGGTTTGCAATCAGCAATGGGAAAATCAGAATGCATTCCACATAGTAATGGAACCTACTGTTTTGTGAAACTTTTGTTTCAATTAGATGTACAGATGGATAAGCATGTACTGGGATGCTATGTAAAATACTAGGGATTGCAGTCAAAGAGTTTGACAAAACTAGCTGAAATTATCTTCTGGGTATCTTCAACTTTAGGGTCCTATTCTGTGAATTTAGTCTTTAGCTTTAAATAATGTCTGTTGTTGTTCAACACCGATCTCTAATATTTACAAAATCATTTTTAGGCCACACAGTTTACTTTTAGACAATGTTTTGTTATGGAAAGACCAAGAGTCAGTCAGAATTCACCTTACTAGTCCCAACTCTCACTTACCATAACTTTTAACCTTTAAACTTTAGCACGCGATTCAATTAAGCCTCAGTTTCCTCAACATACTGTAAGTTGTGAAGGCTTATTAAGAATATATGAGAACGAGTGTTACCTTTTAAAATAGTTTTGCTCTCTGAACAACAGATTTGCAATTTTGTGTCCCCAAAGGAACTTGATATAGACTAGTTCCAAGATCTAGAGTCAAACAAATGTAGATGTGAAAATAACCTTGGGGAAAAAAATAGTTTCAGTTGGAAACCTGTTTCAAGCTACGGAGTATACAGAATTCTGAGGAGACTAAAATTAGAATTAACATCTTAGCTCAAATGTGGGACCAGGCCAACATTCCATATTGCCATGTAATCCATTCTGAGTTTCCTTATGCCAGTTCCCAACTGGCTAGGTGTTAAAGATGTAAGTCAGTGTTTATATTTACCTTTACATCCAAAGGTATACTTGCTTTTATCAAATATAATGTATTCCAAAGTGGGGAAAAAAAAGGTTATCTGGTATTTAGACTGTGCATTCTACAGCTTTTCCCCACTAACATTCATAGATGAGAGCTGACTCCTTATCAATGTAAAACCTTTTAAAGGATGTGGTGGTGAATTTCTACAGGATTGAGAGGCCCTGTGTTCTATCTAGTCTTAGCTCTACCTAAGACATGTCAAATGATAACTGAAGCAAATTTATCTTTATTCTCCATAAAATATTACATGTCTGTCCACTTCCACTGATCTCTATTCTATGCTCCCCACCTTGGTGCCAAAAGAATGTAATGCAATGCAATATGTTCTATTGTAAATGCAAACATACAACTTTACCTCTCTTATTTCATCTGTAAAATAACCATAATAATATAGTAATAAATTAATGTATGAACTGCTTAGATTAATTCCCTGCATAAAGTTAGTGCTTAAAAGTACTAGCTGTTGTTGCTGTTATTTTATTGGTTCTAAAATATTTTCTGAAAACCTACCATAGCATTATAGAACAAAAATATTCCATGAATACAGCAACAATAATATATAGCACTTTTGTAGCATTTCACACATAGCAACTAATTTAATCTTCACAACACCCTTATGAGGAAGGAAACATTAACTCCACTTTACAGATAAGGACCCCAAGATACTGAAAGGTGAAATAACTTCAAGTCACAGTAAGTCACAGTAAGTTGTGGAACAGAGATACTAATCCAGGAAACAAGCTCTTAACTACTATGCTTTACTCACTCTCTTCAATGACGACCAAAAATTTTTTTTTTAGGATTATGAGTGATTTTTATTTTCCTTATTCTTTTCCATATTTTTCCATTTTTTACAACAAATACATTTTTCAGAGTCAGAATGTGTTCAAATATAAATATGTAAAAAGAATAATTTGAAAAGTAGTTGGTAACTGAATTCTGTAGGCAAAAATTTTGTTATTACCTATTTTAGATTACCATTCTGGTACACATAAGTGATTTCATAAAATACTGTACCACTTAAGAATAAAGGCTGGGCGCCGTGGCTCACACCTGTAATCCCACCACTTTGGGAGGCCAATGCAGGCAGATTGCCTGAGCCCAGCAGTTTGAGATCAGCCTGGGCAACATGATGAAACCTTGTTTCTACAAAAAACTAATAAATAAATAAATAAATAAATAAATAAATAAATAAAAAATAGTGGGGGGTGGTGGCATGCGCCTGTCATCCCAGCTACTTGGGAGGCTGAGGTGGGAGGTCAAGGCTGCAGTCAGTAGAGATCGTGCCACTGTACTCCAGGCCTGGGTGACAGAGTTAAGACCCTGTCTCAAAAATTAAAATAAATAAAATAGTAAAAACAGAATACATAAATAGCCTTTAAAACTATTTTATTTTAAATTATTAACACATAAAATTTAGCAATAACCATTTTGATAAAGGCCATTATTGCATAAACAGCTGTACTGATAATTCTTTTTCTTAAAAATAACCTCCATCAATTGTTCGGTCAATTTAAAAAAGATTTAACAAATAAACTGTAAAGGTGTATTCTTTACATAATAGCTATATTATTTAAAATTGTATGTTGTTGTTTAAACCCAAACCTCACCATAAAACTGTATTTTTTAAGTCAGAAGTTGTTTTAAATGCATTAGGATATTTGAAATTTGGAGGACTATGTCTAAACATTCTGAAAAGGAGAACGTGCATGCATGCCTGAATTTATTTACAATACACACGTGGATTTTTAGGGTTTTTTTTGTTTGTTTTTTTTTTTTTTTTGAGACGGAGTCTCGCTCTGTCGCCCAGGCTGGAGTGCAGTGGCGCAATCTTGGCGCACTGCAAGCCCCGCCTCCCAGGTTCATGCCATTCTCCTGCCTCAGCCTCCCGAGTAGCTGGGACTACAGGCGCCTGCCACCGCGCCTGGCTATTTTTTTTTGTATTTTTTAGTAGAGATGGGGTTTCACTGTGTTAGCCAGGATGGTTTCGGTCTCCTGACCTTGTGATCTGCCCGCCTTGGCCTCCCAAAGTGCTGGGATTACAGGTGTGAGCCACCGCGCCAGGCCAATTTTTAGGTATATTTAAAAGTACAGTGTATGTTGTATTTATTTAACATGGAGACTAGCAACAGACAGAGATTACTGGGGAAAAATAAACAAAAATATCCTGGATATAATCATATCTACCTCTTCACTGCGTAACTTCCTCTTCTTTAAGACTCTTGATTTCATCAATTGCTGGATAAAATGATTTTTAATTTCTGAACTTTTTAATTGGCCATGATGATGAAATCCTAGGGAGTTCATTTTTTAAAAAAAAAATCTGACCTGATATCAAAGCATTTGCAGAATACCTAGCAGGATGACATCTTAATATCAAAATATGATATTACTAGACTTACAGGAATCAAAAGGAAAACCTTATCACTTAAAATCTTATAGTTTTCTGAGCTATTACATCAAATCAATTCATAATTTTTTAAAAAAATTCCTTAATACCATGAATATTTAAGTAGAAGCAATAATCAGATAAAAGAGACCTCTAATACTTAAGAATGCCTGGGATTTCTAAGAAAGGCTAGCTTCAAGGCCGGGCGTGGTGGCTCATGCCTGTAATCCCGGCACTCTGGGAGGCCGAGGCGGGCGGATCACGAGGTCAGGAGATTGAGACCATCCTGGCTAACACGGTGAACCCCATCTCTACTAAAAATACAAAAAAATTAGCTGGGCATGGTGGCAGGCGCCTGTAGTCCCAGCTACTCGGGAGGCTGAGGCAGGAGAATGGCATGAACCTGGGAGGCGGGGCTTGCAGTGAGCCAAGATTGCGCCACTGCACTCCAGCCTGGGTGACAGAGCAAGACTCCGTCTAAAAAAAAAAAAAAAAAAAGAGGAAAAAGAAAGAAAGGCTAGCTTCAACTACTTCAGTCAACTTGAGGCTTAAACTATTGCTTGAGATTTCCAGATTATCCAAATTAATTTTTTCATGTTCACGATAAACACATGAAGAAAAGTCTGTTATATCTCAAATGTAGTTTAAATGTTTGGGTAACACCAAATCACATAATCACGTTCGTCCATGAGACCTGGAATCCTGACTTCTATTTCCAATTCTGCCATTAATTTATGTAGGCTGGAATCTCTTTTAGATTTCATTTTCCTCACATGTAATACTAAGTTTGATGTTTCATTGTCTTAAATTATTATATAATGCTGAGGATCTATGTATATATAGGCTTCATTCTCTCATTCAGTTTCTGAGAAATTACTTTGAGGGCATAAACCAAGCATATTTCTTGGTTTCATTTTTGATTTCAATTAGAATAAATCACAAGAAAGAACAATGGAAATTACATGTTAACCACAATATAGTGTATGTGTAAGACAAAATTAAACATACCTAGTGCAGCACAGAATAATCTCATTTTTAAAGCTCTGTGAGTCAATGAATAAATAAAAGAATTACGTTCATGTTTCACTAGTAAGAGTGTTCACCAATGCTGGAAGCTGGGAGCTGAAAATGCTGGAAGCTGGGTTAGACTAGGCTATTAGAAACCAGATAAAAAGGGCCAGTGACTTTTAGAGGGGATTTTGCAGAACCTCCTGGTAGTGGGGCTTTTTATCTGTGCCAATCACCTTTATCTGTGCTAATTCCTATTTTTGAACTTCCCTATTCAATTCCACATCTCAGCCATTCCTTTTGGTTTTTAGATATTTATGTGAAATGCTAGAACTCCCTGACTAATTGGAACCAAGTTTCACATCATCATCATCCTCTATTCCAAGCTTGCTGTCCCCATGATCCTCTTAAAAATCTGAGTTTCCAAAACACATAAACATACTTGTATATCAAAATGGCCTTTCTCTTTCTCTCTATATATGCACACATACACACATAAACACACATGCACACACACCCCCACCTGAGCTGAACCAAAGGCCATCTTCCCAAATATTGGAGTCTGGCTTTATCAAAATATTTGTGGAGTATTACCAGAAGTTCAGATTCATAGGCTCTACAATACAGCTTCTAATCTAAACCTCTAGAGGTTAGGGCCCTGGATTTTATTTATTTATTTATTTATTTTTTTTAAACAATTTTCCCATTCAGATGTGAAGGCAGTTTGAGGGACCTCATGATGGCAATACTATATTCTTCCATAAACTTATAACCTCTATCTTCTCCTTTAAGAAGTAATTTAAAAAATCTTAATACATACTATCATTGGAAGTGCTTCATCTAAGAAAAATGAGAAATTATCTACTTGTAAAAGAACACACAAATGGGTATATTTACATATTTGTAAATATGTAAATATTTACATATTTGTAAATATGTAAATATTTACATATTTGTAAATATGTAAATATTTGCATATTTGTAAATATGTAAATATTTACATATTTAAATTAAATTAATTTACATATTAAATTAAATTACATATTTATATTAAAAATGTAAATTTGTAAATATGGTTTTACATATTTGTAAAAACCTCATCACATTAGGAATGTCATTCAAATGAAAGGTGAAGTCTAAGCTCATGTTTATCACTGTACTGTTTTCTAAGGAACAATAACGAAAAAATACTGAAAATAAGTCCTAGGGGAACTATGGCAGTAAGTTAAACGGGTAGGGTGGGGGTGTTCTTAAGCAGTTCTAAGGTATTTGTGAAGAGACAACTTATATTCTATTGATTCTAAAATTCACTTTTTTCACATTATCTCTGAAATCAGATTACACCATACAAATGATAGCATCTTACAATGAATTGCTGGTATTTTTCTGTCTTAGCAGTAATAAAATGATAGTGTTTCCTACAATCAGAGATTAGTGAAAATACTATCAACATGAATTCTTCTCTTGTCATCAAAGACAATTTCTCTAAAAACCTCAGGAAAAAAGCTGCTAGTCTGGTTTGAATTTCACAATATATAAAAGCAATGAATATATTTTTCTTTTTTAAAAAAATCCACAATTATTAATTCAAGTTACCACTCCTCAACAGAAAACATACAAGAGTCTCATATATGAAGTCACTATTTTCTGGGCTTGATTTCTAAACTAAGGAGTGGATAACTCTAAGGTTTCTTTTAGCTCTTAAAGCCTAGGATCCCATAATTTTATTTATCAATATTAAGCTTACCACAAAGTTTCTCATTTCTTCTTTTCCACCCAACCCTGCTATACAATTCCAAAATTAGCAAGTCATAAAAAAGTGGCCACTAGTTTGTTCACTGTGATATATAAGAATGAGGCTTAAAAAGCAGAGATCCTTGGGAAATAAGATCTTGAAAAATTCATCACTTTTGAGCTTTCATATGAGAGAATAATCTTAAACCACTTTCTATTATAGAACTTCTACTATGTGTTACTAAAATATGTGGCTTTATCATAATCATCACCTGCTGTGAATACTTACTTCAAAAAATTACACAGGTTATCAATTTTACTTATAAGACCTATTTCGATGCTGGTTTTTCTAGTCTTTTCACATTCTGTTATTTTTTTAAAAAAAAGAAAAGGAAGAAAAAGCAAGGGAGAAAGAAAGTTAAGAGTAAAATCTGCTTAGTGTGAGCATTCAGAGCCCCTAAGGAAGCTTCTCTGTAAGCATCATCTCTTTCTATTTTCACAGTTTATTAAACTGCCTAACACACATGATTTCTGAAGTGAACTGCTTTTGTGGGCTGGCAATATTCAAGTACATATACTATCTAGTGAATCCTGATTTATGATAGGCCACACTATATTATCTAATTTTGATATAATTAAGCAGAACTTGCTAAAAACAAGTTACCATAATTAAAGAGCTCACAGTTAATTTTACACTAACACCTAAGGCTTTAAAAGCAGTTGTTTCCTTAAAATTCTAGAATAGAATTTAAAATATAGAATAAAGTATATACCAAGTACTTAAACTTTTGTTTTTAGTCTTGCTTTACTAGAGAAAAAAATGGGGGACTGAGGAAAATAAGACTGAGTAGACTTCTGAGCGAAAGACAGATAAGGAAGGTAGACAATTTTTTGAACCCTGGAATGATTCTTACAGTGTAATTTCATTGCCTTTTAAAGGCTAGACATAGCTTTTGATGAAGACAGCTGAAGGGATCTCACCTCAAGAAGCCAAACATAAAGTATGTAGCTTTGGCATTTGCAGTTCTGCTCCAACAATGGATAGTCATAGACAGACCTCAACATACCTTTCATAAAACATCACTCACATTCTTATAAAATACCCTATCATTCTGCTAAACTATGTAAAGTAAGGTGCTGGCTGCCTTATGATCAGTCATTAAGTGTATTAATTATTCATGTGTCTCAAAACTATGTAAGTGAAATAAAAAGGGTACCAGAAAGCAAGCAATAATAATGACTTCAGGCAGTTAAAGCCCCCTTTTGTCTCTGCTAGAAAACCACCTGAGTTGCTTAAATAATGCAGAATCTTTCTCCAACACTATAAACATATCTGACATTAAAAAAAAAAAACAAACCAGTAACAAAAAAAAAAAAAACACACAAAATCTCTGCAATTTTTAATTTCTGAGATGTCAAATAACTTTTTCCACCGGGCTACAGCTTTATGAATTCTCGAATTTAGACAATTCTAAAACTAAAATTTAGACATTCTAAAACTAAAATACATTTTAAAGTAAAAATCACATTTCCTAGTTGTCTGTGTCAGACAACTTTACTAGTATACTATAGTATTATTAACTACCTTAATTTTTGTTGACATTAAATTTTACTTGAAGATGATAAAAAAGTAGCAGCAATGACAGGGATAGCTAATACTAGAAATACAATAAAGCTCTGCGATAATGCACCTGAGACAAATGTAAATTTTGGTGAAATGTGACTGACGACTGCTTTCTGTCTTCTGGCCACTCTTATATTCTTAAACAGATACACTAAAATTATCTTGTGGAGGAAAGAAAAGGAACAAATGGCAACCCCATCTGGAAAACCAGGAAGTTAGGATGAGTACCTGAGTTTCCAGTATTTCCCTGCTCAATCTCCCTGGACTTGATGTTACAGGCACCACTAATCCCCAGATTTTTGGAATAGCTGCTGTTTTCCAGAAGTTCCAAGACCCAGAGTTGTCTCTATGAATTTTTAAGTGGGAAGAAACTACCACAGCCAGGCAGTGCCGTCCACACAGGGATATTCTAAGTGGCCCAGCAGGACTCAACTCTTACTGGCAACAGGCACTGATCTGCCATGGTCACTTCATCAAGTCCACAATAATGCAACTCTGAATTTTACACGATGGAATTTTTTGGACACTACCTATAATTTTATGGTATGGTTTTACTGTACCATTACTCCCAGTTCAAGACTGCACATCCACACTTATTATTGGGTATCTCCACATTTCTCTTGTTCTGGTCTTTGTCCAACACTCTATTCTCTTCTGAATGAAAGAAACTTTGGATTTAGTTTTCAAGATTTAGAAAACCCATTCTTTTTCAAAGATAGCATGACCATTATATAATACAACCGATACTTTGTAGAACACATCTATAAACTTGCACAGGAACAACAAAAGTATAATACTTATATAAGATCAGAAATGTCCATGTGTTCCTATGCTATATGGTATCATTTTTTTCAGTCACTTTTAAAATGAATTCACTGAACTGTATCATGATATCCCCATTATTAGGTTTTTAATCTAGCAGCCCAACTTACCCGGACAAGTGCATCATCTATGATATGGTCACGTCTAACTTTGAGTCTCAAATATGGATTCAACTGCTGTCCTTGAACTAAGCTGTAGAGAACAGTGATTCTTCGTTCACTGTACATGCGAATTCTATTGTCATAATATAATCCCAAATTCTTTGTGACAGCATTCAATATAAAGGGACATGTCATAAAAGAGAATTTGTTCTCTGTTTCTACTTTGAAAAAAGTATAATCTTTATCCATTTCTAGAACCTCATTCAGTGGTTCATTAATAAACTCTTCAAAAGGGATAAGTGGTTTTCGACAATCCAGGGTTTTAACACCAAGTTCAGTTTCCAGGGGGTCCACTCGAGGACCTTTCTTGTTTCTTCTTTCTTCTCCCAAAAGTTCCTGAAGTGTCAGCTCGCTGGACTCAGGGATGGGCTCTTCATCATCTTCTTCATTGTGATTTGTGTCCACTTCCCCTCCCACTACATTTGCATAGTAAACCATTTTCAAGCACTTCGAAGCAGCAACAATGGCATCATCATCATTCACTAGATTTCGACTGTTAAATTCATTGCTTATGACTTTATAAGTAATAAGTTGCTGAAATGTCTCCATCATTCTCCGAATCTGGTCTGCATTGTATTTAGACCACAGTCTGATCAGTTTTCCTTGGGCTGCAAGGGGTAGCTTGCTCATCGCTTTGCAAAATAATGGCAAAGCCATTTCCAGATATTCAGGACTGTGGAGATTTCTATTCTCCATTACGATAATGAACAAATTCAGATAATTAGGATCTCGAGAGTATACATTGTGATACGTCAAGTCACATTCCACGTTAGGTGACAAATATACAAGTGCATTGAGAAAGGCAGTTTCAATTTTTTCATTAGAGAGCAATCTGGTGTAGACCCTTCTAATGGCATCAATATCCACAGACACATCATCAGGGCCTAATTTTTGCAAATTGTTGTCTCCCTGTGAGCTATCACCTATCCTTGAGGAAGATGCTTCTGAGTCTTCTTCCATAGCAGCAGCAGAACATGCAGCTTTTTCCTTTTCATCTTCATCTTTGTCTTCATCTTTTGCTTGAAGAGATTTCAGTTCTTCCTTGGTGTGTTGTTTAACTTTCCGGAAGCTCTGTACCAATGCCTCAGCACTAGAAAAAACTCTTCCAATAACACGGATTAAAGGGGAATAATCCTCTCTTTCTCTACATAATTCAAGAATTTCATATACCTTCTCTTCTGTTAAGTAAGTCACATCTAGAAAATCAGAGGAAAAAAGAGAACATTTATTTTCATAATATGTATGTTTACTCTGTTGCAAAAAGTTCTAAAAGTAAAACAGCCAAACATTCTAGGCTCAATATCATTTATGATATACAACTCTTAAAGTATCTAATACTTAGATTCAGCAAACAAAATTTAATGCTTACCTATTTTTTTCAATGAACTACCTACCTATACCAATGACCTCACCCATGCTTTTACATTCTTTCAACAATGTATAACTCTTAATAAGATCATGAGTTTAAACTTTCTTTATAATCAAGATATCTATTAATGTATAGCTTTAATTATAAATATGAACCAATATGTCATGTACTGATTAATCATAATACAGCTCTTAAAACCTCACTGTAGAACACACAGAAATACTACTAATCTGTGAGTTTTCTTGTTTCAGTACTCTGTTCTCCAAAGACTAAGAAGGCAAGGTCTTAAAAAAAGGCTCCTTCAGCATCTATGTATGTATTAAAATCAAACTGGTTCATTTTGGGTCTTCCTAGTTTGTTCCAGGGTAGTCATTCTGTGAGTGATTGAGAAGAATATACCATTTCTCATCGGCTCTTAAGTAGAAACTGCTTTCCACAGCCAGGAATCAGGTTAGACTAAATCTCATAGAGTGACAGAAAATAGTTTTTGAGCAATGAAAACAAACAGTGCAAAGAAGTAAACTTATGAGCTGGCAAGCAGTGCAGAGACTATGTAGTCATCAAAATCTATTTCCTCTTTTCCTGGGCACAGAGTTGGACCACATTTCCCAACTTTTTGAGATAAGTGTTATTTTCAGGCCAAGGCTTTCTCCCTTCTGGCTAATAGGATGAAAGATATTTCATTTCACAGGTAAAAACAAATGATATATTTTGTGTACTGACCAACATAATACTGAGAATAGTCTTAATTCTCCCTTTTATCAATAAAGTGACATACTTGTCATCATCAGATTAACTACTTGAGAGGTTAATTTTAGAGGCACACAGACAATCCTACCTCCATTGCGCCAAATATACCCTTATACATGTAGTGTACAACATGTAGAATTTTTAATGACTCCCACCTCTGCTATAATATATGTTTCACAATGAAAGACAATATAAAATGTAAGTGATCATTGAATGGTCTCCAAAAATTGAAGCACAAAAATACCAAATTTTATCATACTAAGGATCTGATCTGTGGCCCAGCTACAAGAGTACCAACACTTACAGTTTCTTTTATGGGCCTTAACTCTTTAAGAACTAATTCTCAGGTTTGTTCTATTAAGAATATATAAGCATCTTTTGCTAAACATCAGTAACCTCTTCCCCAAAAGCATAAAACCACTGGAAACCTATTTCTCATTATTTTCATTGAAAATTTTTAAAATACCTTCTTACAAGACAATGCAAAACTCCTAATTTCCTAAAATGTAACATAACAGAAAATACTACTATCCTATTAGGACATGAAACACTTTGCTTCCTGAGCAAGTCATAAGGTTAACAAAGACTTGCTTTGCATGCAGTAATATGGCCTGTCCTAGGGATCACCATTCTAGACTCACATGTCCTTTGTTGATATGTCATGCTTTCGGAACATCTTCAAGTGATTCTGACAGTCTACTAATCCTATATAGAATGTACCTATACTTTTTCCAAGGAGTGTTTTTTGTTGTTGTTTTTTGACATGGAGTCTCACTCTGTTGCCAGGTTGGAATGCAGTGGCACCATTTCGGCTCACTGCAACTTCTGCCTCCCGGGTTCAAACGATTCTCCTACCTCAGCCTCCCAAGTAGCTGGGACTACAGATGCACGCCACCACAACTGGCTAATTTTTTTGTATTTTTAGTAGAGAGGGGGTTTCACCACGTTGGCCAGGTTGGTCTCGATCTCTTGACGTCGTGATTCGCCCGCCTCAGCCTCCCAAAGTGCTGGGATTACAGGCGTGAGCCACTGTGCCTGGCCTGTAGTGTTTAATATGTTAAACTGAATTTTTCAGGTATATAGATAAAAATTAGTCAAAAAACACTGTAATTAGATATGAACATTCAAAAAGTTTGGTTTATTGATACAGGTGTTCTACTGAGAAAGACATTTTTATAAGATTTCTTGTGATAAATGTGTCCCTGAAAATACTCAATCTTTTAAATTTTGCACTTAAAAACCTCCTACGCAAAAACAGTTTGGTGCAGACTACTTAATACTTATGCAACTTTGTAATTAGTGTTAACAAACATAATTAATAATCAAAATAAGAGTACTAGTGTACAGAAAGCATCTCTAATTTCCAATATACAATAGTAACTATAGAACAATGCAAAAACAAAAACAAAAAAACCAGTAACGAACAGGGAACAGTAACAGTAGCATATTAGAAAACAGGGATAAGGAAAGGTCACAACTGCTATAATGCAGACTTGAGCAAAAAGAGGAGGGGGCATAAAGACTGGATAAAGCCACACAATAAGCACCTCTAAGATGGAGCACGTGGCCAAAAGAGCAGATGAGCACATTCCTCATGTACCACATCCCCCGCAGCTGGCTGCATTCCACTGTGCCAGCACTCTACATTCAGTTACTGGTACTCTCTGGTGCACACTTACTGGAGAACTGTGTACAATAAAGTCAATGCAGCTTCCACATTATACTGACACACTATATATACAGACAACATTTACCTATTTTCCCATAGTGTGTGAACTAATTCATGAAACAGAATTATACACTCTGAAGCAACAAAGTTGTGTAAAGTGACGAAAATAATTTTATTGTGGAAACAGAGTAGAGGTTATAACACAATGCCACTTCACTAATTCTTTCAAACTTGATTCAAATGATGTTAGTGAAAGTTTTAGAGGCAAATGCCTCTAAAATTCTCTGACTTGTATGTCATAAAAAAAAAGCTTTCTCTCTTAAAATACAATTGCCTCTGGGTGTGTGTAGGGGTGAGAGTGGAGGGGCGCTAAGCCCTGGTAGTCATTCAAAAATTTGATTACTTTGTTACTAATTACCTTCACTGAAGAAAATAACTTGGAGTTTTAGTATTAGCGACAAGGTAATCGAATTCTGAATTTTGGACGTAGGACCATTTAGAAAACAAAAGACCTGAGTGAAGACTGTCATTGGTAGGTCATGATCCTTGGCAGCATGACTGTACCAAATGTCCGGAAGGAGAGTGAGAAGCATATATCTGAAGGAAACGTAGAATTCTCACATAACTATCACAAAATTTTGTCTTGCCTTCAAAAATGGAAAAAACCCACTGTTTCCTCTTTCTGCTTCTTTCATCACATCATCCTGAGGTTCCAGAACTCATGCCAGATACTTAGTCCAGTTATTCTATAACTTAAATAGATGTTGTGGCCTAGTTTTGGAGATTCACTACCACTTAATACATTTTTCCTAAGAATTTTAAAAAGTTCAAATCAATCTATTAACAAATGAACTTTTGGCATATGATCTGCTTCTAATTAGCAATGATTAGACCTGTAAAATGTAGTTATTATTCCTGTCCGTTACCACAATAAAAAATTGGTTCTACGATATCAAAATGTCTTTATGTCACAGAAGAAAAAACAAATAAAAACTAATACATTTAAATCTCCCACATGGTTTTCAGGCAACAATTCTCAATTGAAAATAAAACATCTTACCTTTAAAATCAATTCTAGCGCCTTTCTTGTTCATTTTTATCTCAGAGCAGGAGTTGTTGGGGGCACCTTTCGAGTTCTCAAGGTAAGCTGAGCTTGCTCCTTTCTTGGAGGGATGAGGATCACAGAGTTTTGCATTAATCTTATAAAGCTCGAGGGCTTTAATAGCTGCTGCATTATTATCCATACGAAGAAAAGTTGGACAGGAAGCACAAAACTCATTCGTGCAGGCTTCATTTCCACAGCCCTCAGTTAACTGGTGGTAGTAGCGTTCTATTAGATGCTTTGCAGCTGCTCGCTTCCTGTACCAAACATTCAAACAATAAGCACAGTGATTAGTACAGCTCTCAAGTACAAAGCTCAACATATCATCAAGGCAAAAGTTAGTCAAGCACTGAAGTGATTAACCTGTGTATGAAGATGAGAAGTAGAAAATGGAGATGCACTATTTACCACAACTCCTGACTAGTGAAATAGTTAATAAATATTTTCTAGGATATTATGATAAAGAATGTCAATGCTTACTGACTGTATTAACAGAGTATACATTCCTTTGGTTTAAAAGGGGGGAGGGGGGCTTGTCTGATGGTATATGTGCTTAAGTTGTTTAGTACAACAGCTGAAAAATCACAAGGTTTACAGCTAAGAGTTGTAGGATTCTATCATTTTAAAAATTAGCATTAGGAAAATGAGTCTATTTAAAGCATCAATCCGGTTTTCTTTTACATAATCAGTATTTCATTTTTAACAGCTTGTAAACATTTGACTTATAGTTAACACAGAATATCTATCTGGAATAAAAACTATTTTTCCCAATTATCAACAACATGGGAGACTTAAAAATAAATTTGTAAGTGGAATATCCAAAGATAGTGTTACACTGAAAGAAAGCGGCTGCAGCCTGAGTGAGGCAGATCATGACTGTAATCAATCCCATAACTGTGGGAGGCTGAGGCAGGCCGACTACTTGAGCCCAGGAGGTCAACACCAGCCTGGGCAACATAGTGAGGCTACTCTCTACAAACTTTTTTAAAAAAAATTAGCCAAGTGTGGTGGCATGCACCTGTAGTCCCAGCTACTTGGGAGGCTGAGGATCACTTGAGCCTGAGAGTCAAGGCTGCCATAAGCTGAAATTGCACCACTGCACTCCAGCCTGGGCAACAGAGCTAGACTTTGTCTCAAAAACAAACAAACAAACAAAAACCAAAAAGAAAAAGAAAAAGAGGCTCCAAAGTGTAGAATCTTAAATCTAAAACTTGTCACTAAACCTCCTCATTAGTTCCACGTCACAAGATGGAATATTTTAAGTTCCATCACGTGAAATCTTATATTCCTTTTACTCTGTCAACTTAAAGTACACAGATTAATGTCCTATTATGGCTGTTTCAGGAGAGCTACCAAAACTGAGGGAGGAATTATGTGACCATGTAAGAAGTTAGATGACATTATATTCAACACTAAAGAGTCTATGCTTCTACTAACTGATAAAATTACCATAATTTCAGTAGAATAAACTACTGGATCCAAAGAAACATAAGTCATAGCCATTCCTTTTGGTCCCAAATTCACAAGCATGGAAATAACAACTACAAAGAATCAAAATTATAAGAAAAATAGTTCAGCTGATTTTCAAAACATTCACAGAATTATCTAACATGTAGGACTAGATGACCAATGCCAGAGTTTACATCTTGCTAATCATGAGAAACTCAACAATTAACAAGGCAGCAAGTAAGTGAAGAAACACACGAGATCCAATTTTGTCTCAACAGAAGAACTTTCACTCTCTGTCCAGGTAGGTGACAAAAAGTGATAATTCACACACATTCAATTCATTCTGGTGCTTATTTTTCAAATGTTCCATGCAAATTTACCACTCACTGCATGCAAACAGAGAAAAAAGAAAACCCACAAAGCACATGTAAAAATTGCATAAACATGACTTAAAGACATTTTGCTATCTATGAAGCTATAAACCCCACCTGAAAATTAAAAACTGTTATCACAGATTTAGCACTATGCAAAATATGAAAGTGAAAACATGTAAAAATAAAATGGAAATGCAGAATCTAGAAAATTTAAAATATATATTGCTACCCTTCAGTAAAGAAAGGGAGATAATGTCATGTTCTCCCAAACTACAGTGACTTCCCTGGTGAAAATGTAAGTAGGTATTTCCTTTCTGGAGGAAAACAGTGAACATGTATCGAAAGTCTTAAAAACACGAATACCGTGTGAATGAGATCCTACTTGTGGAAAATAATTTGACAATTTTACAAAAATGCATTGTTTCTATATCTGAAAAAAACATGTCTAATAAAAGATTACTTAAATGAACTGATAATAGGTCACACAATAAAATAAAAACTATCAAGATTTGAATTCGACAAAGAACTGCCTAGTCTTCCTGATATATCACTAACTGACAAAAGTCAGTTAAAAAGTAGCAGGTGTAGGATGAACCCATTGTTATTTCAAAGCATTAATAGCATTTTCTCTGGATGATGTGATTAAGTGAGTTTTAAAACTTCTTCCATCTTTTGATTTCTTATTTATTCTTTCCATAGTAAGGATGCTACTTGCATATTAAAAATTAATAACTATAAGGGGAAAACAATAGCAGTTATAAAACTTCATATACATGATTTGAATGGCCCCGAGATTTACTAAATTGTCTCTGATTTTTAAAAAAATTACAAAAGTCAAAATACCAAAATAGATATTTTTAATGTGAGCTTTTATACTAAAATAACCTCCCCAAAACTTGTCAGATACATAGTACTTCTTTATATACTACATAGGAGGAGAGTGATCAGCACAAACAGAACGAGACTGAAAAATCAGAAGATCTGCATTAAGTGTCATCCTTCTGTCCCTAAGCAGCTGTAGGATCCTAGGGAAACAATTGTCTGGGCCTCAGTTTTCCCAGCTTTATGAGTCCCTTCAGTTCTAATTTTAAAGTTATTTTATGTAATAGGGAGGTGAGCAAGAAACTAGTATTTGCTGGATGCCTGATAACTTATTACACACACTGCGGGGCACTTTGACATGGGTTATCTCATTTGAATACCATGACATTGAGGATTATCTTCAGTCCACAGCCAAAGAGAGAAATAGAACTGGAGTCAAATCACGAAACCAAGATCTCAAAGAAAGTACAGAACCAAGACAAGAATAGGAGTCCAGGAGTCTTTCAGCTTCAGAGTCTAAGTCATTTTGACTATATTGTTTTGCAGAAGGTGATTCATTTCAAAATAATTATTTTTTAACATGAGTAATACTGAAGAATTCTATGGAAAAAAATCTCATAACTAATGTGCAACTGGGAAAAAAATCTGAAGAATCATAACGTGAACCTCACATTTATGCATCTATCTGGTACCACAAAGGCAGACCAAGTTTCTTGAGGAAATGGAACCACTATATTCTGCAAAGTTAATTTCTCTCTAATTTGTTGAGGACCTATGTGCTATGCATTTTATAGACATTCCCACTTTAGAGGGGAATAAACCTTAACAGTTAAGAGCTCGCATTCTGAGGCCAGATGCCCAAGTTCACATAATGGCTCTACCTCTTAATTAACTATGTGACCCTGAATGAATTACTTGATCTTTCTGGACGTAAGTTTCCTCGTAATTTAAATGGTAGTATCTACGAGCATTATCATGGTGAGAGTATTATTCTTCTTCACATTACCAATTGTGAGAAAATTAAATGTGTTAATATATATAAAGTGCTTAGAACATTGCCTGGCACATACTAAGCACTATGAAAGTGTTAGCTACTACTATTATTGTTGTAATTGTTACTATCACCCTCACAAGTGTATGAGTTAGCACTATAAACCTTCATTCTGCTGATGCTCAGAGAAATTACATAAGTCATACATCTAATAAGAGATTTGAACTCAGCTACTAAACTTGAGCTTTTAATAACTATTAAGAGGAGGATCTGAAAGTAGCCCTCTATATTTGATCTGCCTTTCTGTGCCAAGTTTAACAAATAGCAGCTACACTGATGAGACAGGACTAAAGGAAGCCATGCCAGAACCTCCAAGTTAATGGTGGAATCAACTATATTAAGCATTCTTCTTTTTTCCTCACTCCAATGACACCTTAATTTATCTGACCTCATCTGCATCACTATCTAATTTAGGATATGTAAAAGGCATACAAAATTTAGAGCACATAAAAGGGCCTCTACGTTGGAAAAGTATACACTAATAACGACTTTTTGGTATAGTTCCTGCGCAAGGGAAATCCTTGTACCATATGGGTCACCAAATCATAGCTCGTAAGTCAAATCGAGTCCACCACCTGTTTATGTCTCTCAAGCTTAGAATATTTTACATTTTTAAATGGCTGGAAAAAGTTTGAAAAATAATAATAGTTTGTAACGTGAAAATTATAAGAAATTCAAGTTCCAGTATCCATCAAGTGTACTGGAACATACCCAAGTTCATTGATTTATAAATATACTATATATGATAATGCTTTGGCTCTGTGTCCCCACCCAAATCTCATCTTGAATTGTACTCCCATAATTCTCATGTGTTGTAGGAGTGACCCCCTGGGAGATAATCTGAATCATGGGGGCAGTTTCCCACATGCTGTTCTTGTGGTAGTAAGTCTCACGAGATCTGATGGTTTTATCAGGGGTTTCCGCTTTTGCATCCTTCTCATTTTCTCTTGTCACTGCCATGCAAGAAGTGTCTTTCACCTTTCGCCATGATTCTGAAGCCTTCCCAGCCATGTGGAAGTGTAAGTCCAATTAAACTTCTTTTTTTTTTCCCAGTCTCAGGTACGTCTTTATCAGCAGCGTGAAAAAGGACTAATACAATATACTATATAGTTTATGGCTGTTTTTCATACTACAATGGCAGAGTTGAGTACTTTAGGCCTGCAAAACCTAAAACAAATACCACCTGCCCTTTACAGAAAATGTTTGCCAACCCTTAGTTTAGGATCTATTATTTATCTCTGCCCTCCAGTGACCCTGCCATCTAATCATTTGGCCTCTTAACTCTCTCTTTACCCTGAGCAAATCCGTAAAATAAAAGGTATACCTTTCCCCAAGTACTATTAAAGAAAAGAAGAGGAGAGGGGAAAAGGGAAAAAGGGGAAAAGAAAGTGAGGAAAGGGAGAGGATGCAAAAGAAAAAGAAGGAAAGAAAGGAATTTCCCTGATGAGATCCCTTAGTAATACCTTATCAGCTGTTCATAATCAAAATTCCTAGAAGAGGAACAACAGCTTACTTGCTATAATTTCTTCACATTCCATTGACTTTTCTTATTACTCAAAAAACAAAGTATGTTATAATGTGTTGATTTTTAAAATAAAACAAACTTTTCTTATTTAGTCAGCAATGAAGGTCAAGTGAGACCTTCTAGTAAAAGTCCTCTAAAGTCAGACACATGAAAATACTTATCCATTTAAAACAGACAATACTTTCCAATTATTTATTTCTATGATTGAATTAATGGGACAGTGCTACAAACAGAAGTCCTATGGAATAAGTCATACTTGGAAGATCAGAGTTTACTCTAGACAACTTGACAGCAATCAGTTTAAAAATGGTTTCACCTAGAGGGATGTGTACTAATGTTAGCAATTAACTTTGAAAGGCATAAAAATTAAGATGGATTGATGGATACAAGGATGGTTATACGATAAAGCAATGTAAGTATTAATGGCAGAATCTAGGTGGCAGGCATATGTGTGTCAGCTGTAAAATTTGTGTTCAATGTTTTTTTAGTTCCCACATATCAGTGAGAACATGTGATATCTGTCTTTCCGTGTCTGGCTTAGTTCACTAAAAAAATGAATTTACAAGACAACTGGAATATAAGCAATGAATACAAGCACTAAGAAGATGAAGCCATAGAAACAGCTGCCAGAAAGTGAAGATGTGACAGTGAACGCCAAACAAGTAAGATTAGAATTACAATTAGAATCAGAAATGACAAAAAAGAAACATGAACTGTGAGATGCAATATAAAAACTAATGGTGAACAAAGCAAAGAATAAAAAATAAAAACGGAAAGATTAAAAGGAAAATGTGACTGTAAGTAGAGTGACCTTTATATTATACAGAAGGTAAAGCAGAATGAACATGTGAGGAATCTAAAAAACAGATATAAAATAGAAACAACTGAAGGCTTATATAATTAGTCTATAAAGCTAGGAACCACTGCTTAGTAATTTCTCGTAAGTGGAGTCTCTTTGTTCTGAGACGTTGCAAAACTCCATTCCATCTCAAAGTTATTTTTAATGTTAAAATTTGTAAGAGTGAGCAACGGTATCCTAAATAGTTCTAGGCCTTGTAGAAATAGACTGTAAGAGACATCTGTGACACAACTATATTCAGTATGATGTAGGGTCTGTTACAATGGGATGAAGTGAATTTAGATTATTTCAAGACTAAACCTACAATTGTGAACTCATTAGTACCATGAACCGAACAAAAACCTATTAAATATAGAACAAGACGATTTTCATGAAAAAATAAATATGAACAAATCAGTATTTTCAGTTGTTTGAAATATAGGTTAACCTTCAATTACTGTTTTATGGCCGGGTGCAGTGGCTCACGCCACGCCTCTAATCCCAGCACTTTGGGAGGCCGAGGCAGGCGGATCATGAGGTCAGGAGATCGAGACCATCCTGGCTAACATGGTGAAACTACGTCCCTACTAAAAATACAAAAAAAAATTAGCTGGGCGCCGTGGTGGGCGCCTATAGTCCCAGCTACTTGGGAGGCTGATGCAGAAGAATGGCATGAACCCGGGAGGCGGAGCTTGCAGTGAGCCGAGACAGAGCCACTGCACTGTGGCCTGGGCAAAAGAGCGAGACTCTGTCTCAAAAAAAAAAAAGAAAAGAAAAGAACTGTTTTTTTCATTTTTATAGTCTCAATATCCAGAATGCGTGATATATGATAAAAAAAAAAGTAAAATTGTAGAACTAAATATTTACATAATTCATCTGTAAAATGAAAATCTGTTTTACAGTGTCATATTTCACAGTTAGAAAGGAAGAAAAACCTTAAATCAACAAATTAACTTTACATCTTATGGAATTAGGAAATGAAGAACAAATGAGACTCAAACTTACCAAAAAATAAAAAAAATAAAAATAAATTACAGCTAAAATAAAATAGAGAAAAATAGAAAATTTTTGCAATAGAAAAAAAATCAACAAAATTAGGAGTAGCTGTTTTATTGAAAAGATCAACAAAACTGGCAAATTCTTAGATTAAGAAATGAAGAGAATAGACACAAACAGCAACAACTGGAAATTAGAAAGGCGATACAACAACTGCTGCCACAGAAATAAATAGGACCTTAAAAGACTAATATGAACAACTATGACCCAAAAAAATTTGATAACCTTTGAGAACGGATAGACACATCAAACCCACCAAGACTGAGCCACAAATACATACAACTTCTGAATGGACCTATAACTATTAGAGATTGAATCAGTAACTGTCCAACAACGCCAGGGCTTCACTGAAAACTCTACCAAACATTTAAAAACTAACAACCCTTCTCAAACTCTTTGAAAAAACTAGAGGACAGAACACTTTCAAAATCATTTTATGAGGTAAGCATTACTTAGATATCGAAATCAGACAAATTTACAAGAAAAAAGAATCCCTAATAAATACTGATGCAAAAAAAATCAACAAAATACCAAGAAACAGAATTCAACAATGCATTAAAAAGATTATATTTCATAAATTCTCAACTGGAATTTATTCATAAAATCCAAGGATGGTTCAACATACAAAAAAATCACTTTAATACACTGCATTCTTAGGACAAAAACCAATAATCTCAACTGACTCAGAAGAAGCATTTGACAAAAATCAACACCCTTTTAGGATTTAAAAAAAGGCCAGACAGGGTGGCTCATGCCTGTAATCCCAGCACTTTAGAAGGGCAAGGTGGGTGGATCACCTGAGGTCAGGAGTGTGAGACCAGCCTGGCCAACACAGTGAAACCCTGTCTCTACTAAAAATACAAAAACTAATCGGGCATGGTGGTGGGCGCCTGTAATTCCAGCTACTCGGGAGGCTGAGGCAGGACAATCACTTGAGAACCCGGGAGGCGGAGCTGGCAGTGAGGTGAGATAGCATCATTGCACTCCAGCCTGGGTGACAAGAGCAAGATTCTGTCTCAAAAAAACAAAAACAAAAACGCTCAATTCGCTAGAAAGATATGGAAATTACTTCAACATAATGAAGGCCATATATAGAAAGACCACAGCTAATGTTATTCAATGATGAAAAACTGAAAGTTTTCCCTCTAAGATCACAAATGGAACAAGAATGCACACATTCACCACTTCTATTCAACATACTGTTAGACATCCTGCCAGAGTTAGCAACTGGGCAAGAAAAAGAAATGAAAGGTATTAAATGAGAAAAGTAAGAAGTAAAATTACTTCTGTTAGCAAATGACATGATCTTTTATGTTGAAAACTCTAGCCTACCAAAAAGAAAAAAAACCGTTAGAATAAAGGAATTCAGTAAAGTTACAGGATATAAAAACCAATATTAAGAAAAGAGTTGCATTTCTAAATACTAAAAATGAAGAATCCAAAAAGGAAATTAATTTTTTAAACCCATTTAAAATGAAATCAAAGAGTAAAAAATACTTAGGGAATATTTTCACCAAGCAAATGAAAGACATGTACATTGAAAATTAAACAACATAGGCCGGACGTGGTGGCTCACGCCTGTAACCCCAGCAGTTTGGGAGGCCAAGGTGGGCTGATCACGAGGTCAAGAGATTGAGACCATCCTGGCCAACATGGTGAAACCCTGTCTCTACTAAAAATACAAAATAAATTAGCTGGGCTTGGTGGCGCGCGCCTGTAATCCCAGCCACTCGGGAGGCTGAGGCAGGAGTTGTCACTTGAATTTGGGAGGCAGAGGTGCAGTGAGCCAAGATCACGCCACTCTACTCCAGCCTGGTGACAGAGTGAGACTCTGTCTCAAAAAAAAAAAAAAAAGAAAAAGAAAATTATACAACAATGCTGAAAGAAATTAAAGACAATACAAATAAATGGAAAGACATCCAAGTTTATGAATTGGAAGATTTAGTACTGTTAAGATGGCAATACTACCCAAAGCAATCTGCAAATTCAAAGCAATCCCTATCAAAATCCCAATGGCATTTTCTACAGAAACAGAAAAAAAAAATCTTAAAATTAATACAGAATCTTGAAGGACCCTGAATAGCCGTAACAATCTGGACAAAAAACAAAGCTAGAGGCCTCACATTCCCTGATTTCTAAAGATATTGCAAAGCTATAGTAATCAAAACACTATGGTGCTGGCATAAAGACAGATATACAGACCAAGTGAGCAGAAGAGAGAACACAGAAATAGGGAAAAGAGGTTCTTCAACAAACTGTATTGGGAAATCTGGAATCTAACATGCAAAAGAATGAAGTTGGAGCCTTATCTCACACCATATACAAAGATGAACTCAAGCTGGATTACAGACCTAAACTTAAAACATCGAATTATAAAACTACTACAAGAAAACATGGAGAAAAAGCTTCATGACATTGGACTTGGCAATGATTTCTTGAATAGATCACCAAAAGCACAAGCAACCAAAGCAAAAATAGACAAACTGGGGATACATAAACTCAAAAATTTCTACAAAGCAAACAGTAAATGGAGTAAAATGGCAACCTACAAAACAGGAGAAAATATTTCTATACCATGTATCTGTTATTTGGTTAATATCCAGAATATATAAATAACTCCTACAATTCAACAACAAAAAATCTAGTTAAAAAGTGGACAAAGGACTTGAATAGTCATTTTTCCAAAGAATATATACAAATGGGCAATAAGCCCATGAAAAGATTCTCACCATCACTGATCAGTAGGGAGAAATGTCAATTAAAACTGCAATGATACATCATCTGAAACCATTAGGATGGCCACCATTAAAAAAACAGAAAATAAGTATTGGTGAAGATATGGAGAAACTGGAACCCTTATGCACCACTGGTGAAAATGTAAAATGGTGCCAGGCACTGTGGAAAACAACATGAAGGTCCCTCAAAAAATTTGAAATAGAATTACCTCCAGTTCCACATATGAAGAGCTTGGAAGTCACCACTCCATCCTAACAACAAGTAAAAAATGACAAACTTAAAAATAAACAAATCTGAGATAGGATAAGTGAGGTCACAGGGCAAATGACTGCCTGTGAGAGCAGAGAACAGGTGAACACATAGCATCACCATTTATCTGAGATGAAAAACACAAGCAGAAACCTCCACGGGGTAGGAAATCCTGAAGTGTAATAGACAAATTGATGAAGGCTCAGTGTGGACAACTCTGAAAGCTAAAAACTCCAGAGTTACCCAATTATAGGGGGAGCCCTACAATTTTCTAAGTTTTACATCCAGGCAATTGACCAGCTTCTCACAGTAAATATAGGAGAAAAATCCTCAACCCTCAGCAGGGGAGGCAAAGAGAAATGATTTTCAAGTACACTAGACTATTCCAGTCTTAACAAGGTTTGTCCTCAGGAGAAACTAGTTAACCAGAGCCTAACCTGCTGGGGTTGTAGCAAAGCCAAAATGATGTGGGGGAAGAGAAATAACCCAACTTCAGGCCATTATAGCTATCTTGTTCTAACTAAGGGAATGAGGGAGGGGTGGGATTGAGAAACACTTGTGAAGTTCACAGTCCAGAGGCATAAGCTCACTAAAAAGACTGACCTAATCATAAGACTACAGAACTCTTCTCCTCTCCCTACACCTTACAACCACATTACTAAATGCTCATTTACAACAGTTCCTTTTACCTAGTACATCATGTCCAAGCTATCAAGAAAAAAATTACAGGGCATAATAAAAGGTAAAAAACAAGCACCAGGACCAGATACAGCAGGGATTTGGAATTATCAAACTTGGAATCTAAAACAACTATGATTAATATGCTAAGGGCCCTAACGAACTGAGTAAACAACATGTTAAAAAAGTAGAGATGAAAATCCTAAGAACCAAAAGGAAGTGCTAGAGATAAAACACAAACAAAAACAAAAAACAGAACACTGTAAGAGAAATGAAGAATGCCTTTGATGGGCTTATTAGTAGGCTGGGCATGGATGAAGAATCTCTGAGCTTGAAAATATGCCAAAAAACTACATCTGGGCATAAAACGTTGTAATTACAGAAATTCAAGGATAAGAAAAAAATCCGAAGTAAGCCAGAGGGAAAAAATCACCTTACCTGTAGAGGAAAAAAAGAAAAAAAAGAAAAAATACATGTGACTTCCAACAAGAAAAAGAGTGAAATATTCATAGTGTTGAGAGAAAAAAAAACCATAAACCTAGCACTCTACCTTGTGAGATTATTATTCAAAAGTTAAAAAGAAACACTTTCTCAGACAAAAATTAAGGAAATTTGTTGTCAGTACACCTGCCTTGCAATAAGTGTTGGGAAGTTCAGAAACTGAAATCTACATATATAGAGCATCAAAAGAAGGAAACACTGAAAGTAAAATAAAACCTTTTATTTTTCTTATACTTAATTGATCTAACAAATAAGAATTTGTTCAAAATAATGTCAACAATTGTGCTTATGCATACAAATGCTCCTAAACTTACTTATTGGGTTGTGTCCCAATACCATTATAAATTGAAAATATCATGAAAACACAACTTATCCAAATTTGTGGGATACAGTGAAAGCAGCGCTTAGAAAGAAACATACAACACTGATGCATTTATTAGAAAAGAATTATCTAGGCCGGGCGCTGTGGCTCACGCCTGTAATCCCAGCACTTTGGGAGGCTGAGGCGGGTGGATCACATGGTCAGGAGATCAAGACCATCCTGGCTAACACAGTGAAACCCCGTCTCTACTAAAAATACAAAAAAATTAGCCACACGTGGTGGCAGGCGCCTGTAGTCCCAGCTACTTGGGAGGCTGAGGCAAGAGAATGGCGTGAACCCGGGAGGCGGAGCTTGCGGTGAGCCGAGATCGAGCCACTGCACTCCAGCCTGGGCGACAAAGCGAGACTCCATCTCAAAAAAAAAAGAAAAGAAAAGAATGATCTAAAAATCAATTATCTGAGCTACCAACTTATGAAACTAGAAAAAGCAAATTAAATCCAAATAGAAGTAATAAAAATTAGAGCAGAAATCAATGAAATTGAAAACAAGATATCAATAGAGAAAAATCAAAGAAATCAACTAGTTCTCTGAAAAGATCAATAAAATCAATAAGCCTCTAGCCAGGCTAAGAAAAAGAGACAAAGGACAAAATAACTAATATCAGAATGAAAAGAGTGGACATCATTACAGATCTCATGGACATTAAAAGGATAATCAAGGGATATTATGAACAACTTTACGGCCACGAATTTGGTAACCTAGATGAAATGAATCAATTCCTTAAAAGACACAATCTATTAGAACTCTAAGAAGAAATAATCTTGATTAAAAAGCATATATTAAAGAAATTAAATCCATAATTAATAATGTTCTAAAAGAGAAGGCATCAGGCCCAGATGGATTCTCTGATGAATTCTACTAAACATTTAAGGAAGAAACCACACCAGTTCTCTACAATCTCCTTCAGAAGACAGAAGCAAAGGAGATGCTCCTATCTCATTGTATGAAGTCAGCATTACTCTAATACCCAAACCAGACAAAGACATTATCAGAAAAGAAAACTACAGACCCATATTTGTCATGAACAAAGATGCAAAAATCTTTGTATTAGCAAAGTATTAGCAAACTAAATTTTACTACAATGTATAAAAAGAAGTATACACCAGCACAAAGTAGGATTTATCCCAGGTATGCAAGACTGGTTCAATATTGGAAAATCAATTAATGCAATTCACCATATCAACAGACTAAAGAAGAAAAATCACATGACCATACCATAGATGGAGAGAAGTATGTGACAAAATTTAACACCCACTCATGATAGAAACTAGTAAACTAGGAATAGAGGGAACACCTTCAACTTGATAAAGAACGTTTACAAAAAACATACAGCTAACACCATCCTTAATGATGAGAAACTAGAAACTTTCTTACTAAGATCAGGAACAAGAAAAGAATATCCCCACCTCACCACTCCATACTGGAAGTCCTAGCTAAGACAAGAAAAGGAAATAAAGGGTATACTAACGGGGAACAAAAAAATACAACTGCCTTTGTTTGCAGATGAAATGACTATATGTGTAGAACATAGACAGGAATTGAAAAAAAGAAAAAGAAAAACAACAAAAACCTCCTAGAACTAATAAGTGATTATAGCAAAGCTGCAGGATACAAGGTTCATATAAAAAAGTTAATAGCTTTCCTGTAAACCAGCAATGCATAAGTTGAATTTGAAATTAAAAACACAATACCATTTTACATTAGCGTGTCCCAAAATGAAATATTTAAGTACAGATCTAACAAAATTAGTACAAGATATATGAGGAAAAATGTTTTAGAACTCTGATGAAAGAAATCAAATAACTAAATAATGAAGAGCTATTCCATGACCCGTGAGAGACAACTCAATATTGACAGAAAAAGTCAGATGGACACTACTGATTTCAAGATTTACTGTAAAGCTACAGTAGTCAAGATGGTGTGGTACTGACAAAAGAACTGACAAAACAGACCAACGAAACAGAATAGAGAGCCCAGAAATGGACCCACATAGTCAAAGGAGCAATGGCAGTATTTGACAAAGAGGCAAAGGCAATACAATGAAGAAAATAGTCTTTTTCAATAAACAGTGGTAATAACTGAACATCCACATGCAAAAAAAAAAAGAGTCTAGACACAGGTCTTACACCCTTCACAAAAATAAACTCAAAATAAACCAGAGAATTAAATGTAAAACTCAAAACTATAAAACTCCTAGAGGATAACATAAGAAAAAATCTAGATCTTGGGTTTGGTGATGACTTTTAGATACGGCACCAAAGGTACCAACCATGAAGAAAAGAACTGATAAGCCAGACTTCATTAAAATTGTCTACTTGTTTCTTAAAAATTGTTGTCTTTTGCAAAAGACAATGTCAAGAGTATGAAAAGACAAGCCACAGATAGGGAGGAAATATTTACATAAGACACATCTGATAAAGAACTATTAACTAAAATGTGTAAGGAGGCTGGGTGTGGTGGCTCACATCCCAGCACTTTGGGAGGCCAAGGTGGGTGGATCACCTGAGGTCAGGAGGTCGAGACCAGCCTGGCTAACATAGTGAAACCCCGTGTCTACTAAAAATACAAAAATTAGCCAGGTGTGGTGGTGCACGGGTATAATCCCAGCTACTCGGGAGGCTGACGCAGGAGAATCACTTGAACCCAGGTGGCAGAGGTTGCAGGGAGCCAAGACTGTGCCACTGTACTGCAACCTGGGTGACAGAGCGAGGCTCTGTCTCAACAGACAGACAGACAGACAGACAAGACAGACAGAGACAGTGTAAGGAACTCTTAAAATTCCACAAGAAAACAAACAACCCAATTAAAAAATTGGCCAACAACCTTAACAGACACCTCACCAAAGATATACAGATGGCAATTCAGCATATGAAAAGATGTCCCACACATCATATGGCATCAGAGAAACACAAATTAAAATTATAAGATACCTCTACACACCTATCAGAATGGACAAAATTCAGAACACTGATAACACCAAATACTGGTGAAGATGTAGAGCAAAAGAAACACTCACTCATTGCTGGTGAAAAATGTAAAAGGATAGCGTCATATTAGAAGACAGTTTGGATGTTTCCTACAAAACTAAACACTTTTACCATAAGATCCAGCAATTGCACTCCCTAGTATTTACAGAAAGTCGCTGAAAACCTAAGTCCACACAAAAACCTGCACACCGATATCTACAGCAGTTTTATTCATAATTAGCAAAATGTGGAAGCAACCACAATGTCCTTCATTAGGTGAATATTCATTCACAAACTGTGATATGTCCAGAAAATGGAAAAAGAGAGGTACTAACAACCTATGAAAAGACATGGAAGAAACTTTAATGCATATTAGTAAGTAAAAATAGTCAAGCTGAAAGGGCTATATACTGTATGATTACAAGTATATAATATGCTGGAAAAGGCAAAGTTAGAGACACAGTAAAAGGATCGGTGATTGCCAAGGAGTGGGAGGGAAGGAAAGATAAATAGGCAGAACACAGAGGATTTTGGGGCAGTGAAAACATTCTGTATGATATAATGGTAGATACATGTCATTGTACTTTGTTCAAAGCCACAGAACGTACAGCACTAAGAATGATCCCTAATATAAACTACGGACTTTGGGTAATTATGATGTATCAATATAGGTTCATCAGAAAGACATGTACCACTCTGGTGGGAGATGCACACTGGCTATGAGAGAATCCATACATGTGTGTGGAAGGAGGTACAGGGGAAATCTCTGTACCTTCCTCTCAATTCTGTGAACCTAGAACTCCTGTAAAAAAAAAAAAAATCTAAAAAAAAATAGAATACATATGATCCAGTAATCCTACACCTGGGTATACTTCCAAATATATTAAAAACAGGTTCTCAAAAAAATATTTGTATACCCATGTTTATTTCAACATTACAATATTCAAGAAGTGGAAGGAACCTAAACATCCATCAACAAATGGTTAAAGAAAATGTGGTATACATATATAACAAAATGTTATTCAGCCTAAAAGAAAAGAAAGAAATTCTGTAATATGCTACAACACAAATGAACCTTGAGGACATTGCTATGTGAAATAGGCCAGTCAACAAAAGACAAATACTTAATGATTCCACTGACATGAAGTAGCCAAAACAGTCAAATTTTAGAGGCAAAAAGTAGAATGGCATTTGCCAAGGAATAGGAAGAAGGGGGAAAAGAAGAGTTGTTCAATGAATGTAGAGTTTCTGTTTTACAAGATGAAAAAGTTCTAGAGATCTGCTGCACAACAATGTGCACAGTTACCACAATTGTACCGTACACTTCAAATCATTAATATGGTAAAATGTGTTGTTTTTGACAATTTTTAAAACTCTACCCCATTGTTTTCTTTACCTCTTATATAAACTGATAAAAACCTGTTTTATCTTAATCAATTATTGTATGACTACTGCTCCCCAGAGAAAAAAGTGCATGTGAAATACTACTACTTATCCATCTCCTGGCTCTGAGCAGTACATGTCAGGAACAAGAGGGAATTGTAGCTGGAAGACAGTAGAAGAGCCATAGGACAAGTCTCTAAGAGAAGGAAGAAAAGGCGCAATGAAAGAAAACAAGTTTAAGATAGTAGAAAAGCATTCAAAGACGGCAACCTGAGGTAAGGTGTTTTCACTGAAGCTTTTGGGGTAAAACAGTTTTGAGTTGGCATGCCTGTAGACATGGGAAGCAGCAGTGATGCAGAGGTGAACATTACTGTAGATAAAAACGGATGGGAATTTGACTTGCTAGGGACTGAGGGGTTAATCATATAAATAAAGATGGCAGCAGATTTGGGAAAGAGTGAAGAAGAATAAGTTCAGGTAGCAGTCCTCAAAAACCGAGAAGAAACTGATAGCTCACTGAAGGCAGACAGAGGAAGACAAAACCAGAAGGCATAAGCTTCAAAGGAGCAGGGATTTTTATGCTGAGAGAGTAAAAGGAATAGTTCAAAGCAGCAGTGGAGAACACGAATAACGTTCCATGTGGGAAAAGAACATGTCCAGAGCTTACTGTACCTATAACCTAGCTTCTGTAACTGGAAATGAAGAATCTGCTCTAGTCAGGTCATCACTTTTCACTACTTATTTTACTTGGCCTTCCTAAGAAATATAGACCTTTTGGAAATTATTGACTTTTGGGTCTAGGACACTATTTCTTGGTTTCCTCCCTTCTCTCTGGCTGTTTTTCAGAGACTTCCCTTCCAAATCTAGAGACATTTGTATTCTCCAGGGATCAGCTATTAGATACTTTCCCTTTTAAATTTCCCTTTGGACAGTTTCATCTTTCAAGGATTGAGCAATAACTAAATGACTTCCAAATGTCTACTTCAGTATAAATTCTGCTTGTCAGGCTACATAAAAAGGGCTCTTCAAGGAATTATGATGTCTAAAGAAAGAGAAAGCCACGATTTCAATATCACAGAGATGACTACAGAGGAATAGCAATAAAAAGAGAGGCAACTTAGGAGAGGTGAATCACAAAAGATGACTAGGAGCTGATGACACTATGGGTGGGAAGAATGTTTCAGACAGGGGAAGAATGTTTCAGATAGAGGAAAATGAGTAAAAGCACAGGGGCCTGAAAACATGATATTATAAGACAATTCCAAGCACTTCAAGAGCCTAAAGTTCAAGAAAAGTTTCAAAAATATGAAAATGGAGAGGCAGGGAAAAGCCAGATCATGGAAGACCTCAATAGCCATGATAAGTAATTCTTTTTTTAGCCAAAAGAGGAGTAATCTAATAAAAGCTAAAGATCTTCTCCTCATAAAAATACATGCACACTTCAGGAGTGCAAATGCACTCTTCCGGAAGATTCGTAACCCACTACATTCATAAACCATTAGATAAGAACTAAAACACAAGGAGTCACTGAAGGGTTTTAAGCAGGTTAAGTGACTGACAAAATTTGCCTTTTCAATAACTGAAACCAAAGTGGGCAAAACTGGAGGCAAGCAATCCAGTTAGGTAATGACTACTGTAATAGTCCGGACAAATAATGTAGCAGTAGGAAGAAAAAAAAAGATGAAATTGACCCAGGAAATATTTAAAATAAGTAGTTTGTAAGAGGTAAATAAGCTGGAAGAGCCAGAGGTAATGGGTAGGGTTTCTGGTATGGGCAACAAGATATGCTACAAGCTGAGATGTTAGTAAAAACAAGCGTTCATCAGCATTTAGTAAGTGATTTATTTATATTATATCACTGAATACTCAATTATGTTAAGAGGCAGACAGCAGTTAAAAAACAAAGAACTCGGTGAATCAAAAAGTTCTGCTAATTTGGGGAAATAGCATCCCTTTTATTTTTGTTAATCTCTTTTGGGTTTGATCCTCATTTATAGCTGACAAGAAGTTCTATGTACTAAAGGTAAACTATTCTCATTAATGTTCCCAAAAATCTCTTGGAATAATTAAGATATAAAGAAATTCAAAATTCACATGATTATAAAAATCTTTCCTTAGATAATCTCATAATATAGCCATGTTTTGCTCATTCTACTTTGAGAAGATTCAGCCAGAAACAGTTCATCCATTCAACTATCCCTACTGTGAACTAGAAGTATGTTTCCTTACATTTGAAACAGAAGATATAGGTTTATATGATGCTTCAGGTGGTAGAAAAGCAGGGCAGACTATGACTCGTGTCACTTCCTTCCACACGTGATGCCTTTCATGGGCTCCTGTGTCTGTCAGAAGAAAGCAAAGGGCCTTAGCGTGCTCCTGGCTTTCTATATCCAAATGCATTTTTTCACACCTTCTCCCATCAGCTAACTCTACATTACTGCAATACGGAACTTCTTACTACTCAGTGGACTTGTTCTGCTGTCTTCTCTGATTCCAGGTGTTATTCTTCCTGCCTAGAACACTATGATTCTTAGCTATTCCCAAGCATCCTCAAGGTTTCAGCTTATATACCACTTTTAAGATAATTAGGTATTCTTCCTCTGTAGTCTCATACCAACCAGTACCTATTCTATTATATATAATAACTGCCTATTAATTAAATGGGAAGCTGAGGTATATGACCTAATAACTTATTTACTGTCGTATCCTCAGAACCTAGCAAATTACAGAGTCTCAACAGAGATTTTTCAATTTCTCTTCTGATACTGTCTCGATAACAGTGTCAATTAAACCTTTCTCTAATTATTTGACCTTGAAGGGAAATAGATGTCAGACTACCTCCTGGTTTCGAGTATACTGGAAGCATACAAAAGGACCTTCTCAATCTGGAGACCAAGAATATGATATGAGAACCTATAGGAGAACCACTTATTTGATTAAAGAGATTTCTTTTACTTCAGAAAATATTTCAGTATGTTACTTGACCCATAAATGCTTATAGATGTGTAAGTACACCGAAGAAGTCATATAGGAAATAAAAGCATCCAAGCTATATTTCTATGGTCTACTCTGATTAAAAAGCTCAGCTCTCCTATCAAATTCAAGATAATGCATGTGGATTATGGAGCACAGTCACTTGCTACATGGTAAATGCTCAAAAAGATGATAGGTGGTATTACCCACATTCTACAGGCTGTGTACATACTTATCAGTTTATATATATACATAAACTGATCCTAAAAAATTCTTCCTACATTTCTGCAAGATAATTAAAAAGGCAGAAACAAACATTTTGCATAAATTTACTAGCTTCATTCTTTCATGTAGGAAGTAGTTACTGACTACCTACTGTATGCCAGGCACTGTCATTAGGCTTCCATTCTAGTGGTAAAGAAGCAAAACAACAAAGAAATCAATATGCAAGAAGTCAAATGACATTAAATCCCATGAAGAAAAATGCAGCAAGTTAAGGGGAATGCAGAAGAACATGATCATTCTTTGATGCAGCCGGTCAGGAAAAGCATCATTTGAGCAGAGAGCTCTCTGAATCAAGTGAGGAAGGAAGCCACATGGATTATCACAGAGAAGGGTCACAGGGTCACAGACAATAGTTACAAGCCTTAAGATGACAAAGATACAGCCATTTTAGACAGAGATGAGCAAGTGCGGTAGAGAGATCACAGAAATGAAAGGAAGCCAGTTCACACAGGGCCATGTAAATCTCCAGATTTTACTTTTAAGATGGGAAGCCTCTGAAAAGTTCTGTGCATAGTAAATAACATGGTTTAACTCAGATTTTAAAAAGATCATTCCGGCTGCTACTAGAGAATACACTGTAAAGCACAAGACTCCTGGGAAACAATTTCTTTCTTTTGCCAAAAGATGATGCCTTTAAACAGAGTAAACAGAAGTATAATGGTTAAAAAAAATAAAATGAATTATGGGTATTTGGAAGGTGTAGCCAACAAGATTTACCAATAATTTGAGTATGTGACATAGAGAAATTAAAAGATGCTTCCAAGGCTTCTGGCTGCACAGGAGGGGAAAAAAGCTGTTATTGACTGAGATGGCAAAATATTATGAGAGACGTAGGTTTGGGATGATGAAAATCAGGAGCTCCACTTAGGACAGGTTAAGTTTGAGAACCAGACTTAACTGTTGGATAAATCAGTCTACAGTTCAGAGGGCAAGAGCTGACGATGGAAATAGAAGAGTTGTCAATAGACAGAGTCCTGGGGCATTTCTGACATTTACAGTAAACTGAGCATTTATTAAAACTAACTTGCTTTACTGAACCATAAATCACTTGTTGTATTTACCCCTGCTCCATTTATAGTTATACATCTGGAAACATAGCCTTAGTGTTAGAGGTAAAGAGTAAATACCAAACATAAAAAATCTGATCTGGTTGGGTGCGGTGGCTCAAGCCTGTAATCCCAGCGCTCTGGAAGGCCGAGGCAGGCAGATCACGAGGTCAGGAGTTCAAGACCAGCCTGGCCAATATGGTGAAACTCTGTCTCTACTAAAAATACAAAATTAGCCAGGCATGGTGGCACATGCCTGTAATCTCAGCTACTCGGGTGGCTGAGGCAGGAGAATTGCTTCATCCTGGGAGGCAGGGGTTGCAGTGAGCCAAATTGCGCCACTGCACTCCAGCCTGGGTGACAGAGCAAGATTCCATCTCAAAAAAAAAATCTGAAGTTACTGAGAAACTGGTATGAAATCATTAAGAAAACTAAGGTGTCTAAATTAATACATACAAAGAGATTCTACAACACGGTATTTATAAATTTAAACAAAATCCATGGCCAGGCACGGTGGCTCACGTCTGTAGTCCCAGCACTTTGTGAGGCCAAGGCAGAAGGATTACTTTGGGGCCAAGAGTTCAAGACCAGCCTGGGCAACATAGTGAGACCCTGTCTCTACAAAAAACAAACAAACAAACAAAAACACTGTTTTAGCCTGGCATGGTGGCACATGCCTGTAGTCCCAGCTACTCAGGAGGCTGAGGCATGAGGATCACTTGAGCCCAGGAATTCAAAGTTGTAGTGAGCTCTGATCACACCACTGCACTCTAGCTGTATCACTTATGACAGAGCAAGACAATATCTCAAACAACAAGCAAACAAAACAAAAAACTAAAGTAAATCCAGGTAAAATAAACATACGAATAAATGAAAAGATCTGGGTTATTGCATTAGTTCTGTTTCTAGGCTTAACTACAAAATGGTGTCCAGTTGTTAAAAACACTTGTTTAAGAGTATTAATAATTTTTTTTTTTACTATGCTCTTCTACATCCTAGGAAATTGGCAACACTAAGAATTCCTAAAAACAAACAGGAGTGTTAACTGTATATAAATTATTATTTAAGATGCATTCAAGGCGTTACTTAAAATATCAAATGCATGTCAAAGTACAAACAACAAAATCATGCTTCAACAAATGTGGGATGTTGCCATTAATGGACAGTTAGCTCTGAGGTAAAACCAAGAATCCTTCATTACCTATTTTTGTAAATTAGGACAAATACTATTAAGGTATTAGGTTGGTACAAAAGTAATTGAACAAACCTGGACCCACTCACCTCACTGAAAGTGCTGCCTGGCTACAGTTTCTAGATATAGGAATGTGAGAAATGGTAGCAGCCTTGAAGGTTTAGAGCTATATTCCCATACCAATTATGGCTAGAAACTTAAAACAGCTCTATTGAGACATTATGGGAAGTCTAATTTCCTGTTACTCTACTTTAACACAGCCAAGTAAAACAGTAAGAAAGCTTGCTTAATTCAACAAGGACTGAGTGCCAGAGTGTCACCTGGAAACTTGTGACAAATAATCATGCCTCACACATTCATCCTTGGTTTTTACTACCAAATGCAAGCTTCATCTATCCTCTTCCATTCTAAACTTGACTCATCCTCCTAACCTCTTCCAGAAAGATCTCTAGAAACCCAGAGGCTTTCTGAAGACCCATAGGCTATCCCCCATCTTCAACTACTTTACATAATGGCCCCTCAACTTCTTAGCTTTCATGAAAGCCTGGCTCCTCCCCAAAGGCACTGCCTATCATGCAACCCTTTTATGTGACTCCTAAAACTCCTAAGTCCACCATTATTCTTCTAATTCCCTGTATTAAAAATAAACGGCAAAATTCCCTGTATTAAAAACAACAAAAAAACAGCTTGTAATTTGAAACTCATGTCATCTAACCGAATGCCTTCTCTTTCCCTCCCTGTTCTGGTCAATTAAACCCACATATTTAAGCCTCCACTTTGCCCCCAGTTACATCATCAGCAAAGTGACTTCAATGTCCCTGTACATGGTTCTATCCCAATACTCTAGGCCCCCAAAATATTTGCCTTTCTAAATTTGAGACATCTTCACCTCCTCATTTCAGCAAATCACTCCCTTGTCTTTGTTAGACATACTAAAACCTCTGACAATGATCATCTCAGCTATCTTTGTAAGAGTTTCACTCATACTCATATCTCCTTTCACCTGTCAAGACACCAGGTTTGGTGACAAATAAAAATGATACGTATTTGGGAGGCTGAGGCAGGAGAATCATT